>NC_000007.14:60251011-60551011 GCF_000001405.40 Homo sapiens | reverse complement strand
ATCGCTTGAAATCTCCACTTGCAAACTCCACAAAAAGAGTGTTTCAAATCTGCTCTGTGTAAAGGGACGTTCCACTCTGTGAGTTGAATACACACAGCACAAAGAAGTTACTGAGAATTCTTCTGTCTAGCATGAAATGAAGAAATCCCGTTTCCAACGAAGGCCTCAATGCGGTCCATATATCCACTTGCAGACTTTACAAACAGAGTGTTTCCAAACTGCTCTATGAAAAGAAAGGTTAAACTATGTGAGTTGAACGCACACATCACAAAGAATTTTCTGAGAATGATTCTGTCTGGTTTTTATTTGAAGATGTTTCCCTTTCTACTGTTGGCATCAAATGGCTAGAAATCTCCACTTGCAAATTCCGCAAAAAGAGTGTTTCAAATCTGCTCTGTCTAAAGGGACGTTCCACTCTGTGAGTTGAATGCACACAACACAAAGAATTTACTGAGAATTCTTCCGTCTAGCATTCAATGAAGAAATCCCGTTTCCAACGAAGGCCTCAAACAGGTCCATATATCCACTTGCAGAGTTTACAAACAGTGTGTTTCCAAACTCCTCTATGAAAAGAAAGGTTAAACTCTGTGAGTGGAACGCACACATCACAAAGCACTTTCTGAGAATGATTCTGTCTGGTTATTATACGAAGATATTTCCTTTTCTGCAATTGTCCTCAAATCGCTTGAAATCTCCACCTGAAAATGCCACAGCAAGAGTGTTTCAAATCTGCTCTCTCTAAAGCAAGGTTCAACTCTGTGAGTTGAATACACACAACACAAAAAAGTTACTGAGAACTCTTCTTAGTCTAGCATTAAAGGAAGAAACCCCGTTTGCAACGAAGGCCTCAAAGAGGTCCAAATATCCACTTGCAGACATAACAAGCAGAGTGTTTCTAAACTGCTCTAAGAAAAGAAAGGTTAAACTCTGTGAGTTGAAGGCACACATCACAAAGTAGTTTCTGAGAATGATTCTGTCTAGTTTTTGTTTGCAGATATTTCCTTTTCTACTGTTGGCATCAAATCGCTTGAAATCTCCACTTGCAAATTCCACAAAAAGAGTGTTTCAAATCTGCTCTGTGTAAAGGGACGTTCCAATCTGTGAGTTGAATACACACAACACAAAGAAGTTACTGAGAATTCTTCTGTCTAGCATGAAATGAAGAAATCCCGTTTCCAACGAAGGCCTCAATGCGGTCCATATATCCACTTGCAGACTTTACAAACAGAGTGTTTCCAAACTGCTCTATGAAAAGAAAGGTTAAACTATGTGAGTTGAACGCACACATCACAAAGAATTTTCTGAGAATGATTCTGTCTGGTTTTTATTTGAAGATATTTCCCTTTCTACTGTTGGCATCAAATGGCTAGAAATCTCCACTTGCAAATTCCGCAAAAAGAGTGTTTCAAATCTGCTCTGTCTAAAGGGACGTTCCACTCTGTGAGTTGAATGCACACAACACAAAGAATTTACTGAGAATTCTTCCGTCTAGCATTCAATGAAGAAATCCCGTTTCCAACGAAGGCCTCAAACAGGTCCATATATCCAATTGCAGACTTTACAAACAGTGTGTTTCCAAACTCCTCTATGAAAAGAAAGGTTAAACTCTGTGAGTTGAACGCACACATCACAAAGCACTTTCTGAGAATGATTCTGTCTGGTTATTATACGAAGATATTTCCTTTTCTGCAATTGTCCTCAAATCGCTTGAAATCTCCACCTGAAAATGCCACAGCAAGAGTGTTTCAAATCTGCTCTCTCTAAAGCAAGGTTCAACTCTGTGAGTTGAATACACACAACACAAAAAAGTTACTGAGAACTCTTCTTAGTCTAGCATGAAAGGAAGAAACCCCGTTTGCAACGAAGGCCTCAAAGAGGTCCAAATATCCACTTGCAGACATAACAAGCAGAGTGTTTCTAAACTGCTCTAAGAAAAGAAAGGTTAAACTCTGTGAGTTGAAGGCACACATCACAAAGTAGTTTCTGAGAATGATTCTGTCTAGTTTTTATTTGAAGATATTTCCTTTTCTACTGTTGGCATCAAATCGCTTGAAATCTCCACTTGCAAACTCCACAAAAAGAATGTTTCAAATCTGCTCTGTGCAAAGGGATGTTCCACTCTGTGAGTTGAATACACACAGCACAAAGAAGTTACTGAGAATTCTTCTGTCTAGCATGAAATGAAGAAATCCCGTTTCCAACGAAGGCCTCAATGCGGTCCATATATCCACTTGCAGACTTTACAAACAGAGTGTTTCCAAACTGCTCTATGAAAAGAAAGGTTAAACTATGTGAGTTGAACGCACACATCACAAAGAATTTTCTGAGAATGATTCTGTCTGGTTTTTATTTGAAGATATTTCCCTTTCTACTGTTGGCATCAAATGGCTAGAAATCTCCACTTGCAAATTCCGCAAAAAGAGTGTTTCAAATCTGCTCTGTCTAAAGGGACGTTCCACTCTGTGAGTTGAATGCACACCACACAAAGAATTTACTGAGAATTCTTCCGTCTAGCATTCAATGAAGAAATCCCGTTTCCAACGAAGGCCTCAAACAGGTCCATATATCCACTTGCAGACTTTACAAACAGTGTGTTTCCAAACTCCTCTATGAAAAGAAAGGTTAAACTCTGTGAGTGGAACGCACACATCACAAAGCACTTTCTGAGAATGATTCTGTCTGGTTATTATACGAAGATATTTCCTTTTCTGCAATTGTCCTCAAAACGCTTGAAATCTCCACCTGAAAATGCCACAGCAAGAGTGTTTCAAATCTGCTCTCTCTAAAGCAAGGTTCAACTCTGTGAGTTGAATACACACAACACAAAAAAGTTACTGAGAACTCTTCTTAGTCTAGCATGAAAGGAAGAAACCCCGTTTGCAACGAAGGCCTCAAAGAGGTCCAAATATCCACTTGCAGACATAACAAGCAGAGTGTTTCTAAACTGCTCTAAGAAAAGAAAGGTTAAACTCTGTGAGTTGAAGGCACACATCACAAAGTAGTTTCTGAGAATGATCTGTCTAGTTTTTATTTGAAGATATTTCCTTTTCTACTGTTGGCATCAAATCGCTTGAAATCTCCACTTGCAAATTCCACAAAAAGTGTGTTTCAAAACTGCTCTGTGCAAAGGGACGTTCTACTCTGTGAGTTGAATACACACAGCACAAAGAAGTTACTCAGAATTCTTCTGTCTAGCATGAAATGAAGAAATCCCGTTTCCAACGAAGGCCTCAATGCGGTCCATATATCCACTTGCAGACTTTACAAACAGAGTGTTTCCAAACTGCTCTATGAAAAGAAAGGTTAAACTATGTGAGTTGAACGCACACATCACAAAGAATTTTCTGAGAATGATTCTGTCTGGTTTTTATTTGAAGATATTTCCCTTTCTACTGTTGGCATCAAATGGCTAGAAATCTCCACTTGCAAATTCCGCAAAAAGAGTGTTTCAATTCTGCTCTGTCTAAAGGGACGTTCCACTCTGTGAGTTGAATGCACACAACACAAAGAATTTACTGAGAATTCTTCCGTCTAGCATGCAATGAAGAAATCCCGTTTCCAACGAAGGCCTCAAACAGGTCCATATATCCAATTGCAGACTTTACAAACAGTGTGTTTCCAAACTCCTCTATGAAAAGAAAGGTTAAACTCTGTGAGTTGAACGCACACATCACAAAGCACTTTCTGAGAATGATTCTGTCTGGTTGTTATACGAAGATATTTCCTTTTCTGCAATTGTCCTCAAATCACTTGAAATCTCCACCTGAAAATGCCACAGCAAGAGTGTTTCAAATCTGCTCTCTCTAAAGCAAGGTTCAACTCTGTGAGTTGAATACACACAACACAAAAAAGTTACTGAGAACTCTTCTTAGTCTAGCATTAAAGGAAGAAACCCCGTTTGCAACGAAGGCCTCAAAGAGGTCCAAATATCCACTTGCAGACATAACAAGCAGAGTGTTTCTAAACTGCTCTAAGAAAAGAAAGGTTAAACTCTGTGAGTTGAAGGCACACATCACAAAGTAGTTTCTGAGAATGATTCTGTCTAGTTTTTATTTGAAGATATTTCCTTTTCTACTGTTGGCATCAAATCGCTTGAAATCTCCACTTGCAAATTCCACAAAAAGAGTGTTTCAAATCTGCTCTGTGCAAAGGGACGTTCCACTCTGTGAGTTGAATACACACAGCACAAAGAAGTTACTGAGAATTCTTCTGTCTAGCATGAAATGAAGAAATCCCGTTTCCAACGAAGGCCTCAATGCGGTCCATATATCCACTTGCAGACTTTACAAACAGAGTGTTTCCAAACTGCTCTATGAAAAGAAAGGTTAAACTATGTGAGTTGAACGCACACATCACAAAGAATTTTCTGAGAATGATTCTGTCTGGTTTTTATTTGAAGATATTTCCCTTTCTACTGTTGGCATCAAATGGCTAGAAATCTCCACTTGCAAATTCCGCAAAAAGAGTGTTTCAAATCTGCTCTGTCTAAAGGGACGTTCCACTCTGTGAGTTGAATGCACACCACACAAAGAATTTACTGAGAATTCTTCCGTCTAGCATTCAATGAAGAAATCCCGTTTCCAACGAAGGCCTCAAACAGGTCCATATATCCAATTGCAGACTTTACAAACAGTGTGTTTCCAAACTCGTCTATGAAAAGAAAGGTTAAACTCTGTGAGTTGAACGCACACATCACAAAGCACTTTCTGAGAATGATTCTGTCTGGTTGTTATACGAAGATATTTCCTTTTCTGCAATTGTCCTCAAATCGCTTGAAATCTCCACCTGAAAATGCCACAGCAAGAGTGTTTCAAATCTGCTCTCTCTAAAGCAAGGTTCAGCTCTGTGAGTTGAATACACACAACACAAAAAAGTTACTGAGAACTCTTCTTAGTCTAGCATGAAAGGAAGAAACCCCGTTTGCAACGAAGGCCTCAAAGAGGTCCAAATATCCACTTGCAGACATAACAAGCAGAGTGTTTCTAAACTGCTCTAAGAAAAGAAAGGTTAAACTCTGTGAGTTGAAGGCACACATCACAAAGTAGTTTCTGAGAATGATTCTGTCTAGTTTTTATTTGAAGATATTTCCTTTTCTACTGTTGGCATCAAATCGCTTGAAATCTCCACTTGCAAACTCCACAAAAAGAGTGTTTCAAATCTGCTCTGTGTAAAGGGACGTTCCACTCTGTGAGTTGAATACACACAGCACAAAGAAGTTACTGAGAATTCTTCTGTCTAGCATGAAATGAAGAAATCCCGTTTCCAACGAAGGCCTCAATGCGGTCCATATATCCACTTGCAGACTTTACAAACAGAGTGTTTCCAAACTGCTCTATGAAAAGAAAGGTTAAACTATGTGAGTTGAACGCACACATCACAAAGAATTTTCTGAGAATGATTCTGTCTGGTTTTTATTTGAAGATATTTCCCTTTCTACTGTTGGCATCAAATGGCTAGAAATCTCCACTTGCAAATTCCGCAAAAAGAGTGTTTCAAATCTGCTCTGTCTAAAGGGACGTTCCACTCTGTGAGTTGAATGCACACAACACAAAGAATTTACTGAGAATTCTTCCGTCTAGCATTCAATGAAGAAATCCCGTTTCCAACGAAGGCCTCAAACAGGTCCATATATCCACTTGCAGAGTTTACAAACAGTGTGTTTCCAAACTCCTCTATGAAAAGAAAGGTTAAACTCTGTGAGTGGAACGCACACATCACAAAGCACTTTCTGAGAATGATTCTGTCTGGTTATTATACGAAGATATTCCCTTTTCTGCAATTTTCCTCAAATCGCTTGAAATCTCCACCTGAAAATGCCACAGCAAGAGTGTTTCAAATCTGCTCTCTCTAAAGCAAGGTTCAACTCTGTGAGTTGAATACACACAGCACAAAGAAGTTACTGAGAATTCTTCTTAGTCTAGCATGAAAGGAAGAAACCCCGTTTGCAACGAAGGCCTCAAAGAGGTCCAAATATCCACTTGCAGACATAACAAGCAGAGTGTTTCTAAACTGCTCTAAGAAAAGAAAGGTTAAACTCTGTGAGTTGAAGGCACACATCACAAAGTAGTTTCTGAGAATGATTCTATCTAATTTTTACTTGAAGATATTTCCTTTTGTACTGTTGGCACCAAATCGCTTGAAATCTCCACTTGCAAATTCCACAAGAAGAGTGTTTCAAATCTGCTCTGTCTAAAGGGACGTTCCACTCTGTGAGTTGAATACACACAACACAAAGAAGTTAATGAGAATTCTTCTGTCTAGCATTAAAGGAAGAAATCCCGTTTCCAACGAATGCCTGAAAACTGTCTATATATCCACTTGCAGATTTACAGTGTGTTTCCAAACTGCTCTATGAAAAGAAAGGTAAACTATGTGAGCTGAACGCACACATCACAAAGAATTTTCTGAAAATGATTCTGTCTGGTTTTTATTTGAAGATATTTCCCTTTCTACTGTTGGCATCAAATGGCTAGAAATCTCCACTTGCAAATTCCGCAAAAAGAGTGTTTCAAATCTGCTCTGTCTAAAGGGACGTTCCACTCTGTGAGTTGAATGCACACAACACAAAGAATTTACTGAGAATTCTTCCGTCTAGCATTCAATGAAGAAATCCCGTTTCCAACGAAGGCCTCAAACAGGTCCATATATCCAATTGCAGACTTTACAAACAGTGTGTTTCCAAACTCCTTTATGAAAAGAAAGGTTAACTCTGTGAGTTGAATGCACACATCACAAAGCACTTTCTGATAATGATTCTGTCTGGTTATTATACGAAGATATTTCTTTTTCTGCAATTGTCCTGAAATCGCTTGAAATCTCCACCTGAAATTTCCACAGCGAGAGTGTTTCAAATCTGCTCTCTCTAAAGCAAGGTTCAACTCTGTGAGTTGAATACACACAACACAAAAAAGTTACTGAGAACTCTTCTTAGTCTAGCATTAAAGGAAGAAACCCCGTTTGCAACGAAGGCCTCAAAGAGGTCCAAATATCCACTTGCAGACATAACAAGCAGAGTGTTTCTAAACTGCTCTAAGAAAAGAAAGGTTAAACTCTGTGAGTTGAAGGCACACATCACAAAGTAGTTTCTGAGAATAATTCTGTCTAGTTTTTATTTGAAGATATTTCCTTTTCTACTGTTGGCATCAAATCGCTTGAAATCTCCACTTGCAAACTCCACAAAAAGAGTGTTTCAAATCTGCTCTGTGTAAAGGGACGTTCCACTCTGTGAGTTGAATACACACAGCACAAAGAAGTTACTGAGAATTCTTCTGTCTAGCATGAAATGAAGAAATCCCGTTTCCAACGAAGGCCTCAATGCGGTCCATATATCCACTTGCAGACTTTACAAACAGAGTGTTTCCAAAATGCTCTATGAAAAGAAAGGTAAAACTATGTGAGTTGAACGCACACATCACAAAGAATTTTCTGAGAATGATTCTGTCTGGTTTTTATTTGAAGATATTTCCCTTTCTACTGTTGGCATCAAATGGCTAGAAATCTCCACTTGCAAATTCCGCAAAAAGAGTGTTTCAAATCTGCTCTGTCTAAAGGGACGTTCCACTCTGTGAGTTGAATGCACACAACACAAAGAATTTACTGAGAATTCTTCCGTCTAGCATTCAATGAAGAAATCCCGTTTCCAACGAAGGCCTCAAACAGGTCCATATATCCACTTGCAGAGTTTACAAACAGTGTGTTTCCAAACTCCTCTATGAAAAGAAAGGTTAAACTCTGTGAGTGGAACGCACACATCACAAAGCACTTTCTGAGAATGATTCTGTCTGGTTATTATACGAAGATATTTCCTTTTCTGCAATTGTCCTCAAATCGCTTGAAATCTCCACCTGAAAATGCCACAGCAAGAGTGTTTCAAATCTGCTCTCTCTAAAGCAAGGTTCAACTCTGTGAGTTGAATACACACAACACAAAAAAGTTACTGAGAACTCTTCTTAGTCTAGCATTAAAGGAAGAAACCCCGTTTGCAACGAAGGCCTCAAAGAGGTCCAAATATCCACTTGCAGACATAACAAGCAGAGTGTTTCTAAACTGCTCTAAGAAAAGAAAGGTTAAACTCTGTGAGTTGAAGGCACACATCACAAAGTAGTTTCTGAGAATGATTCTGTCTAGTTTTTATTTGAAGATATTTCCTTTTCTACTGTTGGCATCAAATCGCTTGAAATCTCCACTTGCAAACTCCACAAAAAGAGTGTTTCAAATCTGCTCTGTGTAAAGGGACGTTCCACTCTGTGAGTTGAATACACACAGCACAAAGAAGTTACTGAGAATTCTTCTGTCTAGCATGAAATGAAGAAATCCCGTTTCCAACGAAGGCCTCAATGCGGTCCATATATCCACTTGCAGACTTTACAAACAGAGTGTTTCCAAACTGCTCTATGAAAAGAAAGGTTAAACTATGTGAGTTGAACGCACACATCACAAAGAATTTTCTGAGAATGATTCTGTCTGGTTTTTATTTGAAGATATTTCCCTTTCTACTGTTGGCATCAAATGGCTAGAAATCTCCACTTGCAAATTCCGCAAAAAGAGTGTTTCAAATCTGCTCTGTCTAAAGGGACGTTCCACTCTGTGAGTTCAATGCACACAACACAAAGAATTTACTGAGATTTCTTCCGTCTAGCATTCAATGAAGAAATCCCGTTTCCAACGAAGGCCTGAAACAGGTCCATGTATCCACTTGCAGACTTTACAAACAGTGTGTTTCCAAACTCCTCTATGAAAAGAAAGGTTAAACTCTGTGAGTTGAACGCACACATCACAAAGCACTTTCTGAGAATGATTCTGTCTGGTTATTATACGAAGATATTTCCTTTTCTGCAATTGTCCTCAAATCGCTTGAAATCTCCACCTGAAAATGCCACAGCAAGAGTGTTTCAAATCTGCTCTCTCTAAAGCAAGGTTCAACTCTGTGAGTTGAATACACACAACACAAAAAAGTTACTGAGAGCTCTTCTTAGTCTAGCATGAAAGGAAGAAACCCCGTTTGCAACGAAGGCCTCAAAGAGGTCCAAATATCCACTTGCAGACATAACAAGCAGAGTGTTTCTAAACTGCTCTAAGAAAAGAAAGGTTAAACTCTGTGAGTTGAAGGCACACATCACAAAGTAGTTTCTGAGAATGATTCTGTCTAGTTTTTATTTGAAGATATTTCCTTTTCTACTGTTGGCATCAAATCGCTTGAAATCTCCACTTGCAAATTCCACAAAAAGAGTGTTTCAAATCTGCTCTGTGCAAAGGGACGTTCCACTCTGTGAGTTGAATACACACAGCACAAAGAAGTTACTGAGAATTCTTCTGTCTAGCATGAAATGAAGAAACCCCGTTTCCAACGAAGGCCTCAATGCGGTCCATATATCCACTTGCAGACTTTACAAACAGAGTGTTTCCAAACTGCTCTATGAAAAGAAAGGTTAAACTATGTGAGTTGAACGCACACATCACAAAGAATTTTCTGAGAATGATTTCTGTCTGGTTTTTATTTGAAGATATTTCCCTTTCTACTGTTGGCATCAAATGGCTAGAAATCTCCACTTGCAAATTCCGCAAAAAGAGTGTTTCAAATCTGCTCTGTCTAAAGGGACGTTCCACTCTGTGAGTTGAATGCACACAACACAAAGAATTTACTGAGAATTCTTCCGTCTAGCATTCAATGAAGAAATCCCGTTTCCAACGAAGGCCTCAAACAGGTCCATATATCCACTTGCAGAGTTTACAAACAGTGTGTTTCCAAACTCCTCTATGAAAAGAAAGGTTAAACTCTGTGAGTGGAACGCACACATCACAAAGCACTTTCTGAGAATGATTCTGTCTGGTTATTATACGAAGATATTTCCTTTTCTGCAATTGTCCTCAAATCGCTTGAAATCTCCACCTGAAAATGCCACAGCAAGAGTGTTTCAAATCTGCTCTCTCTAAAGCAAGGTTCAACTCTGTGAGTTGAATACACACAACACAAAAAAGTTACTGAGAACTCTTCTTAGTCTAGCATGAAAGGAAGAAACCCCGTTTGCAACGAAGGCCTCAAAGAGGTCCAAATATCCACTTGCAGACATAACAAGCAGAGTGTTTCTAAACTGCTCTAAGAAAAGAAAGGTTAAACTCTGTGAGTTGAAGGCACACATCACAAAGTAGTTTCTGAGAATGATTCTGTCTAGTTTTTATTTGAAGATATTTCCTTTTCTACTGCTGGCATCAAATCGCTTGAAATCTCCACTTGCAAATTTCACAAAAAGAGATTTTCAAATCTGCTCTGTCTAAAGGGACGTTCCACTCTGTGAGTTGAATACACACAACACAAAGAAGTTACTGAGAATTCTTCTGTCTAGCATGAAATGAAGAAATCCCGTTTCCAACGAAGGCTTCAATGCGGTCCATATATCCACTTGCAGACTTTACAAACAGAGTGTTTCCAAACTGCTCTATGAAAAGAAAGGTTAAACTATGTGAGTTGAACGCACACATCACAAAGAATTTTCTGAGAATGATTCTGTCTGGTTTTTATTTGAAGATATTTCCCTTTCTACTGTTGGCATCAAATGGCTAGAAATCTCCACTTGCAAATTCCGCAAAAAGAGTGTTTCAAATCTGCTCTGTCTAAAGGGACGTTCCACTCTGTGAGTTGAATGCACACAACACAAAGAATTTACTGAGAATTCTTCCGTCTAGCATTCAATGAAGAAATCCCGTTTCCAACGAAGGCCTCAAACAGGTCCATATATCCAATTGCAGACTTTACAAACAGTGTGTTTCCAAACTCCTCTATGAAAAGAAAGGTTAAACTCTGTGAGTGGAACGCACACATCACAAAGCACTTTCTGAGAATGATTCTGTCTGGTTATTATACGAAGATATTTCCTTTTCTGCAATTGTCCTCAAATCGCTTGAAATCTCCACCTGAAAATGCCACAGCAAGAGTGTTTCAAATCTGTTCTCTCTAAAGCAAGGTTCAACTCTGTGAGTTGAATACACACAACACAAAAAAGTTACTGAGAACTCTTCTTAGTCTAGCATGAAAGGAAGAAACCCCGTTTGCAACGAAGGCCTCAAAGAGGTCCAAATATCCACTTGCAGACATAACAAGCAGAGTGTTTCTAAACTGCTCTAAGAAAAGAAAGGTTAAACTCTGTGAGTTGAAGGCACACATCACAAAGTAGTTTCTGAGAATGATTCTGTCTAGTTTTTATTTGAAGATATTTCCTTTTCTACTGTTGGCATCAAATCGCTTGAAATCTCCACTTTCAAACTCCACAAAAAGAGTGTTTCAAATCTGCTCTGTGCAAAGGGACGTTCCACTCTGTGAGTTGAGTACACACAGCACAAAGAAGCTACTGAGAATTCTTCTGTCTAGCATGAAATGAAGAAATCCCGTTTCCAACGAAGGCCTCAATGCGGTCCATATATCCACTTGCAGACTTTACAAACAGAGTGTTTCCAAACTGCTCTATGAAAAGAAAGGTTAAACTATGTGAGTTGAACGCACACATCACAAAGAATTTTCTGAGAATGATTCTGTCTGGTTTTTATTTGAAGATATTTCCCTTTCTACTGTTGGCATCAAATGGCTAGAAATCTCCACTTGCAAATTCCGCAAAAAGAGTGTTTCAAATCTGCTCTGTCTAAAGGGACGTTCCACTCTGTGAGTTGAATGCACACAACACAAAGAATTTACTGAGAATTCTTCCGTCTAGCATTCAATGAAGAAATCCCGTTTCCAACGAAGGCCTCAAACAGGTCCATATATCCACTTGCAGAGTTTACAAACAGTGTGTTTCCAAACTCCTCTATGAAAAGAAAGGTTAAACTCTGTGAGTGGAACGCACACATCACAAAGCACTTTCTGAGAATGATTCTGTCTGGTTATTATACGAAGATATTTCCTTTTCTGCAATTGTCCTCAAAACGCTTGAAATCTCCACCTGAAAATGCCACAGCAAGAGTGTTTCAAATCTGCTCTCTCTAAAGCAAGGTTCAACTCTGTGAGTTGAATACACACAACACAAAAAAGTTACTGAGAACTCTTCTTAGTCTAGCATGAAAGGAAGAAACCCCGTTTGCAACGAAGGCCTCAAAGAGGTCCAAATATCCACTTGCAGACATAACAAGCAGAGTGTTTCTAAACTGCTCTAAGAAAAGAAAGGTTAAACTCTGTGAGTTGAAGGCACACATCACAAAGTAGTTTCTGAGAATGATTCTGTCTAGTTTTTATTTGAAGATATTTCCTTTTCTACTGTTGGCATCAAATCGCTTGAAATCTCCACTTGCAAACTCCACAAAAAGAGTGTTTCAAATCTGCTCTGTGCAAAGGGACGTTCCACTCTGTGAGTTGAATACACACAGCACAAAGAAGTTACTGAGAATTCTTCTGTCTAGCATGAAATGAAGAAATCCCGTTTCCAACGAAGGCCTCAATGCGGTCCATATATCCACTTGCAGACTTTACAAACAGAGTGTTTCCAAACTGCTCTATGAAAAGAAAGGTTAAACTATGTGAGTTGAACGCACACATCACAAAGAATTTTCTGAGAATGATTCTGTCTGGTTTTTATTTGAAGATATTTCCCTTTCTACTGTTGGCATCAAATGGCTAGAAATCTCCACTTGCAAATTCCGCAAAAAGAGTGTTTCAAATCTGCTCTGTCTAAAGGGACGTTCCACTCTGTGAGTTGAATGCACACAACACAAAGAATTTACTGAGAATTCTTCCGTCTAGCATTCAATGAAGAAATCCCGTTTCCAACGAAGGCCTCAAACTAGTCCATATATCCACTTGCAGACTTTACAAACAGTGTGTTTCCAAACTCCTCTATGAAAAGAAAGGTTAAACTCTGTGAGTTGAACGCACACATCACAAAGCACTTTCTGAGAATGATTCTGTCTGGTTATTATACGAAGATATTTCCTTTTCTGCAATTGTCCTCAAATCGCTTGAAATCTCCACCTGAAAATGCCACAGCAAGAGTGTTTCAAATCTGCTCTCTCTAAAGCAAGGTTCAACTCTGTGAGTTGAATACACACAACACAAAAAAGTTACTGAGAACTCTTCTTAGTCTAGCATGAAAGGAAGAAACCCCGTTTGCAACGAAGGCCTCAAAGAGGTCCAAATATCCACTTGCAGACATAACAAGCAGAGTGTTTCTAAACTGCTCTAAGAAAAGAAAGGTTAAACTCTGTGAGTTGAAGGCACACATCACAAAGTAGTTTCTGAGAATGATTCTGTCTAGTTTTTATTTGAAGATATTTCCTTTTCTACTGTTGGCATCAAATCGCTTGAAATCTCCACTTGCAAACTCCACAAAAAGAGTGTTTCAAATCTGCTCTGTGCAAAGGGACGTTCCACTCTGTGAGTTGAATACACACAGCACAAAGAAGTTACTGAGAATTCTTCTGTCTAGCACGAAATGAAGAAATCCCGTTTCCAACGAAGGCCTCAATGCGGTCTATATATCCACTTGCAGACTTTACAAACAGAGTGTTTCCAAACTGCTCTATGAAAAGAAAGGTTAAACTATGTGAGTTGAACGCACACATCACAAAGAATTTTCTGAGAATGATTCTGTCTGGTTTTTATTTGAAGATATTTCCCTTTCTACTGTTGGCATCAAATGGCTAGAAATCTCCACTTGCAAATTCCGCAAAAAGAGTGTTTCAAATCTGCTCTGTCTAAAGGGACGTTCCACTCTGTGAGTTGAATGCACACAACACGAAGAATTTACTGAGAATTCTTCCGTCTAGCATTCAATGAAGAAATCCCGTTTCCAACGAAGGCCTCAAACAGGTCCATATATCCAATTGCAGACTTTACAAACAGTGTGTTTCCAAACTCCTCTATGAAAAGAAAGATTAAACTCTGTGAGTTGAACGCACACATCACAAAGCACTTTCTGAGAATGATTCTGTCTGGTTATTATACGAAGATATTTCCTTTTCTGCAATTGTCCTCAAATCGCTTGAAATCTCCACCTGAAAATGCCACAGCAAGAGTGTTTCAAATCTGCTCTCTCTAAAGCAAGGTTCAACTCTGTGAGTTGAGTACACACAACACAAAAAAGTTACTGAGAACTCTTCTTAGTCTAGCATGAAAGGAAGAAACCCCGTTTGCAACGAAGGCCTCAAAGAGGTCCAAATATCCACTTGCAGACATAACAAGCAGAGTGTTTCTAAACTGCTCTAAGAAAAGAAAGGTTAAACTCTGTGAGTTGAAGGCACACATCACAAAGTAGTTTCTGAGAATGATTCTGTCTAGTTTTTATTTGAAGATATTTCCTTTTCTACTGTTGGCATCAAATCGCTTGAAATCTCCACTTGCAAACTCCACAAAAAGAGTGTTTCAAATCTGCTCTGTGTAAAGGGACGTTCCACTCTGTGAGTTGAATACACACAGCACAAAGAAGTTACTGAGAATTCTTCTGTCTAGCATGAAATGAAGAAATCCCGTTTCCAACGAAGGCCTCAATGCGGTCCATAGATCCACTTGCAGACTTTACAAACAGAGTGTTTCCAAACTGCTCTATGAAAAGAAAGGTTAAACTATGTGAGTTGAACGCACACATCACAAAGAATTTTCTGAGAATGATTCTGTCTGGTTTTTATTTGAAGATATTTCCCTTTCTACTGTTGGCATCAAATGGCTAGAAATCTCCACTTGCAAATTCCGCAAAAAGAGTGTTTCAAATCTGCTCTGTCTAAAGGGACGTTCCACTCTGTGAGTTGAATGCACACAACACAAAGAATTTACTGAGAATTCTTCCGTCTAGCATTCAATGAAGAAATCCCGTTTCCAACGAAGGCCTCAAACAGGTCCATATATCCAATTGCAGACTTTACAAACAGTGTGTTTCCAAACTCCTCTATGAAAAGAAAGGTTAAACTCTGTGAGTTGAACGCACACATCACAAAGCACTTTCTGAGAATGATTCTGTCTGGTTTTTATACGAAGATATTTCCTTTTCTGCAATTGTCCTCAAATCGCTTGAAATCTCCACCTGAAAATTCCACAGCAAGAGTGTTTCAAATCTGCTCCCTCTAAAGCAAGTTTCAACAATGTGAGTTGAATACACACAACACAAAAAAGTCACTGAGAACTCTTCTTAGTCTAGCATTAAATGAAGAAGTCCCGTTTGCAACGAAGGCCTCAAAGAGGTCCAAATATCCACTTGCAGACATTACAAGCAGAGTGTTTCTAAACTGCTCTAAGAAAAGAAAGGTTAAACTCGATGAGTTGATGGCACACATCACAAAGTAGTTTCTGAGAATAATTCTGTCTAGTTTTTATTTAAAGATATTTCCTTTTCTACTGTTGGCATCAAATCGCTTGAAATCTCCACTTGCAAATTCCACAAAAAGAGTGTTTCAAATCTGCTCTGTCTAAAGGGACGTTCCATTCTGTGAGTTGAATACACACAACACAAAGAAATTACTGAGATTTCTTCTGTCTAGCATGAAATGAAGAAATCCCGTTTCCAACGAAGGCCTCAAAGCAGTCTATATATCCACTTGCAGACTTTACAAACAGAGTGTTTCCAAACTGCTCTATGAAAAGAAAGGCTAAACTCTGTGAGTTGAACGCACACATCACAAAGAATTTTCTGAGAATGATTCTGTCTAGTTTTTATTTGAAGATATTTCCCTTTCTACTGTTGGCATCAAAAGGCTTGAAATCTCCATTTCCAAATTCCAGAAAAAGAGTGTTTCAAATCTGCTCTGTCTAAAGGGACGTTCCACTCTGTGAGTTGAATGCACACAACACAAAGAATTTACTGAGAATTCTTCCGTCTAGCATTCAATGAAGAAATCCCGTTTCCAACGGAGGCCTCAAACAGGTCCATATATCCAATTGCAGACTTTACAAACAGTGTGTTTCCAAACTCCTCTATGAAAAGAAAGGTTAAACTCTGTGAGTTGAACGCACACATCACAAAGCACTTTCTGAGAATGATTCTGTCTGGTTATTATACGAAGATATTTCCTTTTCTGCAATTGTCCTCAAATCGCTTGAAATCTCCACCTGAAAATGCCACAGCAAGAGTGTTTCAAATCTGCTCTCTCTAAAGCAAGGTTCAACTCTGTGAGTTGAATACACACAACACAAAAAAGTTACTGAGAACTCTTCTTAGTCTAGCATGAAAGGAAGAAACCCCGTTTGCAACGAAGGCCTCAAAGAGGTCCAAATATCCACTTGCAGACATAACAAGCAGAGTGTTTCTAAACTGCTCTAAGAAAAGAAAGGTTAAACTCTGTGAGTTGAAGGCACACATCACAAAGTAGTTTCTGAGAATGATTCTGTCTAGTTTTTATTTGAAGATATTTCCTTTTCTACTGTTGGCATCAAATCGCTTGAAATCTCCACTTGCAAACTCCACAAAAAGAGTGTTTCAAATCTGCTCTGTGTAAAGGGACGTTCCACTCTGTGAGTTGAATACACACAGCACAAAGAAGTTACTGAGAATTCTTCTGTCTAGCATGAAATGAAGAAATCCCGTTTCCAACGAAGGCCTCAATGCGGTCCATATATCCACTTGCAGACTTTACAAACAGAGTGTTTCCAAACTGCTCTATGAAAAGAAAGGTTAAACTATGTGAGTTGAACGCACACATCACAAAGAATTTTCTGAGAATGATTCTGTCTGGTTTTTATTTGAAGATATTTCCCTTTCTACTGTTGGCATCAAATGGCTAGAAATCTCCACTTGCAAATTCCGCAAAAAGAGTGTTTCAAATCTGCTCTGTCTAAAGGGACGTTCCACTCTGTCAGTTGAATGCACACAACACAAAGAATTTACTGAGAATTCTTCCGTCTAGCATTCAATGAAGAAATCCCGTTTCCAACGAAGGCCTCAAACAGGTCCATATATCCACTTGCAGACTTTACAAACAGTGTGTTTCCAAACTCCTCTATGAAAAGAAAGGTTAAACTCTGTGAGTTGAACGCACACATCACAAAGCACTTTCTGAGAATGATTCTGTCTGGTTATTATACGAAGATATTTCCTTTTCTGCAATTGTCCTCAAATCGCTTGAAATCTCCACCTGAAAATGCCACAGCAAGAGTGTTTCAAATCTGCTCTCTCTAAAGCAAGGTTCAACTCTGTGAGTTGAATACACACAACACAAAAAAGTTACTGAGAACTCTTCTTAGTCTAGCATGAAAGGAAGAAACCCCGTTTGCAACGAAGGCCTCAAAGAGGTCCAAATATCCACTTGCAGACATAACAAGCAGAGTGTTTCTAAACTGCTCTAAGAAAAGAAAGGTTAAACTATGTGAGTTGAACGCACACATCACAAAGAATTTTCTGAGAATGATTCTGTCTAGTTTTTATTTGAAGATATTTCCTTTTCTACTGTTGGCATCAAATCGCTTGAAATCTCCACTTGCAAACTCCACAAAAAGAGTGTTTAAAATCTGCTCTGTGCAAAGGGACGTTCCACTCTGTGAGTTGAATACACACAGCACAAAGAAGTTACTGAGAATTCTTCTGTCTAGCATGAAATGAAGAAATCCCGTTTCCAACGAAGGCCTCAATGCGGTCCATATATCCACTTGCAGACTTTACAAACAGAGTGTTTCCAAACTGCTCTATGAAAAGAAAGGTTAAACTATGTGAGTTGAACGCACACATCACAAAGAATTTTCTGAGAATGATTCTGTCTGGTTTTTATTTGAAGATATTTCCCTTTCTACTGTTGTCATCAAATGGCTAGAAATCTCCACTTGCAAATTCCGCAAAAAGAGTGTTTCAAATCTGCTCTGTCTAAAGGGACGTTGCACTCTGTGAGTTGAATGCACACAACACAAAGAATTTACTGAGAATTCTTCCGTCTAGCATTCAATGAAGAAATCCCGTTTCCAACGAAGGCCTCAAACAGGTCCATATATCCAATTGCAGACTTTACAAACAGTGTGTTTCCAAACTCCTCTATGAAAAGAAAGGTTAAACTCTGTGAGTTGAACGCACACAACACAAAGCACTTTCTGAGAATGATTCTGTCTGGTTGTTATACGAAGATATTTCCTTTTCTGCAATTGTCCTCAAATCGCTTGAAATCTCCACCTGAAAATGTCACAGCAAGAGTGTTTCAAATCTGCTCTCTCTAAAGCAAGGTTCAACTCTGTGAGTTGAATACACACAACACAAAAAAGTTACTGAGAACTCTTCTTAGTCTAGCATGAAAGGAAGAAACCCCGTTTGCAACGAAGGCCTCAAAGAGGTCCAAATATCCACTTGCAGACATAACAAGCAGAGTGTTTCTAAACTGCTCTAAGAAAAGAAAGGTTAAACTCTGTGAGTTGAAGGCACACATCACAAAGTAGTTTCTGAGAATGATTCTGTCTAGTTTTTATTTGAAGATATTTCCTTTTCTACTGTTGGCATCAAATCGCTTGAAATCTCCACTTGCAAACTCCACAAAAAGAGTGTTTCAAATCTTCTCTGTGTAAAGGGACGTTCCACTCTGTGAGTTGAATACACACAGCACAAAGAAGTTACTGAGAATTCTTCTTAGTCTAGCATGAAATGAAGAAATCCCGTTTGCAACGAAGGCCTCAAAGAGGTCCAAATATCCACTTGCAGACATTACAAACAGAGTGTTTCTAAACTGCTCTATGAAAGGAAAGGTTAAACTATGCGAGTTGAACGCACACATCACAAAGAATTTTCTGAGAATTTTTCTGTCTAGTTTTTATTTGAAGATATTTCCCTTTCTACGGTTGGCATCAAATGGCTTGAAATCTCCACTTGCAAATTCCGCAAAAAGAGGTTTTCAAATCTGCTCTGTCTAAAGGGACGTTCCACTCGGTGAGTTGAATGCACACAACACAAAGAATTTACTGAGAATTCTTCTGACTAGCATTAAATGAAGAAATCCCGTTTCCAACGAATGCCTCAAAGCGGTCCTTTTATCCACTTGCAGATTTTACAAACAGTGTGTTTCCAAACTGCTCTATGAAAACAAAGGTTAAACTATGTGAGCTAAACGCACACATCACAAAGAATTTTCTGAGAATGATTCCGTCTAGCAATATATGAAAAAATCCCATATCCAATGAAGGCCTCAAAGAGGTCCAAATATGCACTTGCAGATTTTACAAACAGTGTGTTTCCAAACTGCTCTATGAAAAGAAAGGTTAAACTCTGTGAGTTGAACGCACACATCACAAAGCACTTTCTGAGAATGATTCTTAGTCTAGCATGAAAGGAAGAAACCCCGTTTGCAACGAAGGCCTCAAAGAGGTCCAAATATCCACTTGCAGACATAACAAGCAGAGTGTTTCTAAACTGCTCTAAGAAAAGAAAGGTTAAACTCTGTGAGTTGAAGGCACACATCACAAAGTAGTTTCTGAGAATGATTCTGTCTAGTTTTTATTTGAAGATATTTCCTTTTCTACTGTTGGCATCAAATCGCTTGAAATCTCCACTTGCAAATTCCACAAAAAGAGTGTTTCAAATCTGCTCTGTGCAAAGGGACGTTCCACTCTGTGAGTTGAATACACACAGCACAAAGAAGTTACTGAGAATTCTTCTGTCTAGCATGAAATGAAGAAATCCCGTTTCCAACGAAGGCCTCAATGCGGTCCATAGATCCACTTGCAGACTTTACAAACAGAGTGTTTCCAAACTGCTCTATGAAAAGAAAGGTTAAACTATGTGAGTTGAACGCACACATCACAAAGAATTTTCTGAGAATGATTCTGTCTGGTTTTTATTTGAAGATATTTCCCTTTCTACTGTTGGCATCAAATGGCTAGAAATCTCCACTTGCAAATTCCGCAAAAAGAGTGTTTCAAATCTGCTCTGTCTAAAGGGACGTTCCACTCTGTGAGTTGAATGCACACAACACAAAGAATTTACTGAGAATTCTTTCGTGTAGCATTCAATGAAGAAATCCCGTTTCCAACGAAGGCCTCAAACAGGTCCATATATCCAATTGCAGACTTTACAAACATTGTGTTTCCAAACTCCTCTATGAAAAGAAAGGTTAAACTCTGTGAGTTGAACGCACACATCACAAAGCACTTTCTGAGAATGATTCTGTCTGGTTGTTATACGAAGATATTTCCTTTTCTGTAATTGTCCTCAAATCGCTTGAAATCTCCACCTGAAAATGCCACAGCAAGAGTGTTTCAAATCTGCTCTCTCTAAAGCAAGGTTCAACTCTGTGAGTTGAATACACACAACACAAAAAAGTTACTGAGAACTCTTCTTAGTCTAGCATGAAAGGAAGAAACCCCGTTTGCAACGAAGGCCTCAAAGAGGTCCAAATATCCACTTGCAGACATAACAAGCAGAGTGTTTCTAAACTGCTCTAAGAAAAGAAAGGTTAAACTCTGTGAGTTGAAGGCACACATCACAAAGTAGTTTCTGAGAATGATTCTGTCTAGTTTTTATTTGAAGATATTTCCTTTTCTACTGTTGGCATCAAATCGCTTGAAATCTCCACTTGCAAACTCCACAAAAAGAGTGTTTCAAATCTGCTCTGTGCAAAGGGACGTTCCACTCTGTGAGTTGAATACACACAGCACAAAGAAGTTACTGAGAATTCTTCTGTCTAGCATGAAATGAAGAAATCCCGTTTCCAACGAAGGCCTCAATGCGGTCCATATATCCACTTGCAGACTTTACAAACAGAGTGTTTCCAAACTGCTCTATGAAAAGAAAGGTTAAACTATGTGAGTTGAACGCACACATCACAAAGAATTTTCTGAGAATGATTCTGTCTGGTTTTTATTTGAAGATATTTCCCTTTCTACTGTTGGCATCAAATGGCTAGAAATCTCCACTTGCAAATTCCGCAAAAAGAGTGTTTCAAATCTGCTCTGTCTAAAGGGACGTTCCACTCTGTGAGTTGAATGCACACCACACAAAGAATTTACTGAGAATTCTTCCGTCTAGCATTATATGATAAAATCCCGTTTCCAACGAAGGCCTCAAACAGGTCCATATATCCACTTGCAGACTTTACAAACAGTGTGTTTCCAAACTCCTCTATGAAAAGAAAGGTTAAACTATGTGAGGTGAACGCACACATCACAAAGCACTTTCTGAGAATGATTCTGTCTAGTTTTTATTTGCAGATATTTCCTTTTCTACTGTTGGCATCAAATCGCTTGAAATCTCCACTTGCAAATTCCACAAAAAGAGTGTTTCAAATCTGCTCTGTGTAAAGGGACGTTCCACTCGGTGAGTTGAATGCACACAACACAAAAAAGTTACTGAGAACTCTTCTTAGTCTAGCATTAAATGAAGAAACCCCGTTTGCAACGACGGCCTCAAAGAGGTCCAAATATCCACTTGCAGACATAAGAAGAAGAGTGTTTCTAAACTGCTCTAAGAAAAGAAAGGTTAAACTCTGTGAGTTGAAGGCACACATCACAAAGTAGTTTCTGAGAATGATTCTGTCTGGTTTTTATTTGAAGATATTTCCCTTTCTACTGTTGGCATCAAATGGCTAGAAATCTCCACTTGCAAATTCCGCAAAAAGAGTGTTTCAAATCTGCTCTGTCTAAAGGGACGTTCCACTCTGTGAGTTGAATGCACACAACACAAAGAATTTACTGAGAATTCTTCCGTCTAGCATTCAATGAAGAAATCCCGTTTCCAACGGAGGCCTCAAACAGGTCCATATATCCAATTGCAGACTTTACAAACAGTGTGTTTCCAAGCTCCTCTATGAAAAGAATGGTTAAACTCTGTGAGTTGAACGCACACATCACAAAGCACTTTCTGAGAATGATTCTGTCTGTTTATTATACGAAGATATTTCCTTTTCTGCAATTGTCCTCAAATCGCTTGAAATCTCCACCTGAAAATTCCACAGCGAGAGTGTTTCAAATCTGCTCTCTCTAAAGCAAGGTTCAACTCTGTGAGTTGAATACACACAACACAAAAAAGTTACTGAGAACTCTTCTTAGTCTAGCATGAAAGGAAGAAACCCCGTTTGCAACGAAGGCCTCAAAGAGGTCCAAATATCCACTTGCAGACATAACAAGCAGAGTGTTTCTAAACTGCTCTAAGAAAAGAAAGGTTAAACTCTGTGAGTTGAAGGCACACATCACAAAGTAGTTTCTGAGAATGATTCTGTCTAGTTTTTATTTGAAGATATTTCCTTTTCTACTGTTGGCATCAAATCGCTTGAAATCTCCACTTGCAAACTCCACAAAAAGAGTGTTTCAAATCTGCTCTGTGCAAAGGGACGTTCCACTCTGTGAGTTGAATACACACAGCACAAAGAAGTTACTGAGAATTCTTCTGTCTAGCATGAAATGAAGAAATCCCGTTTCCAACGAAGGCCTCAATGCGGTCCATATATCCACTTGCAGACTTTACAAACAGAGTGTTTCCAAACTGCTCTATGAAAAGAAAGGTTAAACTATGTGAGTTGAACGCACACATCACAAAGAATTTTCTGAGAATGATTCTGTCTGGTTTTTATTTGAAGATATTTCCCTTTCTACTGTTGGCATCAAATGGCTAGAAATCTCCACTTGCAAATTCCGCAAAAAGAGTGTTTCAAATCTGCTCTGTCTAAAGGGACGTTCCACTCTGTGAGTTGAATGCACACAACACAAAGAATTTACTGAGAATTCTTCCGTCTAGCATTCAATGAAGAAATCCCGTTTCCAACGAAGGCCTCAAACAGGTCCATATATCCACTTGCAGACTTTACAAACAGTGTGTTTCCAAACTCCTCTATGAAAAGAAAGGTTAAACTCTGTGAGTTGAACGCACACATCACAAAGCACTTTCTGAGAATGATTCTGTCTGGTTATTATACGAAGATATTTCCTTTTCTGCAATTGTCCTCAAATCGCTTGAAATCTCCACCTGAAAATGCCACAGCAAGAGTGTTTCAAATCTGCTCTCTCTAAAGCAAGGTTCAGCTCTGTGAGTTGAATACACACAACACAAAAAAGTTACTGAGAACTCTTCTTAGTCTAGCATTAAAGGAAGAAACCCCGTTTGCAACGAAGGCCTCAAAGAGGTCCAAATATCCACTTGCAGACATAACAAGCAGAGTGTTTCTAAACTGCTCTAAGAAAAGAAAGGTTAAACTCTGTGAGTTAAAGGCACACATCACAAAGTAGTTTCTGAGAATGATTCTGTCTAGTTTTTATTTGAAGATATTTCCTTTTCTACTGTTGGCATCAAATCGCTTGAAATCTCCACTTGCAAACTCCACAAAAAGAGTGTTTCAAATCTGCTCTGTGTAAAGGGACGTTCCACTCTGTGAGTTGAATACACACAGCACAAAGAAGTTACTGAGAATTCTTCTGTCTAGCATGAAATGAAGAAATCCCGTTTCCAACGAAGGCCTCAATGCGGTCCATATATCCACTTGCAGACTTTACAAACAGAGTGTTTCCAAACTGCTCTATGAAAAGAAAGGTTAAACTATGTGAGTTGAACGCACACATCACAAAGAATTTTCTGAGAATGATTCTGTCTGGTTTTTATTTGAAGATATTTCCCTTTCTACTGTTGGCATCAAATGGCTAGAAATCTCCACTTGCAAATTCCGCAAAAAGAGTGTTTCAAATCTGCTCTGTCTAAAGGGACGTTCCACTCTGTGAGTTGAATGCACACAACACAGAATTTACTGAGAATTCTTCCGTCTAGCATTAAATGAAAAAATCCCGTTTCCAAAGGAGGCCTCAAACAGTTCCAAATATCCACTTGCAGACTTTACAAACAGTGTGTTTCCAAGCTGCTCTATGAAAAGAAAGGTTAAACTCTGTGACTTGAACGCACACATCACAAAGTACTTTCTGAGAATTATTCTGTCTGGTTATTATACGAAGATATTTCCTTTTCTGCAATTGTCCTCAAATCGCTTGAAATCTCCACCTGAAAATGCCACAGCAAGAGTGTTTCAAATCTGCTCTCTCTAAAGCAAGGTTCAACTCTGTGAGTTGAATACACACAACACAAAAAAGTTACTGAGAACTCTTCTTAGTCTAGCATGAAAGGAAGAAACCCCGTTTGCAACGAAGGCCTCAAAGAGGTCCAAATATCCACTTGCAGACATAACAAGCAGAGTGTTTCTAAACTGCTCTAAGAAAAGAAAGGTTAAACTCTGTGAGTTGAAGGCACACATCACAAAGTAGTTTCTGAGAATGATTCTGTCTAGTTTTTATTTGAAGATATTTCCTTTTCTACTGTTGGCATCAAATCGCTTGAAATCTCCACTTGCAAACTCCACAAAAAGAGTGTTTCAAATCTGCTCTGTGCAAAGGGACGTTCCACTCTGTGAGTTGAATACACACAGCACAAAGAAGTTACTGAGAATTCTTCTGTCTAGCATGAAATGAAGAAATCCCGTTTCCAACGAAGGCCTCAATGCGGTCCATATATCCACTTGCAGACTTTACAAACAGAGTGTTTCCAAACTGCTCTATGAAAAGAAAGGTTAAACTATGTGAGTTGAACGCACACATCACAAAGAATTTTCTGAGAATGATTCTGTCTGGTTTTTATTTGAAGATATTTCCCTTTCTACTGTTGGCATCAAATGGCTAGAAATCTCCACTTGCAAATTCCTCAAAAAGAGTGTTTCAAATCTGCTCTGTCTAAAGGGACGTTCCACTCTGTGAGTTGAATGCACACAACACAAAGAATTTACTGAGAATTCTTCCGTCTAGCATTCAATGAAGAAATCCCGTTTCCAACGAAGGCCTCAAGCAGGTCCATATATCCACTTGCAGAGTTTACAACCAGTGTGTTTCCAAACTCCTCTATGAAAAGAAAGGTTAAACTCTGTGAGTTGAACGCACACATCACAAAGCACTTTCTGAGAATGATTCTGTCTGGTTATTATACGAAGATATTTCCTTTTCTGCAATTGTCCTCAAATCGCTTGAAATCTCCACCTGAAAATGCCACAGCAAGAGTGTTTCAAATCTGCTCTCTCTAAAGCAAGGTTCAACTCTGTGAGTTGAATACACACAACACAAAAAGTTACTGAGAACTCTTCTTAGTCTAGCATGAAAGGAAGAAACCCCGTTTGCAACGAAGGCCTCAAAGAGGTCCAAATATCCACTTGCAGACATAACAAGCAGAGTGTTTCTAAACTGCTCTAAGAAAAGAAAGGTTAAACTCTGTGAGTTGAAGGCACACATCACAAAGTAGTTTCTGAGAATGATTCTGTCTAGTTTTTATTTGAAGATATTTCCTTTTCTACTGTTGGCATCAAATCGCTTGAAATCTCCACTTGCAAATTCCACAAAAAGAGTGTTTCAAATCTGCTCTGTGCAAAGGGACGTTCCACTCTGTGACTTGAATACACACAGCACAAAGAAGTTACTGAGAATTCTTCTGTCTAGCATGAAATGAAGAAATCCCGTTTCCAACGAAGGCCTCAATGCGGTCCATATATCCACTTGCAGACTTTACAAACAGAGTGTTTCCAAACTGCTCTATGAAAAGAAAGGTTAAACTATGTGAGTTGAACGCACACATCACAAAGAATTTTCTGAGAATGATTCTGTCTGGTTTTTATTTGAAGATATTTCCCTTTCTACTGTTGGCATCAAATGGCTAGAAATCTCCACTTGCAAATTCCGCAAAAAGAGTGTTTCAAATCTGCTCTGTCTAAAGGGACGTTCCACTCTGTGAGTTGAATGCACACAACACGAAGAATTTACTGAGAATTCTTCCGTCTAGCATTCAATGAAGAAATCCCGTTTCCAACGAAGGCCTCAAACAGGTCCATATATCCAATTGCAGACTTTACAAACAGTGTGTTTCCAAACTCCTCTATGAAAAGAAAGGTTAAACTCTGTGAGTTGAACGCACACATCACAAAGCACTTTCTGAGAATGATTCTGTCTGGTTGTTATACGAAGATATTTCCTTTTCTGCAATTGTCCTCAAATCGCTTGAAATCTCCACCTGAAAATGCCACAGCAAGAGTGTTTCAAATCTGCTCTCTCTAAAGCAGGGTTCAACTCTGTGAGTTGAATACACACAACACAAAAATGTTACTGAGAACTCTTCTTAGTCTAGCATGAAAGGAAGAAACCCCGTTTGCAACGAAGGCCTCAAAGAGGTCCAAATATCCACTTGCAGACATAACAAGCAGAGTGTTTCTAAACTGCTCTAAGAAAAGAAAGGTTAAACTCTGTGAGTTGAAGGCACACATCACAAAGTAGTTTCTGAGAATGATTCTGTCTAGTTTTTATTTGAAGATATTTCCTTTTCTACTGTTGGCATCAAATCGCTTGAAATCTCCACTTGCAAACTCCACAAAAAGAGTGTTTCAAATCTGCTCTGTGTAAAGGGACGTTCCACTCTGTGAGTTGAATACACACAGCACAAAGAAGTTACTGAGAATTCTTCTGTCTAGCATGAAATGAAGAAATCCCGTTTCCAACGAAGGCCTCAATGCGGTCCATATATCCACTTGCAGACTTTACAAACAGAGTGTTTCCAAACTGCTCTATGAAAAGAAAGGTTAAACTATGTGAGTTGAACGCACACATCACAAAGAATTTTCTGAGAATGATTCTGTCTGGTTTTTATTTGAAGATATTTCCCTTTCTACTGTTGGCATCAAATGGCTAGAAATCTCCACTTGCAAATTCCGCAAAAAGAGTGTTTCAAATCTGCTCTGTCTAAAGGGACGTTCCACTCTGTCAGTTGAATGCACACAACACAAAGAATTTACTGAGAATTCTTCCGTCTAGCATGCAATGAAGAAATCCCGTTTCCAACGAAGGCCTCAAACAGGTCCATATATCCAATTGCAGACTTTACAAACAGTGTGTTTCCAAACTCCTCTATGAAAAGAAAGGTTAAACTCTGTGAGTTGAACGCACACATCACAAAGCACTTTCTGAGAATGATTCTGTCTGGTTGTTATACGAAGATATTTCCTTTTCTGCAATTGTCCTCAAATCGCTTGAAATCTCCACCTGAAAATGCCACAGCAAGAGTGTTTCAAATCTGCTCTCTCTAAAGCAAGGTTCAGCTCTGTGAGTTGAATACACACAACACAAAAAAGTTACTGAGAACTCTTCTTAGTCTAGCATGAAAGGAAGAAACCCCGTTTGCAACGAAGGCCTCAAAGAGGTCCAAATATCCACTTGCAGACATAACAAGCAGAGTGTTTCTAAACTGCTCTAAGAAAAGAAAGGTTAAACTCTGTGAGTTGAAGGCACACATCACAAAGTAGTTTCTGAGAATGATTCTGTCTAGTTTTTATTTGAAGATATTTCCTTTTCTACTGTTGGCATCAAATCGCTTGAAATCTCTACTTGCAAACTCCACAAAAAGAGTGTTTCAAATCTGCTCTGTGCAAAGGGACGTTCCACTCTGTGAGTTGAATACACACAGCACAAAGAAGTTACTGAGAATTCTTCTGTCTAGCATGAAATGAAGAAATCCCGTTTCCAACGAAGGCCTCAATGCGGTCCATAGATCCACTTGCAGACTTTACAAACAGAGTGTTTCCAAACTGCTCTATGAAAAGAAAGGTTAAACTATGTGAGTTGAACGCACACATCACAAAGAATTTTCTGAGAATGATTCTGTCTGGTTTTTATTTGAAGATATTTCCCTTTCTACTGTTGGCATCAAATGGCTAGAAATCTCCACTTGCAAATTCCGCAAAAAGAGTGTTTCAAATCTGCTCTGTCTAAAGGGACGTTCCACTCTGTGAGTTGAATGCACACAACACAAAGAATTTACTGAGAATTCTTCCGTCTAGCATTCAATGAAGAAATCCCGTTTCCAACGAAGGCCTCAAACAGGTCCATATATCCAATTGCAGACTTTACAAACAGTGTGTTTCCAAACTCCTCTATGAAAAGAAAGGTTAAACTCTGTGAGTTGAACGCACACATCACAAAGCACTTTCTGAGAATGATTCTGTCTGGTTATTATACGAAGATATTTCCTTTTCTGCAATTGTCCTCAAATCGCTTGAAATCTCCACCTGAAAATGCCACAGCAAGAGTGTTTCAAATCTGCTCTCTCTAAAGCAAGGTTCAACTCTGTGAGTTGAATACACACAACACAAAAAAGTTACTGAGAACTCTTCTTAGTCTAGCATGAAAGGAAGAAACCCCGTTTGCAACGAAGGCCTCAAAGAGGTCCAAATATCCACTTGCAGACATAACAAGCAGAGTGTTTCTAAACTGCTCTAAGAAAAGAAAGGTTAAACTCTGTGAGTTGAAGGCACACATCACAAAGTAGTTTCTGAGAATGATTCTGTCTAGTTTTTATTTGAAGATATTTCCTTTTCTACTGTTGGCATCAAATCGCTTGAAATCTCCACTTGCAAACTCCACAAAAAGAGTGTTTCAAATCTGCTCTGTGTAAAGGGACGTTCCACTCTGTGAGTTGAATACACACAGCACAAAGAAGTTACTGAGTATTCTTCTGTCTAGCATGAAATGAAGAAATCCCGTTTCCAACGAAGGCCTCAATGCGGTCCATATATCCACTTGCAGACTTTACAAACAGAGTGTTTCCAAACTGCTCTATGAAAAGAAAGGTTAAACTATGTGAGTTGAACGCACACATCACAAAGAATTTTCTGAGAATGATTCTGTCTGGTTTTTATTTGAAGATATTTCCCTTTCTACTGTTGGCATCAAATGGCTAGAAATCTCCACTTGCAAATTCCGCAAAAAGAGTGTTTCAAATCTGCTCTGTCTAAAGGGACGTTCCACTCTGTGAGTTGAATGCACACAACACAAAGAATTTACTGAGAATTCTTCCGTCTAGCATTCAATGAAGAAATCCCGTTTCCAACGAAGGCCTCAAACAGGTCCATGTATCCACTTGCAGACTTTACAAACAGTGTGTTTCCAAACTCCTCTATGAAAAGAAAGGTTAAACTCTGTGAGTTGAACGCACACATCACAAAGCACTTTCTGAGAATGATTTCTGTCTGGTTGTTATACGAAGATATTTCCTTTTCTGAAATTGTCCTCAAATCGCTTGAAATCTCCACCTGAAAATGCCACAGCAAGAGTGTTTCAAATCTGCTCTCTCTAAAGCAAGGTTCAGCTCTGTGAGTTGAATACACACAACACAAAAAAGTTACTGAGAACTCTTCTTAGTCTAGCATGAAAGGAAGAAACCCCGTTTGCAACGAAGGCCTCAAAGAGGTCCAAATATCCACTTGCAGACATAACAAGCAGAGTGTTTCTAAACTGCTCTAAGAAAAGAAAGGTTAAACTCTGTGAGTTGAAGGCACACATCACAAAGTAGTTTCTGAGAATGATTCTGTCTAGTTTTTATTTGAAGATATTTCCTTTTCTACTGTTGGCATCAAATCGCTTGAAATCTCCACTTGCAAACTCCACAAAAAGAGTGTTTCAAATCTGCTCTGTGCAAAGGGACGTTCCACTCTGTGAGTTGAATACACACAGCACAAAGAAGTTACTGAGAATTCTTCTGTCTAGCATGAAATGAAGAAATCCCGTTTCCAACGAAGGCCTCAATGCGGTCCATATATCCACTTGCAGACTTTACAAACAGAGTGTTTCCAAACTGCTCTATGAAAAGAAAGGTTAAACTATGTGAGTTGAACGCACACATCACAAAGAATTTTCTGAGAATGATTCTGTCTGGTTTTTATTTGAAGATATTTCCCTTTCTACTGTTGGCATCAAATGGCTAGAAATCTCCACTTGCAAATTCCGCAAAAAGAGTGTTTCAAATCTGCTCTGTCTAAAGGGACGTTCCACTCTGTGAGTTGAATGCACACAACACAAAGAATTTACTGAGAATTCTTCCGTCTAGCAGTCAATGAAGAAATCCCGTTTCCAACGAAGGCCTCAAACAGGTCCATATATCCAATTGCAGACTTTACAAACAGTGTGTTTCCAAACTCCTCTATGAAAAGAAAGGTTAAACTCTGTGAGTTGAACGCACACATCACAAAGCACTTTCTGAGAATGATTCTGTCTGGTTATTATACGAAGATATTTCCTTTTCTGCAATTGTCCTCAAATCGCTTGAAATCTCCACCTGAAAATGCCACAGCAAGAGTGTTTCAAATCTGCTCTCTCTAAAGCAAGGTTCAACTCTGTGAGTTGAATACACACAACACAAAAAAGTTACTGAGAACTCTTCTTAGTCTAGCATTAAAGGAAGAAACCCCGTTTGCAACGAAGGCCTCAAAGAGGTCCAAATATCCACTTGCAGACATAACAAGCAGAGTGTTTCTAAACTGCTCTAAGAAAAGAAAGGTTAAACTCTGTGAGTTGAAGGCACACATCACAAAGTAGTTTCTGAGAATGATTCTGTCTAGTTTTTATTTGAAGATATTTCCTTTTCTACTGTTGGCATCAAATCGCTTGAAATCTCCACTTGCAAACTCCACAAAAAGAGTGTTTCAAATCTGCTCTGTGTAAAGGGACGTTCCACTCTGTGAGTTGAATACACACAGCACAAAGAAGTTACTGAGAATTCTTCTGTCTAGCATGAAATGAAGAAATCCCGTTTCCAACGAAGGCCTCAATGCGGTCCATATATCCACTTGCAGACTTTACAAACAGAGTGTTTCCAAACTGCTCTATGAAAAGAAAGGTTAAACTATGTGAGTTGAACGCACACATCACAAAGAATTTTCTGAGAATGATTCTGTCTGGTTTTTATTTGAAGATATTTCCCTTTCTACTGTTAGCATCAAATGGCTAGAAATCTCCACTTGCAAATTCCGCAAAAAGAGTGTTTCAAATCTGCTCTGTCTAAAGGGACGGTTCCACTCTGTGAGTTGAATGCACACAACACAAAGAATTTACTGAGAATTCTTCCGTCTAGCATTCAATGAAGAAATCCCGTTTCCAACGAAGGCCTCAAACAGGTCCATATATCCAATTGCAGACTTTACAAACAGTGTGTTTCCAAACTCCTCTATGAAAAGAAAGGTTAAACTCTGTGAGTTGAACGCACACATCACAAAGCACTTTCTGAGAATGATTCTGTCTGGTTGTTATACGAAGATATTTCCTTTTCTGCAATTGTCCTCAAATCGCTTGAAATCTCCACCTGAAAATGCCACAGCAAGAGTGTTTCAAATCTGCTCTCTCTAAAGCAAGGTTCAACTCTGTGAGTTGAATACACACAACACAAAAAAGTTACTGAGAACTCTTCTTAGTCTAGCATGAAAGGAAGAAACCCCGTTTGCAACGAAGGCCTCAAAGAGGTCCAAATATCCACTTGCAGACATAACAAGCAGAGTGTTTCTAAACTGCTCTAAGAAAAGAAAGGTTAAACTCTGTGAGTTGAAGGCACACATCACAAAGTAGTTTCTGAGAATGATTCTGTCTAGTTTTTATTTGAAGATATTTCCTTTTCTACTGTTGGCATCAAATCGCTTGAAATCTCCACTTGCAAACTCCACAAAAAGAGTGTTTCAAATCTGCTCTGTGCAAAGGGACGTTCCACTCTGTGAGTTGAATACACACAGCACAAAGAAGTTACTGAGAATTCTTCTGTCTAGCATGAAATGAAGAAATCCCGTTTCCAACGAAGGCCTCAATGCGGTCCATATATCCACTTGCAGACTTTACAAACAGAGTGTTTCCAAACTGCTCTATGAAAAGAAAGGTTAAACTATGTGAGTTGAACGCACACATCACAAAGAATTTTCTGAGAATGATTCTGTCTGGTTTTTATTTGAAGATATTTCCCTTTCTACTGTTGGCATCAAATGGCTAGAAATCTCCACTTGCAAATTCCGCAAAAAGAGTGTTTCAAATCTGCTCTGTCTAAAGGGACGTTCCACTCTGTGAGTTGAATGCACACAACACAAAGAATTTACTGAGAATTCTTCCGTCTAGCATTCAATGAAGAAATTCCGTTTCCAACGAAGGCCTCAAACAGGTCCATATATCCAATTGCAGACATTACAAACAGTGTGTTTCCAAACTCCTCTATGAAAAGAAAGGTTAAACTACTGTGAGTTGAACGCACACATCACAAAGCACTTTCTGAGAATGATTCTGTCTGGTTATTATACGAAGATATTTCCTTTTCTGCAATTGTCCTCAAATCGCTTGAAATCTCCACCTGAAAATGCCACAGCAAGAGTGTTTCAAATCTGCTCTCTCTAAAGCAAGGTTCAACTCTGTGAGTTGAATACACACAACACAAAAAAGTTACTGAGAACTCTTCTTAGTCTAGCATGAAAGGAAGAAACCCCGTTTGCAACGAAGGCCTCAAAGAGGTCCAAATATCCACTTGCAGACATAACAAGCAGAGTGTTTCTAAACTGCTCTAAGAAAAGAAAGGTTAAACTCTGTGAGTTGAAGGCACACATCACAAAGTAGTTTCTGAGAATGATTCTGTCTAGTTTTTATTTGAAGATATTTCCTTTTCTACTGTTGGCATCAAATCGCTTGAAATCTCCACTTGCAAACTCCACAAAAAGAGTGTTTCAAATCTGCTCTGTGTAAAGGGACGTTCCACTCTGTGAGTTGAATACACACAGCACAAAGAAGTTACTGAGAATTCTTCTGTCTAGCATGAAATGAAGAAATCCCGTTTCCAACGAAGGCCTCAATGCGGTCCATATATCCACTTGCAGACTTTACAAACAGAGTGTTTCCAAACTGCTCTATGAAAAGAAAGGTTAAACTATGTGAGTTGAACGCACACATCACAAAGAATTTTCTGAGAATGATTCTGTCTGGTTTTTATTTGAAGATATTTCCCTTTCTACTGTTGGCATCAAATGGCTAGAAATCTCCACTTGCAAATTCCGCAAAAAGAGTGTTTCAAATCTGCTCTGTCTAAAGGGACGTTCCACTCTGTGAGTTGAATGCACACAACACAAAGAATTTACTGAGAATTCTTCCGTCTAGCATTCAATGAAGAAATCCCGTTTCCAACGAAGGCCTCAAACAGGTCCATATATCCAATTGCAGACTTTACAAACAGTGTGTTTCCAAACTCCTCTATGAAAAGAAAGGTTAAACTCTGTGAGTTGAACGCACACATCACAAAGCACTTTCTGAGAATGATTCTGTCTGGTTATTATACGAAGATATTTCCTTTTCTGCAATTGTCCTCAAATCGCTTGAAATCTCCACCTGAAAATGCCACAGCAAGAGTGTTTCAAATCTGCTCTCTCTAAAGCAAGGTTCAACTCTGTGAGTTGAATACACACAATACAAAAAAGTTACTGAGAACTCTTCTTAGTCTAGCATGAAAGGAAGAAACCCCGTTTGCAACGAAGGCCTCAAAGAGGTCCAAATATCCACTTGCAGACATAACAAGCAGAGTGTTTCTAAACTGCTCTAAGAAAAGAAAGGTTAAACTCTGTGAGTTGAAGGCACACATCACAAAGTAGTTTCTGAGAATGATTCTGTCTAGTTTTTATTTGAAGATATTTCCTTTTCTACTGTTGGCATCAAATCGCTTGAAATCTCCACTTGCAAACTCCACAAAAAGAGTGTTTCAAATCTGCTCTGTGCAAAGGGACGTTCCACTCTGTGAGTTGAATACACACAGCACAAAGAAGTTACTGAGAATTCTTCTGTCTAGCATGAAATGAAGAAATCCCGTTTCCAACGAAGGCCTCAATGCGGTCCATATATCCACTTGCAGACTTTACAAACAGAGTGTTTCCAAACTGCTCTATGAAAAGAAAGGTTAAACTATGTGAGTTGAACGCACACATCACAAAGAATTTTCTGAGAATGATTCTGTCTGGTTTTTATTTGAAGATATTTCCCTTTCTACTGTTGGCATCAAATGGCTAGAAATCTCCACTTGCAAATTCCGCAAAAAGAGTGTTTCAAATCTGCTCTGTCTAAAGGGACGTTCCACTCTGTGAGTTGAATGCACACAACACAAAGAATTTACTGAGAATTCTTCCGTCTAGCATTCAATGAAGAAATCCCGTTTCCAACGGAGGCCTCAAACAGGTCCATATATCCAATTGCAGACTTTACAAACAGTGTGTTTCCAAACTCCTCTATGAAAAGAAAGGTTAAACTCTGTGAGTTGAACGCACACATCACAAAGCACTTTCTGAGAATGATTCTGTCTGGTTGTTATACGAAGATATTTCCTTTTCTGTAATTGTCCTCAAATCGCTTGAAATCTCCACCTGAAAATGCCACAGCAAGAGTGTTTCAAATCTGCTCTCTCTAAAGCAAGGTTCAACTCTGTGAGTTGAATACACACAACACAAAAAAGTTACTGAGAACTCTTCTTAGTCTAGCATGAAAGGAAGAAACCCCGTTTGCAACGAAGGCCTCAAAGAGGTCCAAATATCCACTTGCAGACATAACAAGCAGAGTGTTTCTAAACTGCTCTAAGAAAAGAAAGGTTAAACTCTGTGAGTTGAAGGCACACATCACAAAGTAGTTTCTGAGAATGATTCTGTCTAGTTTTTATTTGAAGATATTTCCTTTTCTACTGTTGGCATCAAATCGCTTGAAATCTCCACTTGCAAACTCCACAAAAAGAGTGTTTCAAATCTGCTCTGTGTAAAGGGACGTTCCACTCTGTGAGTTGAATACACACAGCACAAAGAAGTTACTGAGAATTCTTCTGTCTAGCATGAAATGAAGAAATCCCGTTTCCAACGAAGGCCTCAATGCGGTCCATATATCCACTTGCAGACTTTGCAAACAGAGTGTTTCCAAACTGCTCTATGAAAAGAAAGGTTAAACTATGTGATTTGAACGCACACATCACAAAGAATTTTATGAGAATGATTCTGTCTGGTTTTTATTTGAAGATATTTCCCTTTCTACTGTTGGCATCAAATGGCTAGAAATCTCCACTTGCAAATTCCGCAAAAAGAGTGTTTCAAATCTGCTCTGTCTAAAGGGACGTTCCACTCTGTGAGTTGAATGCACACAACACAAAGAATTTACTGAGAATTCTTCCGTGTAGCATTCAATGAAGAAATCCCGTTTCCAACGAAGGCCTCAAACAGGTCCATATATCCACTTGCAGACTTTACAAACAGTGTGTTTCCAAACTCCTCTATGAAAAGAAAGGTTAAACTCTGTGAGTTGAACGCACACATCACAAAGCACTTTCTGAGAATGATTCTGTCTGGTTATTATACGAAGATATTTCCTTTTCTGCAATTGTCCTCAAATCGCTTGAAATCTCCACCTGAAAATGCCACAGCAAGAGTGTTTCAAATCTGCTCTCTCTAAAGCAAGGTTCAACTCTGTGAGTTGAATACACACAACACAAAAAAGTTACTGAGAACTCTTCTTAGTCTAGCATGAAAGGAAGAAACCCCGTTTGCAACGAAGGCCTCAAAGAGGTCCAAATATCCACTTGCAGACATAACAAGCAGAGTGTTTCTAAACTGCTCTAAGAAAAGAAAGGTTAAACTCTGTGAGTTGAAGGCACACATCACAAAGTAGTTTCTGAGAATGATTCTGTCTAGTTTTTATTTGAATATATTTCTTTTTCTACTGTTGGCATCAAATCGCTTGAAATCTCCACTTGCAAATTCCACAAAAAGAGTGTTTCAAATCTGCTCTGTGTAAAGGGACGTTCCACTCTGTGAGTTGAATACACACAGCACAAAGAAGTTACTGAGAATTCTTCTGTCTAGTATGAAATGAAGAAATCCCGTTTCCAACGAAGGCCTCAATGCGGTCCATATATCCACTTGCAGACTTTACAAACAGAGTGTTTCCAAACTGCTCCATGAAAAGAAAGGTTAAACTATGTGAGTTGAACGCACACATCACAAAGAATTTTCTGAGAATGATTCTGTCTGGTTTTTATTTGAAGATATTTCCCTTTCTACTGTTGGCATCAAATGGCTAGAAATCTCCACTTGCAAATTCCACAAAAAGAGTGTTTCAAATCTGCTCTGTCTAAAGGGACGTTCCACTCTGTGAGTTGAATGCACACAACACAAAGAATTTACTGAGAATTCTTCCGTCTAGCATTCAATGAAGAAATCCCGTTTCCAACGAAGGCCTCAAACAGGTCCATATATCCACTTGCAGACTTTACAAACAGTGTGTTTCCAAACTCCTCTATGAAAAGAAAGGTTAAACTCTGTGAGTTGAACGCACACATCACAAAGCACTTTCTGAGAATGATTCTGTCTGGTTATTATACGAAGATATTTCCTTTTCTGCAATTGTCCTCAAATCGCTTGAAATCTCCACCTGAAAATGCCACAGCAAGAGGGTTTCAAATCTGCTCTCTCTAAAGCAAGGTTCAACTCTGTGATTTGAATACACACAACACAAAAAAGTTACTGAGAACTCTTCTTAGTCTAGCATGAAAGGAAGAAACCCCGTTTGCAACGAAGGCCTCAAAGAGGTCCAAATATCCACTTGTAGACATAACAAGCAGAGTGTTTCTAAACTGCTCTAAGAAAAGAAAGGTTAAACTCTGTGAGTTGAAGGCACACATCACAAAGTAGTTTTTGAGAATGATTCTGTCTAGTTTTTATTTGAAGATATTTCCTTTTCTACTGTTGGCATCAAATCGCTTGAAATCTCCACTTGCAAACTCCACAAAAAGAGTGTTTCAAATCCGCTCTGTGCAAAGGGACGTTCCACTCTGTGAGTTGAATACACACAGCACAAAGAAGTTACTGAGAATTCTTCTGTCTAGCATGAAATGAAGAAATCCCGTTTCCAACGAAGGCCTCAATGCGGTCCATAGATCCACTTGCAGACTTTACAAACAGAGTGTTTCCAAACTGCTCTATGAAAAGAAAGGTTAAACTATGTGAGTTGAACGCACACATCACAAAGAATTTTCTGAGAATGATTCTGCCTGGTTTTTATTTGAAGATATTTCCCTTTCTACTGTTGGCATCAAATGGCTAGAAATCTCCACTTGCAAATTCCGCAAAAAGAGTGTTTCAAATCTGCTCTGTCTAAAGGGACGTTCCACTCTGTGAGTTGAATGCACACAACACAAAGAATTTACTGAGAATTCTTCCGTCTAGCATTCAATGAAGAAATCCCGTTTCCAACGAAGGCCTCAAACAGGTCCATATATCCACTTGCAGACTTTACAAACAGTGTGTTTCCAAACTCCTCTATGAAAAGAAAGGTTAAACTCTGTGAGTGGAACGCACACATCACAAAGCACTTTCTGAGAATGATTCTGTCTGGTTATTATACGAAGATATTTCCTTTTCTGCAATTGTCCTCAAAACGCTTGAAATCTCCACCTGAAAATGCCACAGCAAGAGTGTTTCAAATCTGCTCTCTCTAAAGCAAGGTTCAACTCTGTGAGTTGAATACACACAACACAAAAAAGTTACTGAGAACTCTTCTTAGTCTAGCATGAAAGGAAGAAACCCCGTTTGCAACGAAGGCCTCAAAGAGGTCCAAATATCCACTTGCAGACATAACAAGCAGAGTGTTTCTAAACTGCTCTAAGAAAAGAAAGGTTAAACTCTGTGAGTTGAAGGCACACATCACAAAGTAGTTTCTGAGAATGATTCTGTCTAGTTTTTATTTGAAGATATTTCCTTTTCTACTGTTGGCATCAAATCGCTTGAAATCTCCACTTGCAAACTCCACAAAAAGAGTGTTTCAAATCTGCTCTGTGTAAAGGGACGTTCCACTCTGTGAGTTGAATACACACAGCACAAAGAAGTTACTGAGAATTCTTCTGTCTAGCATGAAATGAAGAAATCCCGTTTCCAACGAAGGCCTCAATGCGGTCCATATATCCACTTGCAGACTTTACAAACAGAGTGTTTCCAAACTGCTCTATGAAAAGAAAGGTTAAACTATGTGAGTTGAACGCACACATCACAAAGAATTTTCTGAGAATGATTCTGTCTGGTTTTTATTTGAAGATATTTCCCTTTCTACTGTTGGCATCAAATGGCTAGAAATCTCCACTTGCAAATTCCGCAAAAAGAGTGTTTCAAATCTGCTCTGTCTAAAGGGACGTTCCACTCTGTGAGTTGAATGCACACAACACAAATAATTTACTGAGAATTCTTCCGCCTAGCATTCAATGAAGAAATCCCGTTTCCAACGAAGGCCTCAAACAGGTCCATATATCCACTTGCAGACTTTACAAACAGTGTGTTTCCAAACTCCTCTATGAAAAGAAAGGTTAAACTCTGTGAGTGGAACGCACACATCACAAAGCACTTTCTGAGAATGATTCTGTCTGGCTGTTATACGAAGATATTTCCTTTTCTGCAATTGTCCTCAAATCGCTTGAAATCTCCACCTGAAAATGCCACAGCAAGAGTGTTTCAAATCTGCTCTCTCTAAAGCAAGGTTCAACTCTGTGAGTTGAATACACACAACACAAAAAAGTTACTGAGAACTCTTCTTAGTCTAGCATTAAAGGAAGAAACCCCGTTTGCAACGAAGGCCTCAAAGTAGGTCCAAATATCCACTTGCAGACATAACAAGCAGAGTGTTTCTAAACTGCTCTAAGAAAAGAAAGGTTAAACTCTGTGAGTTGAAGGCACACATCACAAAGTAGTTTCTGAGAATGATTCTGTCTAGTTTTTATTTGAAGATATTTCCTTTTCTACTGTTGGCATCAAATCGCTTCAAATCTCCACTTGCAAATTCCACAAAAAGAGTGTTTCAAATCTGCTCTGTCTAAAGGGACGTTCCACTCTGTGAGTTGAAAACACACAACACAAAAAAGTTAATGAGAATTCTTCTGTCTAGCATGAAATGAAGAAATCCCGTTTCCAACGAAGGCCTCAATGCGGTCCATATATCCACTTGCAGACTTTACAAACAGAGTGTTTCCAAACTGCTCTATGAAAAGAAAGGTTAAACTATGTGAGTTGAACGCACACATCACAAAGAATTTTCTGAGAATGATTCTGTCTGGTTTTTATTTGAAGATATTTCCCTTTCTACTGTTGGCATCAAATGGCTAGAAATCTCCACTTGCAAATTCCGCAAAAAGAGTGTTTCAAATCTGCTCTGTCTAAAGGGACGTTCCACTCTGTGAGTTGAATGCACACAACACAAAGAATTTACTGAGAATTCTTCCGTCTAGCATTCAATGAAGAAATCCCGTTTCCAACGAAGGCCTCAAACAGGTCCATATATCCACTTGCAGACTTTACAAACAGTGTGTTTCCAAACTCCTCTATGAAAAGAAAGGTTAAACTCTGTGAGTGGAACGCACACATCACAAAGCACTTTCTGAGAATGATTCTGTCTGGTTATTATACGAAGATATTTCCTTTTCTGCAATTGTCTTCAAATCGCTTGAAATCTCCACCTGAAAATGCCACAGCAAGAGTGTTTCAAATCTGCTCTCTCTAAAGCAAGGTTCAACTCTGTGAGTTGAATACACACAACACAAAAAAGTTACTGAGAACTCTTCTTAGTCTAGCATGAAAGGAAGAAACCCCGTTTGCAACGAAGGCCTCAAAGAGGTCCAAATATCCACTTGCAGACATAACAAGCAGAGTGTTTCTAAACTGCTCTAAGAAAAGAAAGGTTAAACTCTGTGAGTTGAAGGCACACATCACAAAGTAGTTTCTGAGAATGATTCTGTCTAGTTTTTATTTGAAGATATTTCCTTTTCTACTGTTGGCATCAAATCGCTTGAAATCTCCACTTGCAAACTCCACAAAAAGAGTGTTTCAAATCTGCTCTGTGTAAAGGGACGTTCCACTCTGTGAGTTGAATACACACAGCACAAAGAAGTTACTGAGAATTCTTCTGTCTAGCATGAAATGAAGAAATCCCGTTTCCAACGAAGGCCTCAATGCGGTCCATATATCCACTTGCAGACTTTACAAACAGAGTGTTTCCAAACTGCTCTATGAAAAGAAAGGTTAAACTATGTGAGTTGAACGCACACATCACAAAGAATTTTCTGAGAATGATTCTGTCTGGTTTTTATTTGAAGATATTTCCCTTTCTACTGTTGGCATCAAATGGCTAGAAATCTCCACTTGCAAATTCCGCAAAAAGAGTGTTTCAAATCTGCTCTGTCTAAAGGGACGTTCCACTCTGTGAGTTGAATGCACACAACACAAAGAATTTACTGAGAATTCTTCCGTCTAGCATTCAATGAAGAAATCCCGTTTCCAACGAAGGCCTCAAACAGGTCCATATATCCAATTGCAGACTTTACAAACAGTGTGTTTCCAAACTCCTCTATGGAAAGAAAGGTTAAACTCTGTGAGTTGAACGCACACATCACAAAGCACTTTCTGAGAATGATTCTGTCTGGTTGTTATACGAAGATATTTCCTTTTCTGCAATTGTCCTCAAATCGCTTGAAATCTCCACCTGAAAATGCCACAGCAAGAGTGTTTCAAATCTGCTCTCTCTAAAGCAAGGTTCAACTCCGTGAGTTGAATGCACACAACACAAAAAAGTTACTGAGAACTCTTCTTAGTCTAGCATGAAAGGAAGAAACCCCGTTTGCAACGAAGGCCTCAAAGAGGTCCAAATATCCACTTGCAGACATAACAAGCAGAGTGTTTCTAAACTGCTCTAAGAAAAGAAAGGTTAAACTCTGTGAGTTGAAGGCACACATCACAAAGTAGTTTCTAAATGATTCTGTCTAGTTTTTATTTGAAGATATTTCCTTTTCTACTGTTGGCATCAAATCGCTTGAAATCTCCACTTGCAAATTCCACAAAAAGAGTGTTTCAAATCTGCTCTGTGCAAAGGGACGGTTCCACTCTGTGAGTTGAATACACACAGCACAAAGGAGTTACTGAGAATTCTTCTGTCTAGCATGAAATGAAGAAATCCCGTTTCCAACGAAGGCCTCAATGCGGTCCATATATCCACTTGCAGACTTTACAAACAGAGTGTTTCCAAACTGCTCTATGAAAAGAAAGGTTAAACTATGTGAGTTGAACGCACACATCACAAAGAATTTTCTGAGAATGATTCTGTCTGGTTTTTATTTGAAGATATTTCCCTTTCTACTGTTGGCATCAAATGGCTAGAAATCTCCACTTGCAAATTCCGCAAAAAGAGTGTTTCAAATCTGCTCTGTCTAAAGGGACGTTCCACTCTGTGAGTTGAATGCACACAACACAAAGAATTTACTGAGAATTCTTCCGTCTAGCATTCAATGAAGAAATCCCGTTTCCAACGAAGGCCTCAAACAGGTCCATATATCCACTTGCAGACTTTACAAACAGTGTGTTTCCAAACTCCTCTATGAAAAGAAAGGATAAACTCTGTGAGTTGAACCCTCACATCACAAAGCACTTTCTGAGAATGATTCTGTCTGGTTGTTATACGAAGATATTTCCTTTTCTGCAATTGTCCTCAAATCGCTTGAAATCTCCACCTGAAAATGCCACAGCAAGAGTGTTTCAAATCTGCTCTCTCTAAAGCAAGGTTTAACTCTGTGAGTTGAATACACACAACACAAAAAAGTTACTGAGAACTCTTCTTAGTCTAGCATGAAAGGAAGAAACCCCGTTTGCAACGAAGGCCTCAAAGAGGTCCAAATATCCACTTGCAGACATAACAAGCAGAGTGTTTCTAAACTGCTCTAAGAAAAGAAAGGTTAAACTCTGTGAGTTGAAGGCACACATCACAAAGTAGTTTCTGAGAATGATTCTGTCTAGTTTTTATTTGAAGATATTTCCTTTTCTACTGTTGGCATCAAATCGCTTGAAATCTCCACTTGCAAACTCCACAAAAAGAGTGTTTCAAATCTGCTCTGTGCAAAGGGAAGTTCCACTCTGTGAGTTGAATACACACAGCACAAAGAAGTTACTGAGAATTCTTCTGTCTAGCATGAAATGAAGAAATCCCGTTTCCAACGAAGGCCTCAATGCGGTCCATATATCCACTTGCAGACTTTACAAACAGAGTGTTTCCAAACTGCTCTATGAAAAGAAAGGTTAAACTATGTGAGTTGAACGCACACATCACAAAGAATTTTCTGAGAATGATTCTGTCTGGTTTTTATTTGAAGATATTTCCCTTTCTACTGTTGGCATCAAATGGCTAGAAATCTCCACTTGCAAATTCCGCAAAAAGAGTGTTTCAAATCTGCTCTGTCTAAAGGGACGTTCCACTCTGTGAGTTGAATGCACACAACACAAAGAATTTACTGAGAATTCTTCCGTCTAGCATTCAATGAAGAAATCCCGTTTCCAACGAAGGCCTGAAACAGGTCCATATATCCACTTGCAGACTTTACAAACAGTGTGTTTCCAAACTCCTCTATGAAAAGAAAGGTTAAACTCTGTGAGTTGAACGCACACATCACAAAGCACTTTCTGAGAATGATTCTGTCTGGTTATTATACGAAGATATTTCCTTTTCTGCAATTGTCCTCAAATCGCTTGAAATCTCCACCTGAAAATGCCACAGCAAGAGTGTTTCAAATCTGCTCTCTCTAAAGCAAGGTTCAACTCTGTGAGTTGAATACACACAACACAAAAAAGTTACTGAGAACTCTTCTTAGTCTAGCATGAAAGGAAGAAACCCCGTTTGCAACGAAGGCCTCAAAGAGGTCCAAATATCCACTTGCAGACATAACAAGCAGAGTGTTTCTAAACTGCTCTAAGAAAAGAAAGGTTAAACTCTGTGAGTTGAAGGCACACATCACAAAGTAGTTTTTGAGAATGATTCTCTGTCTAGTTTTTATTTGAAGATATTTCCTTTTCTACTGTTGGCATCAAATCGCTTGAAATCTCCACTTGCAAACTCCACAAAAAGAGTGTTTCAAATCTGCTCTGTGTAAAGGGACGTTCCACTCTGTGAGTTGAATACACACAGCACAAAGAAGTTACTGAGAATTCTTCTGTCTAGCATGAAATGAAGAAATCCCGTTTCCAACGAAGGCCTCAATGCGGTCCATATATCCACTTGCAGACTTTACAAACAGAGTGTTTCCAAACTGCTCTATGAAAAGAAAGGTTAAACTATGTGAGTTGAACGCACACATCACAAAGAATTTTCTGAGAATGATTCTGTCTGGTTTTTATTTGAAGATATTTCCCTTTCTACTGTTGGCATCAAATGGCTAGAAATCTCCACTTGCAAATTCCGCAAAAAGAGTGTTTCAAATCTGCTCTGTCTAAAGGGACGTTCCACTCTGTGAGTTGAATGCACACAACACAAAGAATTTACTGAGAATTCTTCCGTCTAGCATTCAATGAAGAAATCCCGTTTCCAACGAAGGCCTCAAAGAGGTCCATATATCCACTTGCAGACTTTACAAACAGTGTGTTTCCAAACTCCTCTATGAAAAGAAAGGTTAAACTCTGTGAGTGGAACGCACACATCACAAAGCACTTTCTGAGAATGATTTTGTCTGGTTATTATACGAAGATATTTCCTTTTCTGCAATTGTCCTCAAATCGCTTGAAATCTCCACCTGAAAATGCCACAGCAAGAGTGTTTCAAATCTGCTCTCTCTAAAGCAAGGTTCAACTCTGTGAGTTGAATACACACAACACAAAAAAGTTACTGAGAACTCTTCTTAGTCTAGCATGAAAGGAAGAAACCCCGTTTGCAACGAAGGCCTCAAAGAGGTCCAAATATCCACTTGCAGACATAACAAGCAGAGTGTTTCTAAACTGCTCTAAGAAAAGAAAGGTTAAACTCTGTGAGTTGAAGGCACACATCACAAAGTAGTTTCTGAGAATGATTCTGTCTAGTTTTTATTTGAAGATATTTCCTTTTCTACTGTTGGCATCAAATCGCTTGAAATCTCCACTTGCAAACTCCACAAAAAGAGTGTTTCAAATCTGCTCTGTGTAAAGGGACGTTCCACTCTGTGAGTTGAATACACACAGCACAAAGAAGTTACTGAGAATTCTTCTGTCTAGCATGAAATGAAGAAATCCCGTTTCCAACGAAGGCCTCAATGCGGTCCATATATCCACTTGCAGACTTTACAAACAGAGTGTTTCCAAACTGCTCTATGAAAAGAAAGGTTAAACTATGTGAGTTGAACGCACACATCACAAAGAATTTTCTGAGAATGATTCTGTCTGGTTTTTATTTGAAGATATTTCCCTTTCTACTGTTGGCATCAAATGGCTAGAAATCTCCACTTGCAAATTCCGCAAAAAGAGTGTTTCAAATCTGCTCTGTCTAAAGGGACGTTCCACTCTGTGAGTTGAATGCACACAACACAAAGAATTTACTGAGAATTCTTCCGTCTAGCATTCAATGAAGAAATCCCGTTTCCAACGAAGGCCTCAAACAGGTCCATATATCCAATTGCAGACTTTACAAACAGTGTGTTTCCAAACTCCTCTATGAAAAGAAAGGTTAAACTCTGTGAGTTGAACGCACACATCACAAAGCACTTTCTGAGAATGATTCTGTCTGGTTATTATACGAAGATATTTCCTTTTCTGCAATTGTCCTCAAATCGCTTGAAATCTCCACCTGAAAATGCCACAGCAAGAGTGTTTCAAATCTGCTCTCTCTAAAGCAAGGTTCAACTCTGTGAGTTGAATACACACAACACAAAAAAGTTACTGAGAACTCTTCTTAGTCTAGCATGAAAGGAAGAAACCCCGTTTGCAACGAAGGCCTCAAAGAGGTCCAAATATCCACTTGCAGACATAACAAGCAGAGTGTTTCTAAACTGCTCTAAGAAAAGAAAGGTTAAACTCTGTGAGTTGAAGGCACACATCACAAAGTAGTTTCTGAGAATGATTCTGTCTAGTTTTTATTTGAAGATATTTCCTTTTCTACTGTTGGCATCAAATCGCTTGAAATCTCCACTTGCAAATTCCACAAAAAGAGTGTTTCAAATCTGCTCTGTGCAAAGGGACGTTCCACTCTGTGAGTTGAATACACACAGCACAAAGAAGTTACTGAGAATTCTTCTGTCTAGCATGAAATGAAGAAATCCCGTTTCCAACGAAGGCCTCAATGCGGTCCATATATCCACTTGCAGACTTTACAAACAGAGTGTTTCCAAACTGCTCTATGAAAAGAAAGGTTAAACTATGTGAGTTGAACGCACACATCACAAAGAATTTTTCTGAGAATGATTCTGTCTGGTTTTTATTTGAAGATATTTCCCTTTCTACTGTTGGCATCAAATGGCTTGAAATCTCCACTTGCAAATTCCGCAAAAAGAGTGTTTCAAATCTGCTCTGTCTAAAGGGAAGTTCCACTCTGTGAGTTGAATGCACACAACACAAAGAATTTACTGAGAATTCTTCCGTCTAGCATTCAATGAAGAAATCCCGTTTCCAAAGAAGGCCTCAAACAGGTCCATATATCCAATTGCAGACTTTACAAACAGTGTGTTTCCAAACTCCTCTATGAAAAGAAAGGTTAAACTCTGTGAGTTGAACGCACACATCACAAAGCACTTTCTGAGAATGATTCTGTCTGGTTATTATACGAAGATATTTCCTTTTCTGCAATTGTCCTCAAATCGCTTGATATCTCCACCTGAAAATGCCACAGCAAGAGTGTTTCAAATCTGCTCTCTCTAAAGCAAGGTTCAACTCTGTGAGTTGAATACACACAACACAAAAAAGTTACTGAGAACTCTTCTTAGTCTAGCATGAAAGGAAGAAACCCCGTTTGCAACGAAGGCCTCAAAGAGGTCCAAATATCCACTTGCAGACATAACAAGCAGAGTGTTTCTAAACTGCTCTAAGAAAAGAAAGGTTAAACTATGTGAGTTGAACGCACACATCACAAAGAATTTTCTGAGAATGATTCTGTCTAGTTTTTATTTGAAGATATTTCCTTTCCTACTGTTGGCATCAAATCGCTTGAAATCTCCACTTGCAAACTCCACAAAAAGAGTGTTTCAAATCTGCTCTGTGCAAAGGGACGTTCCACTCTGTGAGTTGAATACACACAGCACAAGGAAGTTACTGAGAATTCTTCTGTCTAGCATGAAATGAAGAAATCCCGTTTCCAACGAAGGCCTCAATGCGGTCCATATATCCACTTGCAGACTTTACAAACAGAGTGTTTCCAAACTGCTCTATGAAAAGAAAGGTTAAACTATGTGAGTTGAACGCACACATCACAAAGAATTTTCTGAGAATGATTCTGTCTAGTTTTTATTTGAAGATATTTCCCTTTCTATTGTTGGCATCAAATGGCTTGAAATCTCCACTACCAAATTTCGCAAAAAGAGTGTTTCAAATCTGGTCTGTCTAAAGGGACGTTCCACTCGGTGAGTTGAATGCACACAACACAAAGAATTTACTGAGAATTCTTCCGTCTAGCATTCAATGAAGAAATCCCGTTTCCAACGAAGGCCTCAAACAGGTCCATATATCCAATTGCAGACTTTACAAACAGTGTGTTTCCAAACTCCTCTATGAAAAGAAAGATTAAACTCTGTGAGTTGAATGCACACATCACAAAGCACTTTCTGAGAATGATTCTGTCTGGTTATTATACGAAGATATTTCCTTTTCTGCAATTGTCCTCAAATCGCTTGAAATCTCCACCTGAAAATGCCACAGCAAGAGTGTTTCAAATCTGCTCTCTCTAAAGCAAGGTTCAACTCTGTGAGTTGAATACACACAACACAAAAAAGTTACTGAGAACTCTTCTTAGTCTAGCATGAACGGAAGAAACCCCGTTTGCAACGAAGGCCTCAAAGAGGTCCAAATATCCACTTGCAGACATAACAAGCAGAGTGTTTCTAAACTGCTCTAAGAAAAGAAAGGTTAAACTCTGTGAGTTGAAGGCACACATCACAAAGTAGTTTCTGAGAATGATTATCTGTCTAGTTTTTATTTGAAGATATTTCCTTTTCTACTGTTGGCATCAAATCGCTTGAAATCTCCACTTGCAAACTCCACAAAAAGAGTGTTTCAAATCTGCTCTGTGTAAAGGGACGTTCCACTCTGTGAGTTGAATACACACAGCACAAAGAAGTTACTGAGAATTCTTCTGTCTAGCATGAAATGAAGAAATCCCGTTTCCAACGAAGGCCTCAATGCGGTCCATATATCCACTTGCAGACTTTACAAACAGAGTGTTTCCAAACTGCTCTATGAAAAGAAAGGTAAAACTATGTGAGTTGAACGCACACATCACAAAGAATTTTGTGAGAATGATTTCTGTCTGGTTTTTATTTGAAGATATTTCCCTTTCTACTGTTGGCATCAAATGGCTAGAAATCTCCACTTGCAAATTCCGCAAAAAGAGTGTTTCAAATCTGCTCTGTCTAAAGGGACGTTCCACTCTGTGAGTTGAATGCACACAACACAAAGAATTTACTGAGAATTCTTCCGTCTAGCATTCAATGAAGAAATCCCGTTTCCAACGAAGGCCTCAAACAGGTCCATATATCCACTTGCAGACTTTACAAACAGTGTGTTTCCAAACTCCTCTATGAAAAGAAAGGTTAAACTCTGTGAGTTGAACGCACACATCACAAAGCACTTTCTGAGAATGATTCTGTCTGGTTATTATACGAAGATATTTCCTTTTCTGCAATTGTCCTCAAAACGCTTGAAATCTCCACCTGAAAATGCCACAGCAAGAGTGTTTCAAATCTGCTCTCTCTAAAGCAAGGTTCAACTCTGTGAGTTGAATACACACAACACAAAAAAGTTACTGAGAACTCTTTCTTAGTCTAGCATGAAAGGAAGAAACCCCGTTTGCAACGAAGGCCTCAAAGAGGTCCAAATATCCACTTGCAGACATAACAAGCAGAGTGTTTCTAAACTGCTCTAAGAAAAGAAAGGTTAAACTCTGTGAGTTGAAGGCACACATCACAAAGTAGTTTCTGAGAATGATTCTGTCTAGTTTTTATTTGAAGATATTTCCTTTTCTACTGTTGGCATCAAATCGCTTGAAATCTCCACTTGCAAATTCCACAAAAAGAGTGTTTCAAATCTGCTCTGTGCAAACGGACGTTCCAGTATGTGAGTTGAATACACACCGCACAGAGAAGTTACTGAGAATTCTTCTGTCTAGCATGAAATGAAGAAATCCCGTTTCCAACGAAGGCCTCAATGCGGTCCATATATCCACTTGCAGACTTTACAAACAGAGTGTTTCCAAACTGCTCTATGAAAAGAAAGGTTAAACTATGTGAGTTGAACGCACACATCACAAAGAATTTTCTGAGAATGATTCTGTCTGGTTTTTATTTGAAGATATTTCCCTTTCTACTGTTGGCATCAAATGGCTAGAAATCTCCACTTGCAAATTCCGCAAAAAGAGTGTTTCAAATCTGCTCTGTCTAAAGGGACGTTCCACTCTGTGAGTTGAATGCACACAACACAAAGAATTTACTGAGAATTCTTCCGTCTAGCATTCAATGAAGAAATCCCGTTTCCAACGAAGGCCTCAAACAGGTCCATATATCCACTTGCAGACTTTACAAACAGTGTGTTTCCAAACTCCTCTATGAAAAGAAAGGTTAAACTCTGTGAGTTGAACGCACACATCACAAAGCACTTTCTGAGAATGATTCTGTCTGGTTGTTATACGAAGATATTTCCTTTTCTGCAATTGTCCTCAAATCGCTTGAAATCTCCACCTGAAAATGCCACAGCAAGAGTGTTTCAAATCTGCTCTCTCTAAAGCAAGGTTCAACTCTGTGAGTTGAATACACACAACACAAAAAAGTTACTGAGAACTCTTCTTAGTCTAGCATGAAAGGAAGAAACCCCGTTTGCAACGAAGGCCTCAAAGAGGTCCAAATATCCACTTGCAGACATAACAAGCAGAGTGTTTCTAAACTGCTCTAAGAAAAGAAAGGTTAAACTCTGTGAGTTGAACGCACACATCACAAAGTAGTTTCTGAGAATGATTCTGTCTAGTTTTTATTTGAAGATATTTCCTTTTCTACTGTTGGCATCAAATCGCTTGAAATCTCCACTTGCAAATTCCACAAAAAGAGTGTTTCAAATCTGCTCTGTGCAAAGGGACGTTCCACTCTGTGAGTTGAATACACACAGCACAAAGAAGTTACTGAGAATTCTTCTGTCTAGCATGAAATGAAGAAATCCCGTTTCCAACGAAGGGCCTCAATGCGGTCCATATATCCACTTGCAGACTTTACAAACAGAGTGTTTCCAAACTGCTCTATGAAAAGAAAGGTTAAACTATGTGAGTTGAACGCACACATCACAAAGAATTTTCTGAGAATGATTCTGTCTGGTTTTTATTTGAAGATATTTCCCTTTCTACTGTTGGCATCAAATGGCTAGAAATCTCCACTTGCAAATTCCGCAAAAAGAGTGTTTCAAATCTGCTCTGTCTAAAGGGACGTTCCACTCTGTGAGTTGAATGCACACAACACAAAGAATTTACTGAGAATTCTTCCGTCTAGCATTCAATGAAGAAATCCCGTTTCCAACGAAGGGCTCAAACAGGTCCATATATCCACTTGCAGACTTTACAAACAGTGTGTTTCCAAACTCCTCTATGAAAAGAAAGGTTAAACTCTGTGAGTTGAACGCACACATCACAAAGCACTTTCTGAGAATGATTCTGTCTGGTTATTATACGAAGATATTTCCTTTTCTGCAATTGTCCTCAAATCGCTTGAAATCTCCACCTGAAAATGCCACAGCAAGAGTGTTTCAAATCTGCTCTCTCTAAAGCAAGGTTCAACTCTGTGAGTTGAATACACACAACACAAAAAAGTTACTGAGAACTCTTCTTAGTCTAGCATTAAAGGAAGAAACCCCGTTTGCAACGAAGGCCTCAAAGAGGTCCAAATATCCACTTGCAGACATAACAAGCAGAGTGTTTCTAAACTGCTCTAAGAAAAGAAAGGTTAAACTCTGTGAGTTGAAGGCACACATCACAAAGTAGTTTCTGAGAATGATTCTGTCTAGTTTTTATTTGAAGATATTTCCTTTTCTACTGTTGGCATCAAATCGCTTGAAATCTCCACTTGCAAACTCCACAAAAAGAGTGTTTCAAATCTGCTCTGTGCAAAGGGACGTTCCACTCTGTGAGTTGAATACACACAGCACAAAGAAGTTACTGAGAATTCTTCTGTCTAGCATGAAATGAAGAAATCCCGTTTCCAACGAAGGCCTCAATGCGGTCCATATATCCACTTGCAGACTTTACAAACAGAGTGTTTCCAAACTGCTCTATGAAAAGAAAGGTTAAACTATGTGAGTTGAACGCACACATCACAAAGAATTTTCTGAGAATGATTCTGTCTGGTTTTTATTTGAAGATATTTCCCTTTCTACTGTTGGCATCAAATGGCTAGAAATCTCCACTTGCAAATTCCGCAAAAAGAGTGTTTCAAATCTGCTCTGTCTAAAGGGACGTTCCACTCTGTGAGTTGAATGCACACAACACAAAGAATTTACTGAGAATTCTTCCGTCTAGCATTCAATGAAGAAATCCCGTTTCCAACGAAGGCCTCAAACAGGTCCATATATCCACTTGCAGACTTTACAAACAGTGTGTTTCCAAACTCCTCTATGAAAAGAAAGGTTAAACTCTGTGAGTGGAACGCACACATCACAAAGCACTTTCTGAGAATGATTCTGTCTGGTTATTATACGAAGATATTTCCTTTTCTGCAATTGTCCTCAAATCGCTTGAAATCTCCACCTGAAAATGCCACAGCAAGAGTGTTTCAAATCTGCTCTCTCTAAAGCAAGGTTCAACTCTGTGAGTTGAATACACACAACACAAAAAAGTTACTGAGAACTCTTCTTAGTCTAGCATGAAAGGAAGAAACCCCGTTTGCAACGAAGGCCTCAAAGAGGTCCAAATATCCACTTGCAGACATAACAAGCAGAGTGTTTCTAAACTGCTCTAAGAAAAGAAAGGTTAAACTCTGTGAGTTGAAGGCACACATCACAAAGTAGTTTCTGAGAATGATTCTGTCTAGTTTTTATTTGAAGATATTTCCTTTTCTACTGTTGGCATCAAATCGCTTGAAATCTCCACTTGCAAACTCCACAAAAAGAGTGTTTCAAATCTGCTCTGTGTAAAGGGACGTTCCACTCTGTGAGTTGAATACACACAGCACAAAGAAGTTACTGAGAATTCTTCTGTCTAGCATGAAATGAAGAAATCCCGTTTCCAACGAAGGCCTCAATGCGGTCCATATATCCACTTGCAGACTTTACAAACAGAGTGTTTCCAAACTGCTCTATGAAAAGAAAGGTTAAACTATGTGAGTTGAACGCACACATCACAAAGAATTTTCTGAGAATGATTCTGTCTGGTTTTTATTTGAAGATATTTCCCTTTCTACTGTTGGCATCAAATGGCTAGAAATCTCCACTTGCAAATTCCGCAAAAAGAGTGTTTCAAATCTGCTCTGTCTAAAGGGACGTTCCACTCTGTCAGTTGAATGCACACAACACAAAGAATTTACTGAGAATTCTTCCGTCTAGCATTCAATGAAGAAATCCCGTTTCCAACGAAGGCCTCAAACAGGTCCATATATCCACTTGCAGACTTTACAAACAGTGTGTTTCCAAACTCCTCTATGAAAAGAAAGGTTAAACTCTGTGAGTTGAACGCACACATCACAAAGCACTTTCTGAGAATGATTCTGTCTGGTTATTATACGAAGATATTTCCTTTTCTGCAATTGTCCTCAAATCGCTTGAAATCTCCACCTGAAAATGCCACAGCAAGAGTGTTTCAAATCTGCTCTCTCTAAAGCAAGGTTCAACTCTGTGAGTTGAATACACACAACACAAAAAAGTTACTGAGAACTCTTCTTAGTCTAGCATGAAAGGAAGAAACCCCGTTTGCAACGAAGGCCTCAAAGAGGTCCAAATATCCACTTGCAGACATAACAAGCAGAGTGTTTCTAAACTGCTCTAAGAAAAGAAAGGTTAAACTCTGTGAGTTGAAGGCACACATCACAAAGTAGTTTCTGAGAATGATTCTGTCTAATTTTTATTTGAAGATATTTCCTTTTCTACTGCTGGCATCAAATCGCTTGAAATCTCCACTTGCAAACTCCACAAAAAGAGTGTTTCAAATCTGCTCTGTGTAAAGGGACGGTTCCACTCTGTGAGTTGAATACACACAGCACAAAGAAGTTACTGAGAATTCTTCTGTCTAGCATGAAATGAAGAAATCCCGTTTCCAACGAAGGCCTCAATGCGGTCCATATATCCACTTGCAGACTTTACAAACAGAGTGTTTCCAAACTGCTCTATGAAAAGAAAGGTTAAACTATGTGAGTTGAACGCACACATCACAAAGAATTTTCTGAGAATGATTCTGTCTGGTTTTTATTTGAAGATATTTCCCTTTCTACTGTTGGCATCAAATGGCTAGAAATCTCCACTTGCAAATTCCGCAAAAAGAGTGTTTCAAATCTGCTCTGTCTAAAGGGACGTTCCACTCTGTCAGTTGAATGCACACAACACAAAGAATTTACTGAGAATTCTTCCGTCTAGCATTCAATGAAGAAATCCCGTTTCCAACGAAGGCCTCAAACAGGTCCATATATCCAAATGCAGACTTTACAAACAGTGTGTTTCCAAACTCCTCTATGAAAAGAAAGGTTAAACTCTGTGAGTTGAACGCACACATCACAAAGCACTTTCTGAGAATGATTCTGTCTGGTTATTATACGAAGATATTTCCTTTTCTGCAATTGTCCTCAAAACGCTTGAAATCTCCACCTGAAAATGCCACAGCAAGAGTGTTTCAAATCTGCTCTCTCTAAAGCAAGGTTCAACTCTGTGAGTTGAATACACACAACACAAAAAAGTTACTGAGAACTCTTCTTAGTCTAGCATTAAAGGAAGAAACCCCGTTTGCAACGAAGGCCTCAAAGAGGTCCAAATATCCACTTGCAGACATAACAAGCAGAGTGTTTCTAAACTGCTCTAAGAAAAGAAAGGTTAAACTCTGTGAGTTGAAGGCACACATCACAAAGTAGTTTCTGAGAATGATTCTGTCTAGTTTTTATTTGAAGATATTTCCTTTTCTACTGTTGGCATCAAATCGCTTGAAATCTCCACTTGCAAACTCCACAAAAAGAGTGTTTCAAATCTGCTCTGTGTAAAGGGACGTTCCACTCTGTGAGTTGAATACACACAGCACAAAGAAGTTACTGAGAATTCTTCTGTCTAGCATGAAATGAAGAAATCCCGTTTCCAACGAAGGCCTCAATGCGGTCCATAGATCCACTTGCAGACTTTACAAACAGAGTGTTTCCAAACTGCTCTATGAAAAGAAAGGTTAAACTATGTGAGTTGAACGCACACATCACAAAGAATTTTCTGAGAATGATTCTGTCTGGTTTTTATTTGAAGATATTTCCCTTTCTACTGTTGGCATCAAATGGCTAGAAATCTCCACTTGCAAATTCCGCAAAAAGAGTGTTTCAAATCTGCTCTGTCTAAAGGGACGTTCCACTCTGTGAGTTGAATGCACACAACACAAAGAATTTACTGAGAATTCTTCCGTCTAGCATTCAATGAAGAAATCCCGTTTCCAACGAAGGCCTCAAACAGGTCCATATATCCAATTGCAGATTTTACAAACAGTGTGTTTCCAAACTCCTCTATGAAAAGAAAGGTTAAACTCTGTGAGTTGAACGCACACATCACAAAGTACTTTCTGAGAATGATTCTGTCTGGTTATTATACGAAGATATTTCCTTTTCTGCAATTGTCCTCAAATCGCTTGAAATCTCCACCTGAAAATGCCACAGCAAGAGTGTTTCAAATCTGCTCTCTCTAAAGCAAGGTTCAACTCTGTGAGTTGAATACACACAACACAAAAAAGTTACTGAGAACTCTTCTTAGTCTAGCATTAAAGGAAGAAACCCCGTTTGCAACGAAGGCCTCAAAGAGGTCCAAATATCCACTTGCTGACATAACAAGCAGAGTGTTTCAAAACTGCTCTAAGAAAAGAAAGGTTAAACTCTGTGAGTTGAAGGCACACATCACAAAGTAGTTTCTGAGAATGATTCTGTCTAGTTTTTATTTGAAGATATTTCCTTTTCTACTGTTGGCATCAAATCGCTTGAAATCTCCACTTGCAAACTCCACAAAAAGAGTGTTTCAAATCTGCTCTGTGCAAAGGGACGTTCCACTCTGTGAGTTGAATACACACAGCACAAAGAAGTTACTGAGAATTCTTCTGTCTAGCATGAAATGCAGAAATCCCGTTTCCAACGAAGGCCTCAATGCGGTCCATATATCCACTTGCAGACATTACAAACAGAGTGTTTCCAAACTGCTCTATGAAAAGAAAGGTTAAACTATGTGAGTTGAACGCACACATCACAAAGAATTTTCTGAGAATGATTCTGTCTGGTTTTTATTTGAAGATGTTTCCCTTTCTACTGTTGGCATCAAATGGCTAGAAATCTCCACTTGCAAATTCCGCAAAAAGAGTGTTTCAAATCTGCTCTGTCTAAAGAGACGTTCCACTCTGTCAGTTGAATGCACACAACACAAAGAATTTACTGAGAGTTCTTCCGTCTAGCATTCAATGAAGAAATCCCGTTTCCAACGAAGGCCTCAAACAGGTCCATATATCCAATTGCAGACTTTACAAACAGTGTGTTTCCAAACTCCTCTATGAAAAGAAAGGTTAAACTCTGTGAGTTGAACGCACACAACACAAAGCACTTTCTGAGAATGATTCTGTCTGGTTATTATACGAAGATATTTCCTTTTCTGCAATTGTCCTCAAAACGCTTGAAATCTCCACCTGAAAATGCCACAGCAAGAGTGTTTCAAATCTGCTCTCTCTAAAGCAAGGTTCAACTCTGTGAGTTGAATACACACAACACAAAAAAGTTACTGAGAACTCTTCTTAGTCTAGCATTAAAGGAAGAAACGCCGTTTGCAACGAAGGCCTCAAAGAGGTCCAAATATCCACTTGCAGACATAACAACCAGAGTGTTTCTAAACTGCTCTAAGAAAAGAAAGGTTAAACTCTCTGAGTTGAAGGCACACATCACAAAGTAGTTTCTGAGAATGATTCTGTCTAGTTTTTATTTGAAGATATTTCCTTTTCTACTGTTGGCATCAAATCGCTTGAAATCTCCACTTGCAAACTCCACAAAAAGAGTGTTTCAAATCTGCTCTGTGCAAAGGGACGTTCCACTCTGTGAGTTGAATACACACAGCACAAAGAAGTTACTGAGAATTCTTCTGTCTAGCATGAAATGAAGAAATCCCGTTTCCAACGAAGGCCTCAATGCGGTCCATATATCCACTTGCAGACTTTACAAACAGAGTGTTTCCAAACTGCTCTATGAAAAGAAAGGTTAAACTATGTGAGTTGAACGCACACATCACAAAGAATTTTCTGAGAATGATTCTGTCTGGTTTTTATTTGAAGATATTTCCCTTTCTACTGTTGGCATCAAATGGCTAGAAATCTCCACTTGCAAATTCCGCAAAAAGGGTGTTTCAAATCTGCTCTGTCTAAAGGGACGTTCCACTCTGTGAGTTGAATGCACACAACACAAAGAATTTACTGAGAATTACTTTCCGTCTAGCATTCAATGAAGAAATCCCGTTTCCAACGAAGGCCTCAAACAGGTCCATATATCCAATTGCAGACTTTACAAACAGTGTGTTTCCAAACTCCTCTATGAAAAGAAAGGTTAAACTCTGTGAGTTGAACGCACACATCACAAAGCACTTTCTGAGAATGATTCTGTCTGGTTATTATACGAAGATATTTCCTTTTCTGCAATTGTCCTCAAATCGCTTGAAATCTCCACCTGAAAATGCCACAGCAAGAGTGTTTCAAATCTGCTCTCTCTAAACCAAGGTTCAACTCTGTGAGTTGAATACACACAACACAAAAAAGTTACTGAGAACTCTTCTTAGTCTAGCATTAAAGGAAGAAACCCCGTTTGCAACGAAGGCCTCAAAGAGGTCCAAATATCCACTTGCTGACATAACAAGCAGAGTGTTTCAAAACTGCTCTAAGAAAAGAAAGGTTAAACTCTGTGAGTTGAAGGCACACATCACAAAGTAGTTTCTGAGAATGATTCTGTCTAGTTTTTATTTGAAGATATTTCCTTTTCTACTGTTGGCATCAAATCGCTTGAAATCTCCACTTGCAAACTCCACAAAAAGAGTGTTTCAGATCTGCTCTGTGTAAAGGGACGTTCCACTCTGTGAGTTGAATACACACAGCACAAAGAAGTTACTGAGAATTCTTCTGTCTAGCATGAAATGAAGAAATCCCGTTTCCAACGAAGGCCTCAATGCGGTCCATATATCCACTTGCAGACTTTACAAACAGAGTGTTTCCAAACTGCTCTATGAAAAGAAAGGTTAAACTATGTGAGTTGAACGCACACATCACAAAGAATTTTCTGAGAATGATTCTGTCTGGTTTTTATTTGAAGATATTTCCCTTTCTACTGTTGGCATCAAATGGCTAGAAATCTCCACTTGCAAATTCCGAAAAAAGAGTGTTTCAAATCTGCTCTGTCTAAAGGGACGTTCCACTCTGCTCGAGTTGAATGCACACAACACAAAGAATTTACTGAGAATTCTTCCGTCTAGCATTCAATGAAGAAATCCCGTTTCCAACGAAGGCCTCAAACAGGTCCATATATAAAATTGCAGACATTACAAACACTGTGTTTCCAAACTCCTCTATGAAAAGAAAGGTTAAACTCTGTGAGTTGAAGGCACACTTCACAAAGTAGTTTCTGAGAATGATTCTGTCTAGTTTTTATTTGAAGATATTTCCTTTTCTACTGTTGGCATCAAATCGCTTGAAATCTCCACTTGCAAATTCCACAAAAAGAGTGTTTCAAATCTGCTCTGTGCAAAGGGACGTTCCACTCTGTGAGTTGAATACACACAGCACAAAGAAGTTACTGAGAATTCTTCTGTCTAGCATGAAATGAAGAAATCCCGTTTCCAACGAAGGCCTCAATGCGGTCCATATATCCACTTGCAGACTTTACAAACAGAGTGTTTCCAAACTGCTCTATGAAAAGAAAGGTTAAACTATGTGAGTTGAACGCACACATCACAAAGAATTTTCTGAGAATGATTCTGTCTGGTTTTTATTTGAAGATATTTCCCTTTCTACTGTTGGCATCAAATGGCTAGAAATCTCCACTTGCAAATTCCGCAAAAAGAGTGTTTCAAATCTGCTCTGTCTAAAGGGACGTTCCACTCTGTGAGTTGAATGCACACAACACAAAGAATTTACTGAGAATTCTTCCGTCTAGCATTCAATGAAGAAATCCCGTTTCCAACGAAGGCCTCAAACAGGTCCATATATCCAATTGCAGACTTTACAAACAGTGTGTTTCCAAACTCCTCTATGAAAAGAAAGGTTAAACTCTGTGAGTTGAACGCACACATCACAAAGCACTTTCTGAGAATGATTCTGTCTGGTTGTTATACGAAGATATTTCCTTTTCTGCAATTGTCCTCAAATCCCTTGAAATCTCCACCTGAAAATGCCACAGCAAGAGTGTTTCAAATCTGCTCTCTCTAAAGCAAGGTTCAACTCTGTGAGTTGAATACACACAACACAAAAAAGTTACTGAGAACTCTTCTTAGTCTAGCATGAAAGGAAGAAACCCCGTTTGCAACGAAGGCCTCAAAGAGGTCCAAATATCCACTTGCAGACATAACAAGCAGAGTGTTTCTAAACTGCTCTAAGAAAAGAAAGGTTAAACTCTGTGAGTTGAAGGCACACATCACAAAGTAGTTTCTGAGAATGATTCTGTCTAGTTTTTATTTGAAGATATTTCCTTTTCTACTGTTGGCATCAAATCGCTTGAAATCTCCACTTGCAAACTCCACAAAAAGAGTGTTTCAAATCTGCTCTGTGTAAAGGGACGTTCCACTCTGTGAGTTGAATACACACAGCACAAAGAAGTTACTGAGAATTCTTCTGTCTAGCATGAAATGAAGAAATCCCGTTTCCAACGAAGGCCTCAATGCGGTCCATATATCCACTTGCAGACTTTACAAACAGAGTGTTTCCAAACTGCTCTATGAAAAGAAAGGTTAAACTATGTGAGTTGAACGCACACATCACAAAGAATTTTCTGAGAATGATTCTGTCTGGTTTTTATTTGAAGATATTTCCCTTTCTACTGTTGGCATCAAATGGCTAGAAATCTCCACTTGCAAATTCCGCAAAAAGGGTGTTTCAAATCTGCTCTGTCTAAAGGGACGTTCCACTCTGTGAGTTGAATGCACACAACACAAAGAATTTACTGAGAATTACTTTCCGTCTAGCATTCAATGAAGAAATCCCGTTTCCAACGAAGGCCTCAAACAGGTCCATATATCCAATTGCAGACTTTACAAACAGTGTGTTTCCAAACTCCTCTATGAAAAGAAAGGTTAAACTCTGTGAGTTGAACGCACACATCACAAAGCACTTTCTGAGAATGATTCTGTCTGGTTATTATACGAAGATATTTCCTTTTCTGCAATTGTCCTCAAATCGCTTGAAATCTCCACCTGAAAATGCCACAGCAAGAGTGTTTCAAATCTGCTCTCTCTAAAGCAAGGTTCAACTCTGTGAGTTGAATACACACAACACAAAAAAGTTACTGAGAACTCTTCTTAGTCTAGCATGAAAGGAAGAAACCCCGTTTGCAACGAAGGCCTCAAAGAGGTCCAAATATCCACTTGCAGACATAACAAGCAGAGTGTTTCTAAACTGCTCTAAGAAAAGAAAGGTTAAACTCTGTGAGTTGAAGGCACACATCACAAAGTAGTTTCTGAGAATGATTCTGTCTAGTTTTTATTTGAAGATATTTCCTTTTCTACTGTTGGCAACAAATCGCTTGAAATCTCCACTTGCAAAGTCCACAAAAAGAGTGTTTCAAATCTGCTCTGTGTAAAGGGACGTTCCACTCTGTGAGTTGAATACACACAGCACAAAGAAGTTACTGAGAATTCTTCTGTCTAGCATGAAATGAAGAAATCCCGTTTCCAACGAAGGCCTCAATGCGGTCCATATATCCACTTGCAGACTTTACAAACAGAGTGTTTCCAAACTGCTCTATGAAAAGAAAGGTTAAACTATGTGAGTTGAACGCACACATCACAAAGAATTTTCTGAGAATGATTCTGTCTGGTTTTTATTTGAAGATATTTCCCTTTCTACTGTTGGCATCAAATGGCTAGAAATCTCCACTTGCAAATTCCACAAAAAGAGTGTTTCAAATCTGCTCTGTCTAAAGGGACGTTCCACTCTGTGAGTTGAATGCACACAACACAAAGAATTTACTGAGAATTCTTCCGTCTAGCATTCAATGAAGAAATCCCGTTTCCAACGAAGGCCTCAAACAGGTCCATATATCCAATTGCAGACTTTACAAACAGTGTGTTTCCAAACTCCTCTATGAAAAGAAAGGTTAAACTCTGTGAGTTGAACGCACACATCACAAAGCACTTTCTGAGAATGATTCTGTCTGGTTGTTATACGAAGATATTTCCTTTTCTGCAATTGTCCTCAAATCGCTTGAAATCTCCACCTGAAAATGCCACAGCAAGAGTGTTTCAAATCTGCTCTCTCTAAAGCAAGGTTCAACTCTGTGAGTTGAATACACACAACACAAAAAAGTTACTGAGAACTCTTCTTAGTCTAGCATGAAAGGAAGAAACCCCGTTTGCAACGAAGGCCTCAAAGAGGTCCAAATATCCACTTGCAGACATAACAAGCAGAGTGTTTCTAAACTGCTCTAAGAAAAGAAAGGTTAAACTCTGTGAGTTGAAGGCACACATCACAAAGTAGTTTCTGAGAATGATTCTGTCTAGTTTTTATTTGAAGATATTTCCTTTTCTACTGTTGGCATCAAATCGCTTGAAATCTCCACTTGCAAACTCCACAAAAAGAGTGTTTCAAATCTGCTCTGTCTAAAGGGACGTTCCACTCTGTGAGTTGAATGCACACAACACAAAGAATTTACTGAGAATTCTTCTGTCTAGCATGAAATGAAGAAATCCCGTTTCCAACGAAGGCCTCAATGCGGTCCATATATCCACTTGCAGACTTTACAAACAGAGTGTTTCCAAACTGCTCTATGAAAAGAAAGGTTAAACTATGTGAGTTGAACGCACACATCACAAAGAATTTTCTGAGAATGATTCTGTCTGGTTTTTATTTGAAAATATTTCCCTTTCTACTGTTGGCATCAAATGGCTAGAAATCTCCACTTGCAAATTCCGCAAAAAGAGTGTTTCAAATCTGCTCTGTCTAAAGGGACGTTCCACTCTGTGAGTTGAATGCACACAACACAAAGAATTTACTGAGAATCTTCCGTCTAGCATTCAATGAAGAAATCCCGTTTCAAACGAAGGCCTCAAACAGGTCCATATATCCAATTGCAGACTTTACAAACAGTGTGTTTCCAAACTCCTCTATGAAAAGAAAGGTTAAACTTCTGTGAGTTGAACGCACACATCAAAAAGCACTTTCTGAGAATGATTCTGTCTGGTTATTATACGAAGATATTTCCTTTTCTGCAATTGTCCTCAAATCGCTTGAAATCTCCACCTGAAAATGCCACAGCAGGAGTGTTTCAAATCTGCTCTCTCTAAAGCAAGGTTCAACTCTGTGAGTTGAATACACACAACACAAAAAAGTTACTGAGAACTCTTCTTAGTGTAGCATGAAAGGAAGAAACCCCGTTTGCAACGAAGGCCTCAAAGAGGTCCAAATATCCACTTGCAGACATAACAAGCAGAGTGTTTCTAAACTGCTCTAAGAAAAGAAAGGTTAAACTCTGTGAGTTGAAGGCACACATCACAAAGTAGTTTCTGAGAATGATTCTGTCTAGTTTTTATTTGAAGATATTTCCTTTTCTACTGTTGGCATCAAATCGCTTGAAATCTCCACTTGCAAATTCCACAAAAAGAGTGTTTCAAATCTGCTCTGTGCAAAGGGACGTTCCACTCTGTGAGTTGAATACACACAGCACAAAGAAGTTACTGAGAATTCTTCTGTCTAGCATGAAATGAAGAAATCCCGTTTCCAACGAAGGCCTCAATGCGGTCCATATATCCACTTGCAGACTTTACAAACAGAGTGTTTCCAAACTGCTCTATGAAAAGAAAGGTTAAACTATGTGAGTTGAACGCACACATCACAAAGAATTTTCTGAGAATGATTCTGTCTGGTTTTTATTTGAAGATATTTCCCTTTCTACTGTTGGCATCAAATGGCTAGAAAACTCCACTTGCAAATTCCGCAAAAAGAGTGTTTAAAATCTTCTCTGTCTAAAGGGACGTTCCACTCTGTGAGTTGAATGCACACAACACAAAGAATTTACTGAGAATTCTTCCGTCTAGCATTCAATGAAGAAATCCCGTTTCCAACGAAGGCCTCAAACAGGTCCATATATCCACTTGCAGACTTTACAAACAGTGTGTTTCCAAACTCCTCTATGAAAAGAAAGGTTAAACTCTGTGAGTTGAACGCACACATCACAAAGCACTTTCTGAGAATGATTCTGTCTGGTTATTATACGAAGATATTTCCTTTTGTGCAATTGTCCTCAAATCGCTTGAAATCTCCACCTGAAAATGCCACAGCAAGAGTGTTTCAAATCTGCTCTCTCTAAAGCAAGGTTCAACTCTGTGAGTTGAATACACACAACACAAAAAAGTTACTGAGAACTCTTCTTAGTCTAGCATTAAAGGAAGAAATCCCGTTTGCAACGAAGGCCTCAAAGAGGTCCAAATATCCAGTTGCAGACATAAGAAGCAGAGTGTTTCTAAACTGCTCTAAGAAAAGAAAGGTTAAACTCTGTGAGTTGAAGGCACACATCACAAAGTAGTTTCTGAGAATGATTCTGTCTAGTTTTTATTTGAAGATATTTCCTTTTCTACTGTTGGCATCAAATCGCTTGAAATCTCCACTTGCAAATTCCACAAAAAGAGTGTTTCAAATCTGCTCTGTGCAAAGGGACGTTCCACTCTGTGAGTTGAATACACACAGCACAAAGAAGTTACTGAGAATTCTTCTGTCTAGCATGAAATGAAGAAATCCCGTTTCCAACGAAGGCCTCAATGCGGTCCATATATCCACTTGCAGACTTTACAAACAGAGTGTTTCCAAACTGCTCTATGAAAAGAAAGGTTAAACTATGTGAGTTGAACGCACACATCACAAAGAATTTTCTGAGAATGATTCTGTCTGGTTTTTATTTGAAGATATTTCCCTTTCTACTGTTGGCATCAAATGGCTAGAAATCTCCACTTGCAAATTCCGCAAAAAGAGTGTTTCAAATCTGCTCTGTCTAAAGGGACGTTCCACTCTGTGAGTTGAATGCACACAACACAAAGAATTTACTGAGAATTCTTCCGTCTAGCATTCAATGAAGAAATCCCGTTTCCAACGAAGGCCTCAAACAGGTCCATATATCCACTTGCAGACTTTACAAACAGTGTGTTTCCAAACTCCTCTATGAAAAGAAAGGTTAAACTCTGTGAGTGGAACGCACACATCACAAAGCACTTTCTGAGAATGATTCTGTCTGGTTGTTATACGAAGATATTTCCTTTTCTGTAATTGTCCTCAAATCGCTTGAAATCTCCACCTGAAAATGCCACAGCAAGAGTGTTTCAAATCTGCTCTCTCTAAAGCAAGGTTCAACTCTGTGAGTTGAATACACACAACACAAAAAAGTTACTGAGAACTCTTCTTAGTCTAGCATGAAAGGAAGAAACCCCGTTTGCAACGAAGGCCTCAAAGAGGTCCAAATATCCACTTGCAGACATAACAAGCAGAGTGTTTCTAAACTGCTCTAAGAAAAGAAAGGTTAAACTCTGTGAGTTGAAGGCACACATCACAAAGTAGTTTCTGAGAATGATTCTGTCTAGTTTTTATTTGAAGATATTTCCTTTTCTACTGTTGGCATCAAATCGCTTGAAATCTTCACTTGCAAACTCCACAAAAAGAGTGTTTCAAATCTGCTCTGTGTAAAGGGACGTTCCACTCTGTGAGTTGAATACACACAGCACAAAGAAGTTGCTGAGAATTCTTCTGTCTAGCATGAAATGAAGAAATCCCGTTTCCAACGAAGGCCTCAATGCGGTCCATATATCCACTTGCAGACTTTACAAACAGAGTGTTTCCAAACTGCTCTATGAAAAGAAAGGTTAAACTATGTGAGTTGAACGCACACATCACAAAGAATTTTCTGAGAATGATTCTGTCTGGTTTTTATTTGAAGATATTTCCCTTTCTACTGTTGGCATCAAATGGCTAGAAATCTCCACTTGCAAATTCCGCAAAAAGAGTGTTTCAAATCTGCTCTGTCTAAAGGGACGTTCCACTCTGTGAGTTGAATGCACACAACACAAAGAATTTACTGAGAATTCTTCCGTCTAGCATTCAATGAAGAAATCCCGTTTCCAACGAAGGCCTCAAACAGGTCCATATATCCACTTGCAGACTTTACAAACAGTGTGTTTCCAAACTCCTCTATGAAAAGAAAGGTTAAACTCTGTGAGTGGAACGCACACATCACAAAGCACTTCTGAGAATGATTCTGTCTGGTTGTTATACGAAGATATTTCCTTTTCTGCAATTGTCCTCAAATCGCTTGAAATCTCCACCTGAAAATGCCACAGCAAGAGTGTTTCAAATCTGCTCTCTCTAAAGCAAGGTTCAACTCTGTGAGTTGAATACACACAACACAAAAATGTTACTGAGAACTCTTCTTAGTCTAGCATTAAAGGAAGAAAACCCGTTTGCAACGAAGGCCTCAAAGATGTCCAAATATCCACTTGCAGACATAACAAGCAGAGTGTTTCTAAACTGCTCTAAGAAAAGAAAGGTTAAACTCTGTGAGTTGAAGGCACACATCACAAAGTAGTTTCTGAGAATGATTCTGTCTAGTTTTTATTTGAAGATATTTCCTTTTCTACTGTTGGCATCAAATCGCTTGAAATCTCCACTTGCAAATTCCACAAAAAGAGTGTTTCAAAACTGCTCTGTGTAAAGGGACGTTCCACTCTGTGAGTTGAATACACACAGCACAAAGAAGTTACTGAGAATTCTTCTGTCTAGCATGAAATGAAGAAATCCCGTTTCCAACGAAGGCCTCAATACGGTCCATATATCCACTTGCAGACTTTACAAACAGAGTGTTTCCAAACTGCTCTATGAAAAGAAAGGTTAAACTCTGTGAGTTGAACGCACACATCACAAAGCACTTTCTGAGAATGATTCTGTCTAGTTTTTATTTGAAGATATTTCCTTTTCTACTGTTGGCATCAAATCGCTTGAAATCTCCACTTGCAAATTCCACAAAAAGAGTGTTTCAAATCTGCTCTGTGTAAAGGGACGTTCCACTCTGTGAGTTGAATACACACAGCACAAAGAAGTTACTGAGAATTCTTCTGTCTAGCATGAAATGAAGAAATCCCGTTTCCAACGAAGGCCTCAATGCGGTCCATATATCCACTTGCAGACTTTACAAACAGAGTGTTTCCAAACTGCTCTATGAAAAGAAAGGTTAAACTATGTGAGTTGAACGCACACATCACAAAGAATTTTCTGAGAATGATTCTGTCTGGTTTTTATTTGAAGATATTTCCCTTTCTACTGTTGGCATCAAATGGCTAGAAATCTCCACTTGCAAATTCCGCAAAAAGAGTGTTTCAAATCTGCTCTGTCTAAAGGGACGTTCCACTCTGTGAGTTGAATGCACACAACACAAAGAATTTACTGAGAATTCTTCCGTCTAGCATTCAATGAAGAAATCCCGTTTCCAACGAAGGCCTCAAACAGGTCCATATATCCACTTGCAGACTTTACAAACAGTGTGTTTCCAAACTCCTCTATGAAAAGAAAGGTTAAACTCTGTGAGTTGAACGCACACATCACAAAGCACTTTCTGAGAATGATTCTGTCTGGTTATTATACGAAGATATTTCCTTTTCTGCAATTGTCCTCAAATCGCTTGAAATCTCCACCTGAAAATGCCACAGCAAGAGTGTTTCAAATCTGCTCTCTCTAAAGCAAGGTTCAACTCTGTGAGTTGAATACACACAACACAAAAAAGTTACTGAGAACTCTTCTTAGTCTAGCATTACAGGAAGAAATCCCGTTTGCAACGAAGGCCTCAAAGAGGTCCAAATATCCACTTGCAGACATAAGCAGCAGAGTGTTTCTAAACTGCTCTAAGAAAAGAAAGGTTAAACTCTGTGAGTTGAAGGCACACATCACAAAGTAGTTTCTGAGAATGATTCTGTCTAGTTTTTATTAGAAGATATTTCCTTTTCTACTGCTGGCATCAAATCGCTTGAAATCTCCACTTGCAAATTCCACAAAAAGAGTGTTTCAAATCTGCTCTGTCTAAAGGGACGTTCCACTCTGTGAGTTGAATACACACAACACAAAGAAGTTACTGAGAATTCTTCTGTCTAGCATGAAATGAAGAAATCCCGTTTCCAACGAAGGCCTCAAAGCGGTCCATATATCTACTTGCAGACTTTACAAGCAGAGTGTTTCCAAACTGCTCTATGAAAAGAAAGGTTAAACTATGTGAGTTGAACGCACACATCACAAAGAATTTTCTGAGAATGATTCTGTCTGGTTTTTATTTGAAGATATTTCCCTTTCTACTGTTGGCATCAAATGGCTAGAAATCTCCACTTGCAAATTCCGCAAAAAGAGTGTTTCAAATCTGCTCTGTCTAAAGGGACGTTCCACTCTGTGAGTTGAATGCACACAACACAAAGAATTTACTGAGAATTCTTCCGTCTAGCATTCAATGAAGAAATCCCGTTTCCAACGAAGGCCTCAAACAGGTCCATATATCCACTTGCAGAGTTTACAAACAGTGTGTTTCCAAACTCCTCTATGAAAAGAAAGGTTAAACTCTGTGAGTGGAACGCACACATCACAAAGCACTTTCTGAGAATGATTCTGTCTGGTTATTATACGAAGATATTTCCTTTTCTGCAATTGTCCTCAAATCGCTTGAAATCTCCACCTGAAAATGCCACAGCAAGAGTGTTTCAAATCTGCTCTCTCTAAAGCAAGGTTCAACTCTGTGAGTTGAATACACACAACACAAAAAAGTTACTGAGAACTCTTCTTAGTCTAGCATTAAAGGAAGAAACCCCGTTTGCAACGAAGGCCTCAAAGAGGTCCAAATATCCACTTGCAGACATAACAAGCAGAGTGTTTCTAAACTGCTCTAAGAAAAGAAAGGTTAAATTCTGTGAGTTGAAGGCACACATCACAAAGTAGTTTCTGAGAATGATTCTGTCTAGTTTTTATTTGAAGATATTTCCTTTTCTACTGTTGGCATCAAATCGCTTGAAATCTCCACTTGCAAACTCCACAAAAAGAGTGTTTCAAATCTGCTCTGTGCAAAGGGACGTTCCACTCTGTGAGTTGAATACACACAGCACAAAGAAGTTACTGAGAATTCTTCTGTCTAGCATGAAATGAAGAAATCCCGTTTCCAACGAAGGCCTCAATGCGGTCCATATATCCACTTGCAGACTTTACAAACAGAGTGTTTCCAAACTGCTCTATGAAAAGAAAGGTTAAACTATGTGAGTTGAACGCACACATCACAAAGAATTTTCTGAGAATGATTCTGTCTGGTTTTTATTTGAAGATATTTCCCTTTCTACTGTTGGCATCAAATGGCTAGAAATCTCCACTTGCAAATTCCGCAAAAAGAGTGTTTCAAATCTGCTCTGTCTAAAGGGACGTTCCACTCTGGGAGTTGAATGCACACAACACAAAGAATTTACTGAGAATTCTTCCGTCTAGCAGTCAATGAAGAAATCCCGTTTCCAACGAAGGCCTCAAACAGGTCCATATATCCAATTGCAGACTTTACAAACAGTGTGTTTCCAAACTCCTCTATGAAAAGAAAGGTTAAACTCTGTGAGTGGAACGCACACATCACAAAGCACTTTCTGAGAATGATTCTGTCTGGTTATTATACGAAGATATTTCCTTTTCTGCAATTGTCCTCAAATCGCTTGAAATCTCCACCTGAAAATGCCACAGCAAGAGTGTTTCAAATCTGCTCTCTCTAAAGCAAGGTTCAACTCTGTGAGTTGAATACACACAACACAAAAAAGTTACTGAGAACTCTTCTTAGTCTAGCATGAAAGGAAGAAACCCCGTTTGCAACGAAGGCCTCAAAGAGGTCCAAATATCCACTTGCAGACATAACAAGCAGAGTGTTTCTAAACTGCTCTAAGAAAAGAAAGGTTAAACTCTGTGAGTTGAAGGCACACATCACAAAGTAGTTTCTGAGAATGATTCTGTCTAGTTTTTATTTGAAGATATTTCCTTTTCTACTGTTGGCATCAAATCGCTTGAAATCTCCACTTGCAAACTCCACAAAAAGAGTGTTTCAAATCTGCTCTGTGTAAAGGGACGTTCCACTCTGTGAGTTGAATACACACAGCACAAAGAAGTTACTGAGAATTCTTCTGTCTAGCATGAAATGAAGAAATCCCGTTTCCAACGAAGGCCTCAATGCGGTCCATATATCCACTTTCAGACTTTACAAACAGAGTGTTTCCAAACTGCTCTATGAAAAGAAAGGTTAAACTATGTGAGTTGAACGCACACATCACAAAGAATTTTCTGAGAATGATTCTGTCTGGTTTTTATTTGAAGATATTTCCCTTTCTACTGTTGGCATCAAATGGCTAGAAATCTCCACTTGCAAATTCCGCAAAAAGAGTGTTTCAAATCTGCTCTGTCTAAAGGGACGTTCCACTCTGTGAGTTGAATGCACACAACACAAAGAATTTACTGAGAATTCTTCCGTCTAGCATTCAATGAAGAAATCCCGTTTCCAACGAAGGCCTCAAACAGGTCCATATATCCAATTGCAGACTTTACAAACAGTGTGTTTCCAAACTCCTCTATGAAAAGAAAGGTTAAACTCTGTGAGTTGAACGCACACATCACAAAGCACTTTCTGAGAATGATTCTTTCTGGTTATTATACGAAGATATTTCCTTTTCTGCAATTGTCCTCAAATCGCTTGAAATCTCCACCTGAAAATGTCACAGCAAGAGTGTTTCAAATCTGCTCTCTCTAAAGCAAGGTTCAACTCTGTGAGTTGAATACACACAACACAAAAAAGTTACTGAGAACTCTTCTTAGTCTAGCATGAAAGAAGAAACCCCGTTTGCAACGAAGGCCTCAAAGAGGTCCAAATATCCACTTGCAGACATAACAAGCAGAGTGTTTCTAAACTGCTCTAAGAAAAGAAAGGTTAAACTCTGTGAGTTGAAGGCACACATCACAAAGTAGTTTCTGAGAATGATTCTGTCTAGTTTTTATTTGAAGATATTTCCTTTTCTACTGTTGGCATCAAATCGCTTGAAATCTCCACTTGCAAATTCCACAAAAAGAGTGTTTCAAATCTGCTCTGTGTAAAGGGACGTTCCACTCTGTGAGTTGAATACACACAGCACAAAGAAGTTACTGAGAATTCTTTCTGTCTAGCATGAAATGAAGAAATCCCGTTTCCAACGAAGGCCTCAATGCGGTCCATATATCCACTTGCAGACTTTACAAACAGAGTGTTTCCAAACTGCTCTATGAAAAGAAAGGTTAAACTATGTGAGTTGAACGCACACATCACAAAGAATTTTCTGAGAATGATTCTGTCTGGTTTTTATTTGAAGATATTTCCCTTTCTACTGTTGGCATCAAATGGCTAGAAATCTCCACTTGCAAATTCCGCAAAAAGAGTGTTTCAAATCTGCTCTGTCTAAAGGGACGTTCCACTCTGTCAGTTGAATGCACACAACACAAAGAATTTACTGAGAATTCTTCCGTCTAGCATTCAATGAAGAAATCCCGTTTCCAACGAAGGCCTCAAACAGGTCCATATATCCAATTGCAGACTTTACAAACAGTGTGTTTCCAAACTCCTCTATGAAAAGAAAGATTAAACTCTGTGAGTTGAACGCACACATCACAAAGCACTTTCTGAGAATGATTCTGTCTGGTTATTATACGAAGATATTTCCTTTTCTGCAATTGTCCTCAAATCGCTTGAAATCTCCACCTGAAAATGCCACAGCAAGAGTGTTTCAAATCTGCTCTCTCTAAAGCAAGGTTCAACTCTGTGAGTTGAATACACACAACACAAAAAAGTTACTGAGAACTCTTCTTAGTCTAGCATGAAAGGAAGAAACCCCGTTTGCAACGAAGGCCTCAAAGAGGTCCAAATATCCACTTGCAGACATAACAAGCAGAGTGTTTCTAAACTGCTCTAAGAAAAGAAAGGTTGAACTCTGTGAGTTGAAGGCACACATCACAAAGTAGTTTCTGAGAATGATTCTGTCTAGTTTTTATTTGAAGATATTTCCTTTTCTACTGTTGGCATCAAATCGCTTGAAATCTCCACTTGCAAACTCCACAAAAAGAGTGTTTCAAATCTGCTCTGTGTAAAGGGACGTTCCACTCTGTGAGTTGAATACACACAGCACAAAGAAGTTACTGAGAATTCTTCTGTCTAGCATGAAATGAAGAAATCCCGTTTCCAACGAAGGCCTCAATGCGGTCCATATATCCACTTGCAGACTTTACAAACAGAGTGTTTCCAAACTGCTCTATGAAAAGAAAGGTTAAACTATGTGAGTTGAACGCACACATCACAAAGAATTTTCTGAGAATGATTCTGTCTGGTTTTTATTTGAAGATATTTCCCTTTCTACTGTTGGCATCAAATGGCTAGAAATCTCCACTTGCAAATTCCGCAAAAAGAGTGTTTCAAATCTGCTCTGTCTAAAGGGACGTTCCACTCTGTGAGTTGAATGCACACAACACAAAGAATTTACTGAGAATTCTTCCGCCTAGCATTCAATGAAGAAATCCCGTTTCCAACGAAGGCCTCAAACAGGTCCATATATCCACTTGCAGACTTTACAAACAGTGTGTTTCCAAACTCCTCTATGAAAAGAAAGGTTAAACTCTGTGAGTGGAACGCACACATCACAAAGCACTTTCTGAGAATGATTCTGTCTGGTTTTTATACGAAGATATTTGCTTTTCTGCAATTGTCCTCAAATCGCTTGAAATTTCCACCTGAAAATTCCACAGCAAGAGTATATCAAATCTGCTCTCTCTAAAGCAAGGTTCAACTCTGTGAGTTGAATACACAAAACTCAAAGAAGTTACTGAGAATTCTTCTGTCTAGCATTAAACGAAGAAATCCCGTTGCCAACGAAGGTCTCAAAGCGGTCCATATATCCACTTGCAGACTTTACAAACAGAGTTTTTCCAAACTGCTCTATGAAAAGAAAGGTTAAACTATGTGAGTTGAACGCACACATCACAAAGAATTTTCTGAGAATGATTCTGTCTAATTTTTATTTGAAGATATTTCCCTTTCTATTGTTGGCATCAAATGGCTTGAAATCTCCATTTCCAAATTTCGCAAAAAGAGTGTTTCAAATCTGCTCTGTCTAAAGGGACGTTCCACTCGGTGAGTTGAATGCACACAACACAAAGAATTTACTGAGAATTCTTCTGTCTAGCATGAAATGAAGAAATCCCGTTTCCAACGAAGGCCTCAATGCGGTCCATATATCCACTTGCAGACTTTACAAACAGAGTGTTTCCAAACTGCTCTATGAAAAGAAAGGTAAAACTATGTGAGTTGAACGCACACATCACAAAGAATTTTCTGAGAATGATTCTGTCTGGTTTTTATTTGAAGATGTTTCCCTTTCTACTGTTGGCATCAAATGGCTAGAAATCTCCACTTGCAAATTCCGCAAAAAGAGTGTTTCAAATCTGCTCTGTCTAAAGGGACGTTCCACTCTGTCAGTTGAATGCACACAACACAAAGAATTTACTGAGAATTCTTCCGTCTAGCATTCAATGAAGAAATCCCGTTTCCAACGAAGGCCTCAAACAGGTCCATATATCCACTTGCAGACTTTACAAACAGTGTGTTTCCAAACTCCTCTATGAAAAGAAAGGTTAAACTCTGTGAGTGGAACGCACACATCACAAAGCACTTTCTGAGAATGATTCTGTCTGGTTATTATACGAAGATATTTCCTTTTCTGCAATTGTCCTCAAATCGCTTGAAATCTCCACCTGAAAATGCCACAGCAAGAGTGTTTCAAATCTGCTCTCTCTAAAGCAAGGTTCAACTCTGTGAGTTGAATACACACAACACAAAAAAGTTACTGAGAACTCTTCTTAGTCTAACATTAAAGGAAGAAATCCCGTTTGCAACGAAGGCCTCAAAGAGGTCCAATTATCCACTTACAGACATAACAAGCAGAGTGTTTCTAAACTGCTCTAAGAAAAGAAAGTTTAAACTCTGTGAGTTGAAGGCACACATCACAAAGTAGTTTCTGAGAATGATTCTGTCTAGTTTTTATTTGAAGATATTTCCTTTTCTACTGTTGGCATCAAATCGCTTGAAATCTCCACTTGCAAATTCCACAAAAAGAGTGTTTCAAATCTGCTCTGTGTAAAGGGACGTTCCACTCTGTGAGTTGAATACACACAGCACAAAGAAGTTACTTGAGAATTCTTCCCTCTAGCATTCAATGAAGAAATCCCGTTTCCAACGAAGGCCTCAAACAGGTCCATATATCCACTTGCAGACTTTACAAAAAGAGTGTTTCCAAACTGCTCTATGAAAAGAAAGGTTAAACTATGTGAGTTGAACGCACACATCACAAAGAATTTTCTGAGAATGATTCTGTCTGGTTTTTATTTGAAGATATTTCCCTTTCTACTGTTGGCATCAAATGGCTAGAAATCTCCACTTGCAAATTCCGCAAAAAGAGTGTTTCAAATCTGCTCTGTCTAAAGGGACGTTCCACTCTGTCAGTTGAATGCGCACAACACAAAGTATTTACTGAGAATTCTTCCGTCTAGCATGCAATGAAGAAATCCCGTTTCCAACGAAGGCCTCAAACAGGTCCATATATCCAATTGCAGACTTTACAAACAGTGTGTTTCCAAACTCCTCTATGAAAAGAAAGGTTAAACTCTGTGAGTTGAACGCACACATCACAAAGCACTTTCTGAGAATGATTCTGTCTGGTTGTTATACGAAGATATTTCCTTTTCTGCAATTGTCCTCAAATCGCTTGAAATCTCCACCTGAAAATGTCACAGCAAGAGTGTTTCAAATCTGCTCTCTCTAAAGCAAGGTTCAACTCTGTTAGTTGAATACACACAACACAGAAAAGTTACTGAGAACTCTTCTTAGTCTAGCATGAAAGGAAGAAACCCCGTTTGCAACGAAGGCCTCAAAGAGGTCCAAATATCCACTTGCAGACATAACAAGCAGAGTGTTTCTAAACTGCTCTAAGAAAAGAAAGGTTAAACTCTGTGAGTTGAAGGCACACATCACAAAGTAGTTTCTAAATGATTCTGTCTAGTTTTTATTTGAAGATATTTCCTTTTCTACTGCTGGCATCAAATCGCTTGAAATCTCCACTTGCAAACTCCACAAAAAGAGTGTTTCAAATCTGCTCTGTGTAAAGGGACGTTCCACTCTGTGAGTTGAATACACACAGCACAAAGAAGTTACTGAGAATTCTTCTGTCTAGCATGAAATGAAGAAATCCCGTTTCCAACGAAGGCCTCAATGCGGTCCATATATCCACTTGCAGACTTTACAAACAGAGTGTTTCCAAACTGCTCTATGAAAAGAAAGGTTAAATTATGTGAGTTGAACGCACACATCACAAAGAATTTTCTGAGAATGATTCTGTCTGGTTTTTATTTGAAGATATTTCCCTTTCTACTGTTGGCATCAAATGGCTAGAAATCTCCACTTGCAAATTCCGCAAAAAGAGTGTTTCAAATCTGCTCTGTCTAAAGGGACGTTCCACTCTGTGAGTTGAATGCACACAACACGAAAGAATTTACTGAGAATTCTTCCGTCTAGCATTCAATGAAGAAATCCCGTTTCCAACGAAGGCCTCAAAGAGGTCCATATATCCACTTGCAGACTTTACAAACAGTGTGTTTCCAAACTCCTCTATGAAAAGAAAGGTTAAACTCTGTGAGTGGAACGCACACATCACAAAGCACTTTCTGAGAATGATTCTGTCTGGTTATTATACGAAGATATTTCCTTTTCTGCAATTGTCCTCAAATCGCTTGAAATCTCCACCTGAAAATGCCACAGCAAGAGTGTTTCAAATCTGCTCTCTCTAAAGCAAGGTTCAACTCTGTGAGTTGAATACACACAACACAAAAAAGTTACTGAGAACTCTTCTTAGTCTAGCATGAAAGGAAGAAACCCCGTTTGCAACGAAGGCCTCAAAGAGGTCCAAATATCCACTTGCAGACATAACAAGCAGAGTGTTTCTAAACTGCTCTAAGAAAAGAAAGGTTAAACTCTGTGAGTTGAAGGCACACATCACAAAGTAGTTTCTGAGAATGATTCTGTCTAGTTTTTATTTGAAGATATTTCCTTTTCTACTGTTGGCATCAAATCGCTTGAAATCTCCACTTGCAAACTCCACAAAAAGAGTGTTTCAAATCTTCTCTGTGTAAAGGGACGTTCCACTCTGTGAGTTGAATACACACAGCACAAAGAAGTTACTGAGAATTCTTCTGTCTAGCATGAAATGAAGAAATCCCGTTTCCAACGAAGGCCTCAATGCGGTCCATATATCCACTTGCAGACTTTACAAACAGAGTGTTTCCAAACTGCTCTATGAAAAGAAAGGTTAAACTATGTGAGTTGAATGCACACATCACAAAGAATTTTCTGAGAATGATTCTGTCTGGTTTTTATTTGAAGATATTTCCCTTTCTACTGTTGGCATCAAATGGCTAGAAATCTCCACTTGCAAATTCCGCAAAAAGAGTGTTTCAAATCTGCTCTGTCTAAAGGGACGTTCCACTCTGTGAGTTGAATGCACACAACACAAAGAATTTACTGAGAATTCTTCCGTCTAGCATTCAATGAAGAAATCCCGTTTCCAACGAAGGCCTCAAACAGGTCCATATATCCAATTGCAGACTTTACAAACTGTGTGTTTCCAAACTCCTCTATGAAAAGAAAGGTTAAACTCTGTGAGTTGAACGCACACATCACAAAGCACTTTCTGAGAATGATTCTGTCTGGTTATTATACGAAGATATTTCCTTTTCTGCAATTGTCCTCAAAACGCTTGAAATCTCCACCTGAAAATGCCACAGCAAGAGTGTTTCAAATCTGCTCTCTCTAAAGCAAGGTTCAACTCTGTGAGTTGAATACACACAACACAAAAAAGTTACTGAGAACTCTTCTTAGTCTAGCATAAAAGGAAGAAACACCGTTTGCAACGAAGGCCTCAAAGAGGTCCAAATATCCACTTGCAGACATAACAAGCAGAGTGTTTCTAAACTGCTCTAAGAAAAGAAAGGTTAAACTCTGAGTTGAAGGCACACATCACAAAGTAGTTTCTGAGAATGATTCTGTCTAGTTTTTATTTGAAGATATTTCCTTTTCTACTGTTGGCATCAAATCGCTTGAAATCTCCACTTGCAAACTCCACAAAAAGAGTGTTTCAAATCTGCTCTGTGTAAAGGGACGTTCCAATCTGTGAGTTGAATACACACAGCACAAAGAAGTTACTGAGAATTCTTCTGTCTAGCATGAAATGAAGAAATCCCGTTTCCAACGAAGGCCTCAATGCGGTCCATATATCCACTTGCAGACTTTACAAACAGAGTGTTTCCAAACTGCTCTATGAAAAGAAAGGTTAAACTATGTGAGTTGAACGCACACATCACAAAGAATTTTCTGAGAATGATTCTGTCTGGTTTTTATTTGAAGATATTTCCCTTTCTACTGTTGGCATCAAATGGCTAGAAATCTCCACTTGCAAATTCCGCAAAAAGAGTGTTTCAAATCTGCTCTGTCTAAAGGGACGTTCCACTCTGTGAGTTGAATGCACACAACACAAAGAATTTACTGAGAATTCTTCCGTCTATCATTATATGATAAAATCCCGTTTCCAACGAAGGCCTCAAACAGGTCCATATATCCAATTGCAGACTTTACAAACAGTGTGTTTCCAAACTCCTCTATGAAAAGAAAGGTTAAACTCTGTGAGTTGAACGCACACATCACAAAGCACTTTCTGAGAATGATTCTGTCTGGTTATTATACGAAGATATTTCCTTTTCTGCAATTGTCCTCAAATCGTTTGAAATCTCCACCTGAAAATGCCACAGCGAGAGTGTTTCAAATCTGCTCTCTCTAAAGCAAGGTTCAACTCTGTGAGTTGAATAAACACAACACAAAAAAGTTACTGAGAACTCTTCTTAGTCTAGCATGAAAGGAAGAAACCCCGTTTGCAACGAAGGCCTCAAAGAGGTCCAAATATCCACTTGCAGACATAACAAGCAGAGTGTTTCTAAACTGCTCTAAGAAAAGAAAGGTTAAACTCTGTGAGTTGAAGGCACACATCACAAAGTAGTTTCTGAGAATGATTCTGTCTAGTTTTTATTTGAAGATATTTCCTTTTCTACTGTTGGCATCAAATCGCTTGAAATCTCCACTTGCAAACTCCACAAAAAGAGTGTTTCAAATCTGCTCTGTGCAAAGGGACGTTCCACTTTGTGAGTTGAGTACACACAGCACAAAGAAGTTACTGAGAATTCTTTTGTCTAGCATGAAATGAAGAAATCCCGTTTCCAACGAAGGCCTCAATGCGGTCCATATATCCACTTGCAGACTTTACAAACAGAGTGTTTCCAAACTGCTCCATGAAAAGAAAGGTTAAACTATGTGAGTTGAACGCACACATCACAAAGAATTTTCTGAGAATGATTCTGTCTGGTTTTTATTTGAAGATATTTCCCTTTCTACTGTTGGCATCAAATGGCTAGAAATCTCCACTTGCAAATTCCGCAAAAAGAGTGTTTCAAATCTGCTCTGTCTAAAGGGACGTTCCACTCTGTGAGTTGAATGCACACAACACAAAGAATTTACTGAGAATTCTTCCGTCTAGCATTCAATGAAGAAATCCCGTTTCCAACGAAGGCCTCAAACAGGTCCATATATCCAATTGCAGACTTTACAAACAGTGTGTTTCCAAACTCCTCTATGAAAAGAAAGGTTAAACTCTGTGAGTTGAACGGACACATCACAAAGCACTCTCTGAGAATGATTCTGTCTGGTTATTATACGAAGATATTTCCTTTTCTGCAATTGTCCTCAAATCGCTTGAAATCTCCACCTGAAAAGGCCACAGCAAGAGTGTTTCAAATCTGCTCTCTCTAAAGCAAGGTTCAACTCTGTGAGTTGAATACACACAACACAAAAAAGTTACTGAGAACTCTTCTTAGTCTAGCATGAAAGGAAGAAACCCCGTTTGCAACGAAGGCCTCAAAGAGGTCCAAATATCCACTTGCAGACATAACAAGCAGAGTGTTTCTAAACTGCTCTAAGAAAAGAAAGGTTAAACTCTGTGAGTTGAAGGCACACATCACAAAGTAGTTTTTGAGAATGATTCTGTCTAGTTTTTATTTGAAGATATTTCCTTTTCTACTGTTGGCATCAAATCGCTTGAAATCTCCACTTGCAAACTCCACAAAAAGAGTGTTTCAAATCTGCTCTGTGCAAAGGGACGTTCCACTCTGTGAGTTGAATACACACAGCACAAAGAAGTTACTGAGAATTCTTCTGTCTAGCATGAAATGAAGAAATCCCGTTTCCAACGAAGGCCTCAATGCGGTCCATATATCCACTTGCAGACTTTACAAACAGAGTGTTTCCAAACTGCTCTATGAAAAGAAAGGTTAAACTATGTGAGTTGAACGCACACATCACAAAGAATTTTCTGAGAATGATTCTGTCTGGTTTTTATTTGAAGATATTTCCCTTTCTACTGTTGGCATCAAATGGCTAGAAATCTCCACTTGCAAATTCCGCAAAAAGAGTGTTTCAAATCTGCTCTGTCTAAAGGGACGTTCCACTCTGTGAGTTGAATGCACACAACACAAAGAATTTACTGAGAATTCCTCCGTCTAGCATTCAATGAAGAAATCCCGTTTCCAACGAAGGCCTCAAACAGGTCCATATATCCAATTGCAGACTTTACAAACAGTGTGTTTCCAAACTCCTCTATGAAAAGAAAGGTTAAACTCTGTGAGTTGAACGCACACATCACAAAGCACTTTCTGAGAATGATTCTGTCTGGTTGTTATACGAAGATATTTCCTTTTCTGCAATTGTCCTCAAATCGCTTGAAATCTCCACCTGAAAATGTCACAGCAAGAGTGTTTCAAATCTGCTCTCTCTAAAGCAAGGTTCAACTCTGTGAGTTGAATACACACAACACAGAAAAGTTACTGAGAACTCTTCTTAGTCTAGCATGAAAGGAAGAAACCCCGTTTGCAACGAAGGCCTCAAAGAGGTCCAAATATCCACTTGCAGACATAACAAGCAGAGTGTTTCTAAACTGCTCTAAGAAAAGAAAGGTTAAACTCTGTGAGTTGAAGGCACACATCACAAAGTAGTTTCTGAGAATGATTCTGTCCAGTTTTTATTTGAAGATATTTCCTTTTCTACTGTTGGCATCAAATCGCTTGAAATCTCCACTTGCAAACTCCACAAAAAGAGTGTTTCAAATCTGCTCTGTGTAAAGGGACGTTCCACTCTGTGAGTTGAATACACACAGCACAAAGAAGTTACTGAGAATTCTTCTGTCTAGCATGAAATGAAGAAATCCCGTTTCCAACGAAGGCCTCAATGCGGTCCATATATCCACTTGCAGACTTTACAAACAGAGTGTTTCCAAACTGCTCTATGAAAAGAAAGGTTAAACTATGTGAGTTGAACGCACACATCACAAAGAATTTTCTGAGAATGATTCTGTCTGGTTTTTATTTGAAGATATTTCCCTTTCTACTGTTGGCATCAAATGGCTAGAAATCTCCACTTGCAAATTCCGCAAAAAGAGTGTTTCAAATCTGCTCTGTCTTAAGGGACGTTCCACTCTCTGAGTTGAATGCACACAACACAAAGAATTTACTGAGAATTCTTCCGTCTAGCATTCAATGAAGAAATCCCGTTTCCAACGAAGGCCTCAAACAGGTCCATATATCCAATTGCAGACTTTACAAACAGTGTGTTTCCAAACTCCTCTATGAAAAGAAAGGTTAAACTCTGTGAGTTGAACGCACACATCACAAAGCACTTTCGGAGAATGATTCTGTCTGGTTGTTATACGAAGATATTTCCTTTTCTGTAATTGTCCTCAAATCGCTTGAAATCTCCACCTGAAAATGCCACAGCAAGAGTGTTTCAAATCTGCTCTCTCTAAAGCAAGGTTCAACTCTGTGAGTTGAATACACACAACACAAAAAAGTTACTGAGAACTCTTCTTAGTCTAGCATTAAAGGAAGAAACCCCGTTTGCAACGAAGGCCTCAAAGAGGTCCAAATATCCACTTGCAGACATAACAAGCAGAGTGTTTCTAAACTGCTCTAAGAAAAGAAAGGTTAAACTCTGTGAGTTGAAGGCACACATCACAAAGTAGTTTCTGAGAATGATTCTGTCTAGTTTTTATTTGAAGATATTTCCTTTTCTACTGTTGGCATCAAATCGCTTGAAATCTCCACTTGCAAACTCCACAAAAAGAGTGTTTCAAATCTGCTCTGTGTAAAGGGACGTTCCACTCTGTGAGTTGAATACACACAGCACAAAGAAGTTACTGAGAATTCTTCTGTCTAGCATGAAATGAAGAAATCCCGTTTCCAACGAAGGCCTCAATGCGGTCCATATATCCACTTGCAGACTTTACAAACAGAGTGTTTCCAAACTGCTCTATGAAAAGAAAGGTTAAACTATGTGAGTTGAACGCACACATCACAAAGAATTTTCTGAGAATGATTCTGTCTGGTTTTTATTTGAAGATATTTCCCTTTCTACTGTTGGCATCAAATGGCTAGAAATCTCCACTTGCAAATTCCGCAAAAAGAGTGTTTCAAATCTGCTCTGTCTAAAGGGACGTTCCACTCTGTGAGTTGAATGCACACAACACAAAGAATTTACTGAGAATTCTTCCGTCTAGCATTCAATGAAGAAATCCCGTTTCCAACGAAGGCCTCAAACAGGTCCATATATCCACTTGCAGACTTTACAAACAGTGTGTTTCCAAACTCCTCTATGAAAAGAAAGGTTAAACTCTGTGAGTTGAACGCACACATCACAAAGCACTTTCTGAGAATGATTCTGTCTGGTTATTATACGAAGATATTTCCTTTTCTGCAATTGTCCTCAAATCGCTTGAAATCTCCACCTGAAAATGCCACAGCAAGAGTGTTTCAAATCTGCTCTCTCTAAAGCAAGGTTCAACTCTGTGAGTTGAATACACACAACACAAAAAAGTTACTGAGAACTCTTCTTAGTCTAGCATGAAAGGAAGAAACCCCGTTTGCAACGAAGGCCTCAAAGAGGTCCAAATATCCACTTGCAGACATAACAAGCAGAGTGTTTCTAAACTGCTCTAAGAAAAGAAAGGTTAAACTCTGTGAGTTGAAGGCACACATCACAAAGTAGTTTCTGAGAATGATTCTGTCTAGTTTTTATTTGAAGATATTTCCTTTTCTACTGTTGGCATCAAATCGCTTGAAATCTCCACTTGCAAATTCCACAAAAAGAGTGTTTCAAATCTGCTCTGTGCAAAGGGACGTTCCACTCTGTGAGTTGAATACACACAGCACAAAGAAGTTACTGAGAATTCTTCTGTCTAGCATGAAATGAAGAAATCCCGTTTCCAACGAAGGCCTCAATGCGGTCCATATATCCACTTGCAGACTTTACAAACAGAGTGTTTCCAAACTGCTCTATGAAAAGAAAGGTTAAACTATGTGAGTTGAACGCACACATCACAAATAATTTTCTGAGAATGATTCTGTCTGGTTTTTATTTGAAGATATTTCCCTTTCTACTGTTGGCATCAAATGGCTAGAAATCTCCACTTGCAAATTCCGCAAAAAGAGTGTTTCAAATCTGCTCTGTCTAAAGGGACGTTCCACTCTGTGAGTTGAATGCACACAACACAAAGAATTTACTGAGAATTCTTCCGTCTAGCATTCAATGAGGAAATCCCGTTTCCAAAGAAGGCCTCAAACAGGTCCATATATCCAATTGCAGACTTTACAAACAGTGTGTTTCCAAACTCCTCTATGAAAAGAAAGGTTAAACTCTGTGAGTTGAACGCACACATCACAAAGCACTTTCTGAGAATGATTCTGTCTGGTTATTATACGAAGATATTTCCTTTTTGCAATTGTCCTCAAATCGCTTGAAATCTCCACCTGAAAATGCCACATCAAGAGTGTTTCAAATCTGCTCTCTCTAAAGCAAGGTTCAACTCTGTGAGTTGAATACACACAACACAAAAAAGTTACTGAGAACTCTTCTTAGTCTAGCATGAAAGGAAGAAACCCCGTTTGCAACGAAGGCCTCAAAGAGGTCCAAATATCCACTTGCAGACATAACAAGCAGAGTGTTTCTAAACTGCTCTAAGAAAAGAAAGGTTAAACTCTGTGAGTTGAAGGCACACATCACAAAGTAGTTTTTGAGAATGATTCTGTCTAGTTTTTATTTGAAGATATTTCCTTTTCTACTGTTGGCATCAAATCGCTTGAAATCTCCAATTGCAAACTCCACAAAAAGAGTGTTTCAAATCTGCTCTGTGTAAAGGGACGTTCCACTCTGTGAGTTGAATACACACAGCACAAAGAAGTTACTGAGAATTCTTCTGTCTAGCATGAAATGAAGAAATCCCGTTTCCAACGAAGGCCTCAATGCGGTCCATATATCCACTTGCAGACTTTACAAACAGAGTGTTTCCAAACTGCTCTATGAAAAGAAAGGTTAAACTATGTGAGTTGAACGCACACATCACAAAGAATTTTCTGAGAATGATTCTGTCTGGTTTTTATTTGAAGATGTTTCCCTTTCTACTGTTGGCATCAAATGGTTAGAAATCTCCACTTGCAAATTCCGCAAAAAGAGTGTTTCAAATCTGCTCTGTCTAAAGGGACGTTCCACTCTGTCAGTTGAATGCACACAACACAAAGAATTTAGTGAGAATTCTTCCGTCTAGCATTCAATGAAGAAATCCCGTTTCCAACGAAGGCCTCAAACAGGTCTATATATCCAATTGCAGACTTTACAAACAGTGTGTTTCCAAACTCCTCTATGGAAAGAAAGGTTAAACTCTGTGAGTTGAACGCACACATCACAAAGCACTTTCTGAGAATGATTCTGTCTGGTTATTATACGAAGATATTTCCTTTTCTGCAATTGTCCTCAAAACGCTTGAAATCTCCACCTGAAAATGCCACAGCAAGAGTGTTTCAAATCTGCTCTCTCTAAAGCAAGGTTCAACTCTGTGAGTTGAATACACACAACACAAAAAAGTTACTGAGAACTCTTCTTAGTCTAGCATGAAAGGAAGAAACCCCGTTTGCAACGAAGGCCTCAAAGAGGTCCAAATATCCACTTGCAGACATAACAAGCAGAGTGTTTCTAAAGTGCTCTAAGAAAAGAAAGGTTAAACTCTGTGAGTTGAAGGCACACATCACAAAGTAGTTTCTGAGAATGATTCTGTCTAGTTTTTATTTGAAGATATTTCCTTTTCTACTGTTGGCATCAAATCGCTTGAAATCTCCACTTGCAAACTCCACAAAAAGAGTGTTTCAAATCTGCTCTGTGCAAAGGGACGTTCCACTCTGTGAGTTGAATACACACAGCACAAAGAAGTTACTGAGAATTCTTCTGTCTAGCATGAAATGAAGAAATCCCGTTTCCAACGAAGGCCTCAATGCGGTCCATATATCCACTTGCAGACTTTACAAACAGAGTGTTTCCAAACTGCTCTATGAAAAGAAAGGTTAAACTATGTGAGTTGAACGCACACATCACAAAGAATTTTCTGAGAATGATTCTGTCTGGTTTTTATTTGAAGATATTTCCCTTTCTACTGTTGGCATCAAATGGCTAGAAATCTCCACTTGCAAATTCCGCAAAAAGAGTGTTTCAAATCTGCTCTGTCTAAAGGGACGTTCCACTCTGTGAGTTGAATGCACACAACACAAAGAATTTACTGAGAATTCTTCCGTCTAGCATTCAATGAAGAAATCCCGTTTCCAACGAAGGCCTCAAACAGGTCCATATATCCACTTGCAGACTTTACAAACAGTGTGTTTCCAAACTCCTCTATGAAAAGAAAGGTTAAACTCTGTGAGTTGAACGCACACATCACAAAGCACTTTCTGAGAATGATTCTGTCTGGTTATTATACGAAGATATTTCCTTTTCTGCAATTGTCCTCAAATCGCTTGAAATCTCCACCTGAAAATGCCACAGCAAGAGTGTTTCAAATCTGCTCTCTCTAAAGCAAGGTTCAACTCTGTTAGTTGAATACACACAACACAAAAAAGTTACTGAGAACTCTTCTTAGTCTAGCATGAAAGGAAGAAACCCCGTTTGCAACGAAGGCCTCAAAGTAGGTCCAAATATCCACTTGCAGACATAACAAGCAGAGTGTTTCTAAACTGCTCTAAGAAAAGAAAGGTTAAACTCTGTGAGTTGAAGGCACACATCACAAAGTAGTTTCTGAGAATGATTCTGTCTAGTTTTTATTTGAAGATATTTCCTTTTCTACTGTTGGCATCAAATCGCTTGAAATCTCCACTTGCAAACTCCACAAAAAGAGTGTTTCAAATCTGCTCTGTGCAAAGGGACGTTCCACTCTGTGAGTTGAATACACACAGCACAAAGAAGTTACTGAGAATTCTTCTGTCTAGCATGAAATGAAGAAATCCCGTTTCCAACGAAGGCCTCAATGCGATCCATATATCCACTTGCAGACTTTACAAACAGAGTGTTTCCAAACTGCTCTATGAAAAGAAAGGTTAAACTATGTGAGTTGAACGCACACATCACAAAGAATTTTCTGAGAATGATTCTGTCTGGTTTTTATTTGAAGATATTTCCCTTTCTACTGTTGGCATCAAATGGCTAGAAATCTCCACTTGCAAATTCCGCAAAAAGAGTGTTTCAAATCTGCTCTGTCTAAAGGGACGTTCCACTCTGTGAGTTGAATGCACACCACACAAAGAATTTACTGAGAATTCTTCCGTCTAGCATTCAATGAAGAAATCCCGTTTCCAACGAAGGCCTCAAACAGGTCCATATATCCAATTGCAGACTTTACAAACAGTGTGTTTCCAAACTCCTCTATGAAAAGAAAGGTTAAACTCTGTGAGTTGAACGCACACATCACAAAGCACTTTCTGAGAATGATTCTGTCTGGTTATTATACGAAGATATTTCCTTTTCTGCAATTGTCCTCAAATCGCTTGAAATCTCCACCTGAAAATGCCACAGCAAGAGTGTTTCAAATCTGCTCTCTCTAAAGCAAGGTTCAACTCTGTGAGTTGAATACACACAACACAAAAAAGTTACTGAGAACTCTTCTTAGTCTAGCATGAAAGGAAGAAACCCCGTTTGCAACGAAGGCCTCAAAGAGGTCCAAATATCCACTTGCAGACATAACAAGCAGAGTGTTTCTAACCTGCTCTAAGAAAAGAAAGGTTAAACTCTGTGAGTTGAAGGCACACATCACAAAGTAGTTTCTGAGAATGATTCTGTCTAGTTTTTATTTGAAGATATTTCCTTTTCTACTGTTGGCATCAAATCGCTTGAAATCTCCACTTGCAAACTCCACAAAAAGAGTGTTTCAAATCTGCTCTGTGTAAAGGGACGTTCCACTCTGTGAGTTGAATACACACAGCACAAAGAAGTTACTGAGAATTCTTCTGTCTAGCATGAAATGAAGAAATCCCGTTTCCAACGAAAGCCTCAATGCGGTCCATATATCCACTTGCAGACTTTACAAACAGAGTGTTTCCAAACTGCTCTATGAAAAGAAAGGTTAAACTATGTGAGTTGAACGCACACATCACAAAGAATTTTCTGAGAATGATTCTGTCTGGTTTTTATTTGAAGATATTTCCCTTTCTACTGTTGGCATCAAATGGCTAGAAATCTCCACTTGCAAATTCCGCAAAAAGAGTGTTTCAAATCTGCTCTGTCTAAAGGGACGTTCCACTCTGTCAGTTGAATGCACACAACACAAAGTATTTACTGAGAATTCTTCCGTCTAGCATTCAATGAAGAAATCCCGTTTCCAACGAAGGCCTCAAACAGGTCCATATATCCAATTGCAGACTTTACAAACAGTGTGTTTCCAAACTCCTCTATGAAAAGAAAGGTTAAACTCTGTGAGTGGAACGCACACATCACAAAGCACTTTCTGAGAATGATTCTGTCTGGTTGTTATACGAAGATATTTCCTTTTCTGCAATTGTCCTCAAATCGCTTGAAATCTCCACCTGAAAATGCCACAGCAAGAGTGTTTCAAATCTGCTCTCTCTAAAGCAAGGTTCAGCTCTGTGAGTTGAATACACACAACACAAAAAAGTTACTGAGAACTCTTCTTAGTCTAGCATGAAAGGAAGAAACCCCGTTTGCAACGAAGGCCTCAAAGTAGGTCCAAATATCCACTTGCAGACATAACAAGCAGAGTGTTTCTAAACTGCTCTAAGAAAAGAAAGGTTAAACTCTGTGAGTTGAAGGCACACATCACAAAGTAGTTTCTGAGAATGATTCTGTCTAGTTTTTATTTGAAGATATTTCCTTTTCTACTGTTGGCATCAAATCGCTTGAAATCTCCACTTGCAAATTCCACAAAAAGAGTGTTTCAAATCTGCTCTGTGCAAAGGGACGTTCCACTCTGTGAGTTGAATACACACAGCACAAAGAAGTTACTGAGAATTCTTCTGTCTAGCATGAAATGAAGAAATCCCGTTTCCAACGAAGGCCTCAAAGCGGTCCATATATCCACTTGCAGACATTACCAACAGAGTGTTTCCAAACTGCTCTATGAAAAGAAAGGTTAAACTATGTGAGTTGAACGCACACATCACAAAGAATTTTCTGAGAATGATTCTGTCTAGTTTTTATTTGAAGATATTTCCCTTTCTAGAGTTGCCATCAAATGGCTAGAAATCTCCACTTGCAAATTCCGCAAAAAGAGTGTTTCAAATCTGCTCTGTCTAAAGGGACGTTCCACTCTGTGAGTTGAATGCACACAACAAAAAGAATTTACTGAGAATTCTTCCGTCTAGCATTATATGATAAAATCCCGTTTCCAACGAAGGCCTCAAACAGGTCCATATATCCACTTGCAGACTTTGCAAATAGTGTGTTTCCAAACTCCCCTATGAAAAGAAAGGTTAAGCTCTGTGAGTTGAACGCACGCATCACAAAGCACTTTCTGAGAATGATTCTGTCTGGTTATTATACGAAGATATTTCCTTTTCTGCAATTGTCCTCAAAACGCTTGAAATCTCCACCTGAAAATGCCACAGCAAGAGTGTTTCAAATCTGCTCTCTCTAAAGCAAGGTTCAACTCTGTGAGTTGAATACACACAACACAAAAAAGTTACTGAGAACTCTTCTTAGTCTAGCATTAAAGGAAGAAACCCCGTTTGCAACGAAGGCCTAAAAGAGGTCCAAATATCCACTTGCAGACATAACAAGCAGAGTGTTTCTAAACTGCTCTAAGAAAAGAAAGGTTAAACTCTGTGAGTTGAAGGCACACATCACAAAGTAGTTTCTGAGAATGATTCTGTCTAGTTTTTATTTGAAGATATTTCCTTTTCTACTGTTGGCATCAAATCGCTTGAAATCTCCACTTGCAAATTCCACAAAAAGAGTGTTTCAAATCTGCTCTGTGTAAAGGGACGTTCCACTCTGTGAGTTGAATACACACAGCACAAAGAAGTTACCGAGAATTCTTCTGTCTAGCATGAAATGAAGAAATCCCGTTTCCAACGAAGGCCTCAATGCGGTCCATATATCCACTTGCAGACTTTACAAACAGAGTGTTTCCAAACTGCTCTATGAAAAGAAAGGTTAAACTATGTGAGTTGAACGCACACATCACAAAGAATTTTCTGAGAATGATTCTGTCTAGTTTTTATTTGAAGGTATTTCCCTTTCTACTGTTGGCGTCAAATGGCTAGAAATCTCCACTTGCAAATTCCGCAAAAAGAGTGTTTCAAATCTGCTCTGTCTAAAGGGACGTTCCACTCTGTGAGTTGAATGCACACAACACAAAGAATTTACTGAGAATTCTTCCGTCTAGCATTCAATGAAGAAATCCCGTTTCCAACGAAGGCCTCAAACAGGTCCATATATCCACTTGCAGACTTTACAAACAGTGTGTTTCCAAACTCCTCTATGAAAAGAAAGGTTAAACTCTGTGAGCTGAACGCACATATCACAAAGCACTTTCGGAGAATGATTCTGTCTGGTTGTTATACGAAGATATTTCCTTTTCTGTAATTGTCCTCAAATCGCTTGAAATCTCCACCTGAAAATGCCACAGCAAGAGTGTTTCAAATCTGCTCTCTCTAAAGCAAGGTTCAACTCTGTGAGTTGAATACACACAACACAAAAAAGTTACTGAGAACTCTTCTTAGTCTAGCATTAAAGGAAGAAACCCCGTTTGCAACGAAGGCCTCAAAGAGGTCCAAATATCCACTTGCAGACATAACAAGCAGAGTGTTTCTAAACTGCTCTAAGAAAAGAAAGGTTAAACTCTGTGAGTTGAAGGCACACATCACAAAGTAGTTCCTGAGAATGATTCTGTCTAGTTTTTATTTGAAGATATTTCCTTTTCTACTGTTGGCATCAAATCGCTTGAAATCTCCACTTGCAAACTCCACAAAAAGAGTGTTTCAAATCTGCTCTGTGCAAAGGGACGTTCCACTCTGTGAGTTGAATACACACAGCACAAAGAAGTTACTGAGAATTCTTCTGTCTAGCATGAAATGAAGAAATCCCGTTTCCAACGAAGGCCTCAATGCGGTCCATATATCCACTTGCAGACTTTACAAACAGAGTGTTTCCAAACTGCTCTATGAAAAGAAAGGTTAAACTATGTGAGTTGAACGCACACATCACAAAGAATTTTCTGAGAATGATTCTGTCTGGTTTTTATTTGAAGATATTTCCCTTTCTACTGTTGGCATCAAATGGCTAGAAATCTCCACTTGCAAATTCCGCAAAAAGAGTGTTTCAAATCTGCTCTGTCTAAAGGGACGTTCCACTCTGTGAGTTGAATGCACACAACACAAAGAATTTACTGAGAATTCTTCCGTCTAGCATTCAATGAAGAAATCCCGTTTCCAACGAAGGCCTCAAACAGGTCCATATATCCAATTGCAGACTTTACAAACAGTGTGTTTCCAAACTCCTCTATGAAAAGAAAGGTTAAACTCTGTGAGTGGAACGCACACATCACAAAGCACTTTCTGAGAATGATTCTGTCTGGTTATTATACGAAGATATTTCCTTTTCTGCAATTGTCCTCAAATCGCTTGAAATCTCCACCTGAAAATGCCACAGCAAGAGTGTTTCAAATCTGCTCTCTCTAAAGCAAGGTTCAACTCTGTGAGTTGAATACACACAACACAAAAAAGTTACTGAGAACTCTTCTTAGTCTAGCATTAAAGGAAGAAACCCCGTTTGCAACGAAGGCCTCAAAGAGGTCCAAATATCCACTTGCAGACATAACAAGCAGAGTGTTTCTAAACTGCTCTAAGAAAAGAAAGGTTAAACTCTGTGAGTTGAAGGCACACATCACAAAGTAGTTTCTGAGAATGATTCTGTCTAGTTTTTATTTGAAGATATTTCCTTTTCTACTGTTGGCATCAAATCGCTTGAAATCTCCACTTGCAAATTCCACAAAAAGAGTGTTTCTAATCTGCTCTGTGCAAAGGGACGTTCCACTCTGTGAGTTGAATACACACAGCACAAAGAAGTTACTGAGAATTCTTCTGTCTAGCATGAAATGAAGAAATCCCGTTTCCAACGAAGGCCTCAATGCGGTCCATATATCCACTTGCAGACTTTACAAACAGAGTGTTTCCAAACTGCTCTATGAAAAGAAAGGTTAAACTATGTGAGTTGAACGCACACATCACAAAGAATTTTCTGAGAATGATTCTGTCTGGTTTTTATTTGAAGATATTTCCCTTTCTACTGTTGGCATCAAATGGCTAGAAATCTCCACTTGCAAATTCCGCAAAAAGAGTGTTTCAAATCTGCTCTGTCTAAAGGGACGTTCCACTCTGTGAGTTGAATGCACACAACACAAAGAATTTACTGAGAATTCTTCCGTCTAGCATTCAATGAAGAAATCCCGTTTCCAACGAAGGCCTCAAACAGGTCCATATATCCACTTGCAGACTTTACAAACAGTGTGTTTCCAAACTCCTCTATGAAAAGAAAGGTTAAACTCTGTGAGTTGAACGCACACATCACAAAGCACTTTCTGAGAATGATTCTGTCTGGTTATTATACGAAGATATTTCCTTTTCTGCAATTGTCCTCAAATCGCTTGAAATCTCCACCTGAAAATGCCACAGCAAGAGTGTTTCAAATCTGCTCTCTCTAAAGCAAGGTTCAACTCTGTGAGTTGAATACACACAACACAAAAAAGTTACTGAGAACTCTTCTTAGTCTAGCATGAAAGGAAGAAACCCCGTTTGCAACGAAGGCCTCAAAGAGGTCCAAATATCCACTTGCAGACATAACAAGCAGAGTGTTTCTAAACTGCTCTAAGAAAAGAAAGGTTAAACTCTGTGAGTAAAAGGCACACATCACAAAGTAGTTTCTGAGAATGATTCTGTCTAGTTTTTATTTGAAGATATTTCCTTTTCTACTGTTGGCATCAAATCGCTTGAAATCTCCACTTGCAAACTCCACAAAAAGAGTGTTTCAAATCTGCTCTGTGTAAAGGGACGTTCCACTCTGTGAGTTGAATACACACAGCACAAAGAAGTTACTGAGAATTCTTCTGTCTAGCATGAAATGAAGAAATCCCGTTTCCAACGAAGGCCTCAATGCGGTCCATATATCCACTTGCAGACTTTACAAACAGAGTGTTTCCAAACTGCTCTATGAAAAGAAAGGTTAAACTATGTGAGTTGAACGCACACATCACAAAGAATTTTCTGAGAATGATTCTGTCTGGTTTTTATTTGAAGATATTTCCCTTTCTACTGTTGGCATCAAATGGCTAGAAATCTCCACTTGCAAATTCCGCAAAAAGAGTGTTTCAAATCTGCTCTGTCTAAAGGGACGTTCCACTCTGTGAGTTGAATGCACACAACACAAAGAATTTACTGAGAATTCTTCCGTCTAGCATTCAATGAAGAAATCCCGTTTCCAACGAAGGCCTCAAACAGGTCCATATATCCACTTGCAGACTTTACAAACAGTGTGTTTCCAAACTCCTCTATGAAAAGAAAGGTTAAACTCTGTGAGTGGAACGCACACATCACAAAGCACTTTCTGAGAATGATTCTGTCTGGTTATTATACGAAGAAATTTCCTTTTCTGCAATTGTCCTCAAATCGCTTGAAATCTCCACCTGAAAATGCCACAGCAAGAGTGTTTCAAATCTGCTCTCTCTAAAGCAAGGTTCAACTCTGTGAGTTGAATACACACAACACAAAAAAGTTACTGAGAACTCTTCTTAGTCTAGCATGAAAGGAAGAAACCCCGTTTGCAACGAAGGCCTCAAAGAGGTCCAAATATCCACTTGCAGACATAACAAGCAGAGTGTTTCTAAACTGCTCTAAGAAAAGAAAGGTTAAACTCTGTGAGTTGAAGGCACACATCACAAAGTAGTTTCTGAGAATGATTCTGTCTAGTTTTTATTTGAAGATATTTCCTTTTCTACTGTTGGCATCAAATCGCTTGAAATCTCCACTTGCAAATTCCACAAAAAGAGTGTTTCAAATCTGCTCTGTGCAAACGGACGTTCCAGTCTGTGAGTTGAATACACACAGCACAGAGAAGTTACTGAGAATTCTTCTGTCTAGCATGAAATGAAGAAATCCCGTTTCCAACGAAGGCCTCAATGCGGTCCATATATCCACTTGCAGACTTTACAAACAGAGTGTTTCCAAACTGCTCTATGAAAAGAAAGGTTAAACTATGTGAGTTGAACGCACACATCACAAAGAATTTTCTGAGAATGATTCTGTCTGGTTTTTATTTGAAGATATTTCCCTTTCTACTGTTGGCATCAAATGGCTAGAAATCTCCACTTGCAAATTCCGCAAAAAGAGTGTTTCAAATCTGCTCTGTCTAAAGGGACGTTCCACTCTGTCATTTGAATGCACACAACACAAAGAATTTACTGAGAATTCTTCCGTCTAGCATTCAATGAAGAAATCCCGTTTCCAATGAAGGCCTCAAGCAGGTCCATATATCCAATTGCAGACTTTACAAACAGTGTGTTTCCAAACTCCTCTATGAAAAGAAAGGTTAAACTCTGTGAGTTGAACGCACACATCACAAAGCACTTTCTGAGAATGATTCTGTCTAGTTTTTATTTGAAGATATTTCCCTTTGTACTGTTGGCATCAAATGGCTAGAAATCTCCACTTGCAACTTCCGCAAAAAGAGTGTTTCAAATCTGCTCTGTCTAAAGGGACGTTCCACTCTGTGAGTTGAATGCACACAACGCAAAAAAAGTTACTGAGAACTCTTCTTAGTCTAGCATTAAAGGAAGAAACCCCGTTTGCAACGAAGGCCTCAAAGAGGTCCAAATATCCACTTGCAGACATAACAAGCAGAGTGTTTCTAAACTGCTCTAAGAAAAGAAAGGTTAAACTCTGTGAGTTGAAGGCACACATCACAAAGTAGTTTCTGAGAATGATTCTGTCTAGTTTTTATTTGAAGATATTTCCTTTTCTACTGTTGGCATCAAATCGCTTGAAATCTCCACTTGCAAACTCCACAAAAAGAGTGTTTCAAATCTGCTCTGTGTAAAGGGACGTTCCACTCTGTGAGTTGAATACACACAGCACAAAGAAGTTACTGAGAATTCTTCTGTCTAGCATGAAATGAAGAAATCCCGTTTCCAACGAAGGCCTCAATGCGGTCTATATATCCACTTGCAGACTTTACAAACAGAGTGTTTCCAAACTGCTCTATGAAAAGAAAGGTTAAACTATGTGAGTTGAACGCACACATCACAAAGAATTTTCTGAGAATGATTCTGTCTGGTTTTTATTTGAAGATATTTCCCTTTCTACTGTTGGCATCAAATGGCTAGAAATCTCCACTTGCAAATTCCGCAAAAAGAGTGTTTCAAATCTGCTCTGTCTAAAGGGACGTTCCACTCTGTGAGTTGAATGCACACAACACAAAGAATTTACTGAGAATTCTTCCGTCTAGCATTCAATGAAGAAATCCCGTTTCCAACGAAGGCCTCAAACAGGTCCATATATCCAATTGCAGACTTTACAAACAGTGTGTTTCCAAACTCCTCTATGAAAAGAAAGGTTAAACTCTGTGAGTTGAACGCACACATCACAAAGCACTTTCTGAGAATGATTCTGTCTGGTTATTATACGAAGATATTTCCTTTTCTGCAATTGTCCTCAAAACGCTTGAAATCTCCACCTGAAAATGCCACAGCAAGAGTGTTTCAAATCTGCTCTCTCTAAAGCAAGGTTCAACTCTGTGAGTTGAATACACACAACACAAAAAAGTTACTGAGAACTCTTCTTAGTCTAGCATGAAATGAAGAAATCCCGTTTGCAACGAAGGCCTCAAAGAGGTCCAAATATCCACTTGCAGACATAACAAGCAGAGTGTTTCTAAACTGCTCTATGAAAAGAAAGGTTAAACTCTGTGAGTTGAAGGCACACATCACAAAGTAGTTTCTGAGAATGATTCTGTCTAGTTTTTATTTGAAGATATTTCCTTTTCTACTGTTGGCATCAAATCGCTTGAAATCTCCACTTGCAAACTCCACAAAAAGAGTGTTTCAAATCTGCTCTGTGCAAAGGGACGTTCCACTCTGTGAGTTGAATACACACAGCACAAAGAAGTTACTGAGAATTCTTCTGTCTAGTATGAAATGAAGAAATCCCGTTTCCAACGAAGGCCTCAATGCGGTCCATATATCCACTTGCAGACTTTACAAACAGAGTGTTTCCAAACTGCTCCATGAAAAGAAAGGTTAAACTATGTGAGTTGAACGCACACATCACAAAGAATTTTCTGAGAATGATTCTGTCTGGTTTTTATTTGAAGATATTTCCCTTTCTACTGTTGGCATCAAATGGCTAGAAATCTCCACTTGCAAATTCCGCAAAAAGAGTGTTTCAAATCTGCTCTGTCTAAAGGGACGTTCCACTCTGTGAGTTGAATGCACACAACACAAAGAATTTACTGAGAATTCTTCCGTCTAGCATTCAATGAAGAAATCCCGTTTCCAACGAAGGCCTCAAACAGGTCCATATATCCACTTGCAGACTTTACAAACAGTGTGTTTCCAAACTCCTCTATGAAAAGAAAGGTTAAACTCTGTGAGTGGAACGCACACATCACAAAGCACTTTCTGAGAATGATTCTGTCTGGTTATTATACGAAGATATTTCCTTTTCTGCAATTGTCCTCAAATCGCTTGAAATCTCCACCTGAAAATGCCACAGCAAGAGTGTTTCAAATCTGCTCTCTCTAAAGCAAGGTTCAACTCTGTGAGTTGAATACACACAACACAAAAAAGTTACTGAGAACTCTTCTTAGTCTAGCATTAAAGGAAGAAACCCCGTTTGCAACGAAGGCCTCAAAGAGGTCCAAATATCCACTTGCAGACATAACAAGCAGAGTGTTTCTAAACTGCTCTAAGAAAAGAAAGGTTAAACTCTGTGAGTTAAAGGCACACATCACAAAGTAGTTTCTGAGAATGATTCTGTCTAGTTTTTATTTGAAGATATTTCCTTTTCTACTGTTGGCATCAAATCGCTTGAAATCTCCACTTGCAAACTCCACAAAAAGAGTGTTTCAAATCTGCTCTGTGCAAAGGGACGTTCCACTCTGTGAGTTGAATACACACAGCACAAAGAAGATACTGAGAATTCTTCTGTCTAGCATGAAATGAAGAAATCCCGTTTCCAACGAAGGCCTCAATGCGGTCCATATATCCACTTGCAGACTTTACAAACAGAGTGTTTCCAAACTGCTCTATGAAAAGAAAGGTTAAACTATGTGAGTTGAACGCACACATCACAAAGAATTTTCTGAGAATGATTCTGTCTGGTTTTTATTTGAAGATATTTCCCTTTCTACTGTTGGCATCAAATGGCTAGAAATCTCCACTTGCAAATTCCGCAAAAAGAGTGTTTCAAATCTGCTCTGTCTAAAGGGACGTTCCACTCTGTGAGTTGAATGCACTCAACACAAAGAATTTACTGAGAATCCTTCCGTCTAGCATTCAATGAAGAAATCCCGTTTCCAACGAAGGCCTCAAACAGGTCCATATATCCACTTGCAGACTTTACAAACAGTGTGTTTCCAAACTCCTCTATGAAAAGAAAGGTTAAACTCTGTGAGTGGAACGCACACATCACAAAGCACTTTCTGAGAATGATTCTGTCTGGTTATTATACGAAGATATTTCCTTTTCTGCAATTGTCCTCAAATCGCTTGAAATCTCCACCTGAAAATGCCACAGCAAGAGTGTTTCAAATCTGCTCTCTCTAAAGCAAGGTTCAACTCTGTGAGTTGAATACACACAACACAAAAAAGTTACTGAGAACTCTTCTTAGTCTAGCATTAAAGGAAGAAACCCCTTTTGCAACGAAGGCCTCAAAGAGGTCCAAATATCCACTTGCAGACATAACAAGCAGAGTGTTTCTAAACTGCTCTAAGAAAAGAAAGGTTAAACTCTGTGAGTTGAAGGCACACATCACAAAGTAGTTTCTGAGAATGATTCTGTCTAGTTTTTATTTGAAGATATTTCATTTTCTACTGTTGGCATCAAATCGCTTGAAATCTCCACTTGCAAACTCCAGAAAAAGAGTGTTTCAAATCTGCTCTGTGTAAAGGGACGTTCCACTCTGTGAGTTGAATACACACAGCACAAAGAAGTTACTGAGAATTCTTCTGTCTAGCATGAAATGAAGAAATCCCGTTTCCAACGAAGGCCTCAATGCGGTCCATAGATCCACTTGCAGACTTTACAAACAGAGTGTTTCCAAACTGCTCTATGAAAAGAAAGGTTAAACTATGTGAGTTGAACGCACACATCACAAAGAATTTTCTGAGAATGATTCTGTCTGGTTTTTATTTGAAGATATTTCCCTTTCTACTGTTGGCATCAAATGGCTAGAAATCTCCACTTGCAAATTCCGCAAAAAGAGTGTTTCAAATCTGCTCTGTCTAAAGGGACGTTCCACTCTGTGAGTTGAATGCACACAACACAAAGAATTTACTGAGAATTCTTCCGTCTAGCATTCAATGAAGAAATCCCGTTTCCAAAGAAGGCCTCAAACAGGTCCATATATCCAATTGCAGACTTTACAAACAGTGTGTTTCCAAACTCCTCTATGAAAAGAAAGGTTAAACTCTGTGAGTTGAACGCACACATCACAAAGCACTTTCTGAGAATGATTCTGTCTGGTTATTATACGAAGATATTTCCTTTTCTGCAATTGTCCTCAAAACGCTTGAAATCTCCACCTGAAAATGCCACAGCAAGAGTGTTTCAAATCTGCTCTCTCTAAAGCAAGGTTCAACTCTGTGAGTTGAATACACACAACACAAAAAAGTTACTGAGAACTCTTCTTAGTCTAGCATTAAAGGAAGAAACCCCGTTTGCAACGAAGGCCTCAAAGAGGTCCAAATATCCACTTGCAGACATAACAAGCAGAGTGTTTCTAAACTGCTCTAAGAAAAGAAAGGTTAAACTCTGTGAGTTGAAGGCACACATCACAAAGTAGTTTCTGAGAATGATTCTGTCTAGTTTTTATTTGAAGATATTTCCTTTTCTACTGTTGGCATCAAATCGCTTGAAATCTCCACTTGCAAATTCCACAAAAAGAGTGTTTCAAATCTGCTCTGTGCAAAGGGACGTTCCACTCTGTGAGTTGAATACACACAGCACAAAGAAGTTACTGAGAATTCTTCTGTCTAGCATGAAATGAAGAAATCCCGTTTCCAACGAAGGCCTCAATGCGGTCCATATATCCACTTGCAGACTTTACAAACAGAGTGTTTCCAAACTGCTCTATGAAAAGAAAGGTTAAACTATGTGAGTTGAACGCACGCATCACAAAGAATTTTCTGAGAATGATTCTGTCTAGTTTTTATTTGAAGATATTTCCCTTTCTACTGTTGGCATCAAATGGCTTGAAATCTCCACTTCCAAATTTCGCAAAAAGAGTGTTTCAAACCTGCTCTGTCTAAAGGGACGTTCCACTCGGTGAGTTGAATGCACACAACACAAAGAATTTACTGAGAATTCTTCTGTCTAGCATGAAATGAAGAAATCCCGTTTCCAACGAATGCCTCAAAGCGGTCAATATATCCACTTTCAGATTTTACAAACAGTGTGTTTCGAAACAGCTCTCTGAAAAGAAAGGTTAAACTATGTGAGCTGAACGCACACATCACAAAGAATTTTCTGAGAATGATTCTGTCTAGTTTTTATTTGAAGATATTTCCTTTTCAACTGTTGGCATCAAATCGCTTGAAATCTCCACTTCCAAATTCCACAAAAAGAGTGTTTCAAATCTGCTCTGTGTAAAGGGACGTTCCAATCTGTGAGTTGAATACACACAACACAAAGAAGTTACTGAGAATTCTTCGGTCTAGCATGAAATGAAGAAATCCCGTTTCCAACGAAGGCCTCAAAGTGGTCCATATATCCACTTGCAGACATTACCAACAGAGTGTTTCCAAACTGCTCTATGAAAAGAAAGTTTAAACTATGTGAGTTGAACGCACACATCACAAAGAATTTTCGGAGAATGATTCTGTCTAGTTTTTATTTGAAGATATTTCCTTTTCTACTGCTGGCATCAAATCGCTTGAAATCTCCACTTGCAAATTCCACAAAAAGAGTGTTTCAAATCTGCTCTGTGTAAAGGGACGTTCCACACTGTGAGTTGAATACACACAACACAAAGGAGTTACTGAGAATTCTTCTGTCTAGCATGAAATGAAGAAATCCCGTTTCCAACGAAGGCCTCAATGCGGTCCATATATCCACTTGCAGACTTTACAAACAGAGTGTTTCCAAACTGCTCTATGAAAAGAAAGGTTAAACTATGTGAGTTGAACGCACACATCACAAAGAATTTTCTGAGAATGATTCTGTCTGGTTTTTATTTGAAGATATTTCCCTTTCTACTGTTGGCATCAAATGGCTAGAAATCTCCACTTGCAAATTCCGCAAAAAGAGTGTTTCAAATCTGCTCTGTCTAAAGGGACGTTCCACTCTGTGAGTTGAATGCACACAACACAAAGAATTTACTGAGAATTCTTCCGTCTAGCATTCAATGAAGAAATCCCGTTTCCAACGAAGGCCTCAAACAGGTCCATATATCCACTTGCAGAGTTTACAAACAGTGTGTTTCCAAACTCCTCTATGAAAAGAAAGGTTAAACTCTGTGAGTGGAACGCACACATCACAAAGCACTTTCTGAGAATGATTCTGTCTGGTTATTATACGAAGATATTTCCTTTTCTGCAATTGTCCTCAAATCGCTTGAAATCTCCACCTGAAAATGCCACAGCAAGAGTGTTTTAAATCTGCTCTCTCTAAAGCAAGGTTCAACTCTGTGAGTTGAATACACACAACACAAAAAAGTTACTGAGAAGTCTTCTTAGTCTAGCATGAAAGGAAGAAATCCCGTTTGCAACGAAGGCCTCAAAGAGGTCCAAATATCCACTTGCAGACATAACAAGCAGAGTGTTTCTAAACTGCTCTAAGAAAAGAAAGGTTAAACTCTGTGAGTAAAAGGCACACATCACAAAGTAGTTTCTGAGAATGATTCTGTCTAGTTTTTATTTGAAGATATTTCCTTTTCTACTGTTGGCATCAAATCGCTTGAAATCTCCACTTGCAAACTCCACAAAAAGAGTGTTTCAAATCTGCTCTGTGTAAAGGGACGTTCCACTCTGTGAGTTGAATACACACAGCACAAAGAAGTTACTGAGAATTCTTCCGTCTAGCATTCAATGAAGAAATCCCGTTTCCAACGAAGGCCTCAAACAGGTCCATATATCCACTTGCAGACTTTACAAACAGAGTGTTTCCAAACTGCTCTATGAAAAGAAAGGTTAAACTATGTGAGTTGAACGCACACATCACAAAGAATTTTCTGAGAATGATTCTGTCTGGTTTTTATTGGAAGATATTTCCCTTTCTACTGTTGGCATCAAATGGCTAGAAATCTCCACTTGCAAATTCCGCAAAAAGAGTGTTTCAAATCTGCTCTGTCTAAAGGGACGTTCCACTCTGTCAGTTGAATGCACACAACACAAAGTATTTACTGAGAATTCTTCCGTCTAGCATTCAATGAAGAAATACCGTTTCCAACGAAGGCCTCAAAGAGGTCCATATATCCACTTGCAGACTTTACAAACAGTGTGTTTCCAAACTCCTCTATGAAAAGAAAGGTTAAACTCTGTGAGTGGAACGCACACATCACAAAGCACTTTCTGAGAATGATTCTGTCTGGTTATTATACGAAGCATATTTCCTTTTCTGCAATTGTCCTCAAAACGCTTGAAATCTCCACCTGAAAATGCCACAGCAAGAGTGTTTCAAATCTGCTCTCTCTAAAGCAAGGTTCAACTCTGTGAGTTGAATACACACAACACGGAAAAGTTACTGAGAACTCTTCTTAGTCTAGCATGAAAGGAAGAAACCCCGTTTGCAACGAAGGCCTCAAAGAGGTCCAAATATCCACTTGCAGACATAACAAGCAGAGTGTTTCTAAACTGCTCTAAGAAAAGAAAGGTTAAACTCTGTGAGTTGAAGGCACACATCACAAACTAGTTTCTGAGAATGATTCTGTCTAGTTTTTATTTGAAGATATTTCCTTTTCTACTGTTGGCATCAAATCGCTTGAAATCTCCACTTGCAAACTCCACAAAAAGAGTGTTTCAAATCTGCTCTGTGCAAAGGGACGTTCCACTCTGTGAGTTGAATACACACAGCACAAAGAAGTTACTGAGAATTCTTCTGTCTAGCATGAAATGAAGAAATCCCGTTTCCAACGAAGGCCTCAATGCGGTCCATATATCCACTTGCAGACTTTACAAACAGAGTGTTTCCAAACTGCTCTATGAAAAGAAAGGTTAAACTATGTGAGTTGAACGCACACATCACAAAGAATTTTCTGAGAATGATTCTGTCTGGTTTTTATTTGAAGATATTTCCCTTTCTACTGTTGGCATCAAATGGCTAGAAATCTCCACTTGCAAATTCCGCAAAAAGAGTGTTTCAAATCTGCTCTGTCTAAAGGGACGTTCCACTCTGTGAGTTGAATGCACACAACACAAAGAATTTACTGAGAATTCTTCCGTCTAGCATTCAATGAAGAAATCCCGTTTCCAACGAAGGCCTCAAACAGGTCCATATATCCAATTGCAGACTTTACAAACAGTGTGTTTCCAAACTCCTTTATGAAAAGAAAGGTTAACTCTGTGAGTTGAATGCACACATCACAAAGCACTTTCTGATAATGATTCTGTCTGGTTATTATACGAAGATATTTCCTTTTCTGCAATTGTCCTCAAATCGCTTGAAATCTCCACCTGAAAATGCCACAGCAAGAGTGTTTCAAATCTGCTCTCTCTAAAGCAAGGTTCAACTCTGTGAGTTGAATACACACAACACAAAAAAGTTACTGAGAACTCTTTCTTAGTCTAGCATGAAAGGAAGAAACCCCGTTTGCAACGAAGGCCTCAAAGAGGTCCAAATATCCACTTGCAGACATAACAAGCAGAGTGTTTCTAAACTGCTCTAAGAAAAGAAAGGTTAAACTCTGTGAGTTGAAGGCACACATCACAAAGTAGTTTCTGAGAATGATTCTGTCTAGTTTTTATTTGAAGATATTTCCTTTTCTACTGTTGGCATCAAATCGCTTGAAATCTCCACTTGCAAATTCCACAAAAAGAGTGTTTCAAATCTGCTCTGTGTAAAGGGACGTTCCACTCTGTGAGTTGAATACACACAGCACAAAGAAGTTACTGAGAATTCTTCTGTCTAGCATGAAATGAAGAAATCCCGTTTCCAACGAAGGCCTCAATGCGGTCCATAGATCCACTTGCAGACTTTACAAACAGAGTGTTTCCAAACTGCTCTATGAAAAGAAAGGTTAAACTATGTGAGTTGAACGCACACATCACAAAGAATTTTCTGAGAATGATTCTGTCTGGTTTTTATTTGAAGATATTTCCCTTTCTACTGTTGGCATCAAATGGCTAGAAATCTCCACTTGCAAATTCCGCAAAAAGAGTGTTTCAAATCTGCTCTGTCTAAAGGGACGTTCCACTCTGTCAGTTGAATGCGCACAACACAAAGTATTTACTGAGAATTCTTCCGTCTAGCATTCAATGAAGAAATCCCGTTTCCAACGAAGGCCTCAAACAGGTCCATATATCCACTTGCAGACGTTACAAACAGTGTGTTTCCAAACTCCTCTATGAAAAGAAAGGTTAAACTCTGTGAGTTGAACGCACACATCACAAAGCACTTTCTGAGAATGATTCTGTCTGGTTATTATACGAAGATATTTCCTTTTCTGCAATTGTCCTCAAATCGCTTGAAATCTCCACCTGAAAATGCCACAGCAAGAGTGTTTCAAATCTGCTCTCTCTAAAGCAAGGTTCAACTCTGTGAGTTGAATACACACAACACAAAAAAGTTACTGAGAACTCTTCTTAGTCTAGCATGAAAGGAAGAAACCCCGTTTGCAACGAAGGCCTCAAAGAGGTCCAAATATCCACTTGCAGACATAACAAGCAGAGTGTTTCTAAACTGCTCTAAGAAAAGAAAGGTTAAACTCTGTGAGTTGAAGGCACACATCACAAAGTAGTTTCTGAGAATGATTCTGTCTAGTTTTTATTTGAAGATATTTCCTTTTCTACTGTTGGCATCAAATCGCTTGAAATCTCCACTTGCAAACTCCACAAAAAGAGTGTTTCAAATCTGCTCTGTGTAAAGGGACGTTCCACTCTGTGAGTTGAATACACACAGCACAAAGAAGTTACTGAGAATTCTTCTGTCTAGCATGAAATGAAGAAATCCCGTTTCCAACGAAGGCCTCAATGCGGTCCATATATCCACTTGCAGACTTTACAAACAGAGTGTTTCCAAACTGCTCTATGAAAAGAAAGGTTAAACTATGTGAGTTGAACGCACACATCACAAAGAATTTTCTGAGAATGATTCTGTCTGGTTTTTATTTGAAGATATTTCCCTTTCTACTGTTGGCATCAAATGGCTAGAAATCTCCACTTGCAAATTCCGCAAAAAGAGTGTTTCAAATCTGCTCTGTCTAAAGGGACGTTCCACTCTGTGAGTTGAATGCACACAACACAAAGAATTTACTGAGAATTCTTCCGTCTAGCATTCAATGAAGAAATCCCGTTTCCAACGAAGGCCTCAAACAGGTCCATATATCCACTTGCAGACTTTACAAACAGTGTGTTTCCAAACTCCTCTATGAAAAGAAAGGTTAAACTCTGTGAGTGGAACGCACACATCACAAAGCACTTTCTGAGAATGATTCTGTCTGGTTGTTATACGAAGATATTTCCTTTTCTGCAATTGTCCTCAAATCGCTTGAAATCTCCACCTGAAAATGCCACAGCAAGAGTGTTTCAAATCTGTTCTCTCTAAAGCAAGGTTCAACTCTGTGAGTTGAATACACACAACACAAAAAAGTTACTGAGAACTCTTCTTAGTTTAGCATGAAAGGAAGAAACCCCGTTTGCAACGAAGGCCTCAAAGAGGTCCAAATATCCACTTGCAGACATAACAAGCAGAGTGTTTCTAAACTGCTCTAAGAAAAGAAAGGTTAAACTCTGTGAGTTGAAGGCACACATCACAAAGTAGTTTCTGAGAATGATTCTGTCTAGTTTTTATTTGAAGATATTTCCTTTTCTACTGTTGGCATCAAATCGCTTGAAATCTCCACTTGCAAACTCCACAAAAAGAGTGTTTCAAATCTGCTCTGTGCAAAGGGACGTTCCACTCTGTGAGTTGAATACACACAGCACAAAGAAGTTACTGAGAATTCTTCTGTCTAGCATGAAATGAAGAAATCCCGTTTCCAACGAAGGCCTCAATGCGGTCCATATATCCACTTGCAGACTTTACAAACAGAGTGTTTCCAAACTGCTCTATGAAAAGAAAGGTTAAACTATGTGAGTTGAACGCACACATCACAAAGAATTTTCTGAGAATGATTCTGTCTGGTTTTTATTTGAAGATATTTCCCTTTCTACTGTTGGCATCAAATGGCTAGAAATCTCCACTTGCAAATTCCGCAAAAAGAGTGTTTCAAATCTGCTCTGTCTAAAGGGACGTTCCACTCTGTGAGTTGAATGCACACAACACAAAGAATTTACTGAGAATTCTTCCGTCTAGCATTCAATGAAGAAATCCCGTTTCAAACGAAGGCCTCAAACAGGTCCATATATCCAATTGCAGACTTTACAAACAGTGTGTTTCCAAACTCCTCTATGAAAAGAAAGGTTAAACTCTGTGAGTTGAACGCACACATCACAAAGCACTTTCTGAGAATGATTCTGTCTGGTTGTTATACGAAGATATTTCCTTTTCTGCAATTGTCCTCAAATCGCTTGAAATCTCCACCTGAAAATGCCACAGCAAGAGTGTTTCAAATCTGCTCTCTCTAAAGCAAGGTTCAACTCTGTGAGTTGAATACACACAACACAAAAAAGTTACTGAGAACTCTTCTTAGTCTAGCATTAAAGGAAGAAACCCCGTTTGCAACGAAGGCCTCAAAGAGGTCCAAATATCCACTTGCAGACATAACAAGCAGAGTGTTTCTAAACTGCTCTAAGAAAAGAAAGGTTAAACTCTGTGAGTTGAAGGCACACATCACAAAGTAGTTTCTGAGAATGATTCTGTCTAGTTTTTATTTGAAGATATTTCCTTTTCTACTGTTGGCATCAAATCGCTTGAAATCTCCACTTGCAAATTCCACAAAAAGAGTGTTTCAAATCTGCTCTGTGCAAAGGGACGTTCCACTCTGTGAGTTGAATACACACAGCACAAAGAAGTTACTGAGAATTCTTCTGTCTAGTATGAAATGAAGAAATCCCGTTTCCAACGAAGGCCTCAATGCGGTCCATATATCCACTTGCAGACTTTACAAACAGAGTGTTTCCAAACTGCTCTATGAAAAGAAAGGTTAAACTATGTGAGTTGAACGCACACATCACAAAGAATTTTCTGAGAATGATTCTGTCTGGTTTTTATTTGAAGATATTTCCCTTTCTACTGTTGGCATCAAATGGCTAGAAATCTCCACTTGCAAATTCCGCAAAAATAGTGTTTCAAATCTGCTCTGTCTAAAGGGACGTTCCACTCTGTGAGTTGAATGCACACCACACAAAGAATTTACTGAGAATTCTTCCGTCTAGCATTCAATGAAGAAATCCCGTTTCCAACGAAGGCCTCAAACAGGTCCATATATCCACTTGCAGACTTTACAAACAGTGTGTTTCCAAACTCCTCTATGAAAAGAAAGGTTAAACTCTGTGAGTTGAACGCACACATCACAAAGCACTTTCTGAGAATGATTTTGTCTGGTTATTATACGAAGATATTTCCTTTTCTGCAGTTGTCCTCAAATCGCTTGAAATCTCCACCTGAAAATGCCACAGCAAGAGTGTTTCAAATCTGCTCTCTCTAAAGCAAGGTTCAACTCTGTGAGTTGAATACACACAACACAAAAAAGTTACTGAGGACTCTTCTTAGTCTAGCATGAAAGGAAGAAACCCCGTTTGCAACGAAGGCCTCAAAGAGGTCCAAATATCCACTTGCAGACATAACAAGCAGAGTGTTTCTAAACTGCTCTAAGAAAAGAAAGGTTAAACTCTGTGAGTTGAAGGCACACATCACAAAGTAGTTTCTGAGAATGATTCTGTCTAGTTTTTATTTGAAGATATTTCCTTTTCTACTGTTGGCATCAAATCGCTTGAAATCTCCACTTGCAAACTCCACAAAAAGAGTGTTTCAAATCTGCTCTGTGTAAAGGGACATTCCACTCTGTGAGTTGAATACACACAGCACAAAGAAGTTACTGAGAATTCTTCTGTCTAGCATGAAATGAAGAAATCCCGTTTCCAACGAAGGCCTCAATGCGGTCCATATATCCACTTGCAGACTTTACAAACAGAGTGTTTCCAAACTGCTCTATGAAAAGAAAGGTTAAACTATGTGAGTTGAACGCACACATCACAAAGAATTTTCTGAGAATGATTCTGTCTGGTTTTTATTTGAAGATATTTCCCTTTCTACTGTTGGCATCAAATGGCTAGAAATCTCCACTTGCAAATTCCGCAAAAAGAGTGTTTCAAATCTGCTCTGTCTAAAGGGACGTTCCACTCTGTGAGTTGAATGCACACAACACAAAGAATTTACTGAGAATTCTTCCGTCTAGCATTCAATGAAGAAATCCCGTTTCAAACGAAGGCCTCAAACAGGTCCATATATCCAATTGCAGACTTTACAAACAGTGTGTTTCCAAACTCCTCTATGAAAAGAAAGGTTAAACTCTGTGAGTTGAACGCACACATCAAAAAGCACTTTCTGAGAATGATTCTGTCTGGTTGTTATACCGAAGATATTTCCTTTTCTGCAATTGTCCTCAAATCGCTTGAAATCTCCACCTGAAAATGCCACAGCAAGAGTGTTTCTAATCTGCTCTCTCTAAAGCAAGGTTCAACTCTGTGAGTTGAATACACACAACACAAAAAAGTTACTGAGAACTCTTCTTAGTCTAGCATGAAAGGAAGAAACCCCGTTTGCAACGAAGGCCTCAAAGAGGTCCAAATATCCACTTGCAGACATAACAAGCAGAGTGTTTCTAAACTGCTCTAAGAAAAGAAAGGTTAAACTCTGTGAGTTGAAGGCACACATCACAAAGTAGTTTCTGAGAATGATTCTGTCTAGTTTTTATTTGAAGATATTTCCTTTTCTACTGTTGGCATCAAATCGCTTGAAATCTCCACTTGCAAACTCCACAAAAAGAGTGTTTCAAATCTGCTCTGTGCAAAGGGATGTTCCACTCTGTGAGTTGAATACACACAGCACAAAGAAGTTACTGAGAATTCTTCTGTCTAGCATGAAATGAAGAAATCCCGTTTCCAACGAAGGCCTCAATGCGGTCCATATATCCACTTGCAGACTTTACAAACAGAGTGTTTCCAAACTGCTCTATGAAAAGAAAGGTTAAACTATGTGAGTTGAACGCACACATCACAAAGAATTTTCTGAGAATGATTCTGTCTGGTTTTTATTTGAAGATATTTCCCTTTCTACTGTTGGCATCAAATGGCTAGAAATCTCCACTTGCAAATTCCGCAAAAAGAGTGTTTCAAATCTGCTCTGTCTAAAGGGACGTTCCACTCTGTGAGTTGAATGCACACAACACAAAGAATTTACTGAGAATTCTTCCGTCTAGCAGTCAATGAAGAAATCCCGTTTCCAACGAAGGCCTCAAACAGGTCCATATATCCACTTGCAGACTTTACAAACAGTGTGTTTCCAAACTCCTCTATGAAAAGAAAGGTTAAACTCTGTGAGTGGAACGCACACATCACAAAGCACTTTCTGAGAATGATTCTGTCTGGTTATTATACGAAGATATTTCCTTTTCTGCAATTGTCCTCAAATCGCTTGAAATCTCCACCTGAAAATGTCACAGCAAGAGTGTTTCAAATCTGCTCTCTCTAAAGCAAGGTTCAACTCTGTGAGTTGAATACACACAACACAAAAAAGTTACTGAGAACTCTTCTTAGTCTAGCATGAAAGGAAGAAACCCCGTTTGCAACGAAGGCCTCAAAGAGGTCCAAATATCCACTTGCAGACATAACAAGCAGAGTGTTTCTAAACTGCTCTAAGAAAAGAAAGGTTAAACTCTGTGAGTTGAAGGCACACATCACAAAGTAGTTTCTGAGAATGATTCTGTCTAGTTTTTATTTGAAGATACTTCCTTTTCTACTGTTGGCATCAAATCGCTTGAAATCTCCACTTGCAAACTCCACAAAAAGAGTGTTTCAAATCTGCTCTGTGCAAAGGGACGTTCCACTCTGTGAGTTGAATACACACAGCACAAAGAAGTTACTGAGAATTCTTCTGTCTAGCATGAAATGAAGAAATCCCGTTTCCAACGAAGGCCTCAATGCGGTCCATATATCCACTTGCAGACTTTACAAACAGAGTGTTTCCAAACTGCTCTATGAAAAGAAAGGTTAAACTATGTGAGTTGAACGCACACATCACAAAGAATTTTCTGAGAATGATTCTGTCTGGTTTTTATTTGAAGATATTTCCCTTTCTACTGTTGGCATCAAATGGCTAGAAATCTCCACTTGCAAATTCCGCAAAAAGAGTGTTTCAAATCTGCTCTGTCTAAAGGGACGTTCCACTCTGTGAGTTGAATGCACACAACACAAAGAATTTACTGAGAATTCTTCCGTCTAGCATTCAATGAAGAAATCCCGTTTCCAACGAAGGCCTCAAACAGGTCCATATATCCACTTGCAGACTTTACAAACAGTGTGTTTCCAAACTCCTCTATGAAAAGAAAGGTTAAACTCTGTGAGTGGAACGCACACATCACAAAGCACTTTCTGAGAACGATTCTGTCTGGTTATTATACGAAGATATTTCTTTTTCTGCAATTGTCCTCAAATCGCTTGAAATCTCCACCTGAAAATGCCACAGCAAGAGTGTTTCAAATCTGCTCTCTCTAAAGCAAGGTTCAACTCTGTGAGTTGAATACACACAACACAAAAAAGTTACTGAGAACTCTTCTTAGTCTAGCATGAAAGGAAGAAACCCCGTTTGCAACGAAGGCCTCAAAGAGGTCCAAATATCCACTTGCAGATATAACAAGCAGAGTGTTTCTAAACTGCTCTAAGAAAAGAAAGGTTAAACTCTGTGAGTTGAAGGCACACATCACAAAGTAGTTTCTGAGAATGATTCTGTCTAGTTTTTATTTGAAGATATTTCCTTTTCTACTGTTGGCATCAAATCGCTTGAAATCTCCACTTGCAAACTCCACAAAAAGAGTGTTTCAAATCTGCTCTGTGCAAAGGGACGTTCCACTCTGTGAGTTGAATACACACAGCACAAAGAAGTTACTGAGAATTCTTCTGTCTAGCATGAAATGAAGAAATCCCGTTTCCAACGAAGGCCTCAATGCGGTCCATATATCCACTTGCAGACTTTACAAACAGAGTGTTTCCAAACTGCTCTATGAAAAGAAAGGTTAAACTATGTGAGTTGAACGCACACATCACAAAGAATTTTCTGAGAATGATTCTGTCTGGTTTTTATTTGAAGATATTTCCCTTTCTACTGTTGGCATCAAATGGCTAGAAATCTCCACTTGCAAATTCCGCAAAAAGAGTGTTTCAAATCTGCTCTGTCTAAAGGGACGTTCCACTCTGTGAGTTGAATGCACACAACACAAAGAATTTACTGAGAATTCTTCCGTCTAGCATTCAATGAAGAAATCCCGTTTCCAACGGAGGCCTCAAACAGGTCTATATATCCAATTGCAGACTTTACAAACAGTGTGTTTCCAAACTCCTCTATGAAAAGAAAGGTTAAACTCTGTGAGTTGAACGCACACATCACAAAGCACTTTCTGAGAATGATTCTGTCTGGTTATTATACGAAGATATTTCCTTTTCTGCAATTGTCCTCAAATCGCTTGAAATCTCCACCTGAAAATGCCACAGCAAGAGTGTTTCATATCTGCTCTCTCTAAAGCAAGGTTCAACTCTGTTAGTTGAATACACACAACACAAAAAAGTTACTGAGAACTCTTCTTAGTCTAGCATGAAAGGAAGAAACCCCGTTTGCAACGAAGGCCTCAAAGAGGTCCAAATATCCACTTGCAGACATAACAAGCAGAGTGTTTCTAAACTGCTCTAAGAAAAGAAAGGTTAAACTCTGTGAGTTGAAGGCACACATCACAAAGTAGTTTCTGAGAATGATTCTGTCTAGTTTTTATTTGAAGATATTTCCTTTTCTACTGTTGGCATCAAATCGCTTGAAATCTCCACTTGGAAATTCCACAAAAAGAGTGTTTCAAATCTGCTCTGTGTAAAGGAACGTTCCACTCTGTGAGTTGAATACACACAGCACAAAGAAGTTACTGAGAATTCTTCTGTCTAGCATGAAATGAAGAAATCCCGTTTCCAACGAAGGCCTCAATGCGGTCCATATATCCACTTGCAGACTTTACAAACAGAGTGTTTCCAAACTGCTCTATGAAAAGAAAGGTTAAACTATGTGAGTTGAACGCACACATCACAAAGAATTTTCTGAGAATGATTCTGTCTGGTTTTTATTTGAAGATATTTCCCTTTCTACTGTTCGCATCAAATGGCTAGAAATCTCCACTTGCAAATTCCGCAAAAAGAGTGTTTCAAATCTGCTCTGTCTAAAGGGACGTTCCACTCTGTGAGTTGAATGCACACAACACAAAGAATTTACTGAGAATTCTTCTGTCTAGCATGAACTGAAGAAATCCCGTTTCCAACGAATGCCTCAAAGCGGTCAATATATCCACTTGAAGATTTTACAAACAGTGTGTTTCGAAACTGCTCTATGAAAAGAAAGGTTAAACTATGTGAGCTGAACGCACACATCACAAAGAATTTTCTGAGAATGATTCTGTCTAGTTTTTATTTGAAGATATTTCCTTTTCTACTGTTGGCATCAAATCGCTTGAAATCTCCACTTGCAAATTCCACAAAAAGAGTGTTTCAAATCTGCTCTGTGTAAAGGGACGTTCCAATCTGTGAGTTGAATACACACAACACAAAGAAGTTACTGAGAATTCTTCTGTCTAGCATGAAATGAAGAAATCCCGTTTCCAACGAAGGCCTCAAAGCGGTCCATATATCCACTTGCAGATATTACCAACAGAGTGTTTCCAAACTGCTCTATGAAAAGAAAGGTTAAACTATGTGAGTTGAACGCACGCATCACAAAGAATTTTCTGAGAATGATTCTGTCTGGTTTTTATTTGAAGATATTTCCCTTTCTACTGTTGGCATCAAATGGCTAGAAATCTCCACTTGCAAATTCCGCAAAAAGAGTGTTTCAAATCTGCTCTGTCTAAAGGGACGTTCCACTCTGTCAGTTGAATACACACAACACAAAGAATTTACTGAGAATTCTTCCGTCTAGCAGTCAATGAAGAAATCCCGTTTCCAACGAAGGCCTCAAAGAGGTCCATATATCCAATTGCAGACTTTACAAACAGTGTGTTTCCAAACTCCTCTATGAAAAGAAAGGTTAAACTCTGTGAGTGGAACTGCACACATCACAAAGCACTTTCTGAGAATGATTCTGTCTGGTTGTTATACGAAGATATTTCCTTTTCTGCAATTGTCCTCAAATCGCTTGAAATCTCCACCTGAAAATGCCACAGCAAGAGTGTTTCAAATCTGCTCTCTCTAAAGCAAGGTTCAACTCTGTGAGTTGAATACACACAACACAAAAAAGTTACTGAGAACTCTTCTTAGTCTAGCATTAAAGGAAGAAACCCCGTTTGCAACGAAGGCCTCAAAGAGGTCCAAATATCCACTTGCAGACATAACAAGCAGAGTGTTTCTAAGCTGCTCTAAGAAAAGAAAGGTTAAACTCTGTGAGTTGAAGGCACACATCACAAAGTAGTTTCTGAGAATGATTCTGTCTAGTTTTTATTTGAAGATATTTCCTTTTCTACTGTTGGCATCAAATCGCTTGAAATCTCCACTTGCAAACTCCACAAAAAGAGTGTTTCAAATCTGCTCTGTGTAAAGGGACGTTCCACTCTGTGAGTTGAATACACACAGCACAAAGAAGTTACTGAGAATTCTTCTGTCTAGCATGAAATGAAGAAATCCCGTTTCCAACGAAGGCCTCAATGCGGTCCATATATCCACTTGCAGACTTTACAAACAGAGTGTTTCCAAACTGCTCTATGAAAAGAAAGGTTAAACTATGTGAGTTGAACGCACACATCACAAAGAATTTTCTGAGAATGATTCTGTCTGGTTTTTATTTGAAGATATTTCCCTTTCTACTGTTGGCATCAAATGGCTAGAAATCTCCACTTGCAAATTCCGCAAAAAGAGTGTTTCAAATCTGCTCTGTCTAAAGGGACGTTCCACTCTGTCAGTTGAATGCACACAACACAAAGAATTTACTGAGAATTCTTCCGTCTAGCATTCAATGAAGAAATCCCGTTTCCAACGAAGGCCTCAAACAGGTCCATATATCCACTTGCAGACTTTACAAACAGTGTGTTTCCAAACTCCTCTATGAAAAGAAAGTTTAAACTCTGTGAGTGGAACGCACACATCACAAAGCACTTTCTGAGAATGATTCTGTCTGGTTATTATACGAAGATATTTCCTTTTCTGCAATTGTCCTCAAATCGCTTGAAATCTCCACCTGAAAATGCCACAGCAAGAGTGTTTCAAATCTGCTCTCTCTAAAGTAAGGTTCAACTCTGTGAGTTGAATACACACAACACAAAAAAGTTACTGAGAACTCTTCTTAGTCTAGCATGAAAGGAAGAAACCCCGTTTGCAACGAAGGCCTCAAAGAGGTCCAAATATCCACTTGCAGACATAACAAGCAGAGTGTTTCTAAAGTGCTCTAAGAAAAGAAAGGTTAAACTCTGTGAGTTGAAGGCACACATCACAAAGTAGTTTCTGAGAATGATTCTGTCTAGTTTTTATTTGAAGATATTTCCTTTTCTACTGTTGGCATCAAATCGCTTGAAATCTCCACTTGCAAACTCCACAAAAAGAGTGTTTCAAATCTGCTCTGTGTAAAGGGACGTTCCACTCTGTGAGTTGAATACACACAGCACAAAGAAGTTACTGAGAATTCTTCTGTCTAGCATGAAATGAAGAAATCCCGTTTCCAACGAAGGCCTCAATGCGGTCCATATATCCACTTGCAGACTTTACAAACAGAGTGTTTCCAAACTGCTCTATGAAAAGAAAGGTTAAACTATGTGAGTTGAACGCACACATCACAAAGAATTTTCTGAGAATGATTCTGTCTGGTTTTTATTTGAAGATATTTCCCTTTCTACTGTTGGCATCAAATGGCTAGAAATCTCCACTTGCAAATTCCGCAAAAAGAGTGTTTCAAATCTGCTCTGTCTAAAGGGACGTTCCACTCTGTGAGTTGAATGCACACAACACAAAGAATTTACTGAGAATTCTTCCGTCTAGCATTCAATGAAGAAATCCCGTTTCCAACGAAGGCCTCAAACAGGTCCATATATCCAATTGCAGACTTTACAAACAGTGTGTTTCCAAACTCCTCTATGAAAAGAAATGTTAAACTCTGTGAGTTGAACGCACACATCTCAAAGCACTTTCTGAGAATGATTCTGTCTGGTTATTATACGAAGATATTTCCTTTTCTGCAATTGTCCTCAAATCGCTTGAAATCTCCACCTGAAAATGCCACAGCAAGAGTGTTTCAAATCTGCTCTCTCTAAAGCAAGGTTCAACTCTGTGAGTTGAATACACACAACACAAAAAAGTTACTGAGAACTCTTCTTAGTCTAGCATGAAAGGAAGAAACCCCGTTTGCAACGAAGGCCTCAAAGAGGTCCAAATATCCACTTGCAGACATAACAAGCAGAGTGTTTCTAAACTGCTCTAAGAAAAGAAAGGTTAAACTCTGTGAGTTGAAGGCACACATCACAAAGTAGTTTCTGAGAATGATTCTGTCTAGTTTTTATTTGAAGATATTTCCTTTTCTACTGTTGGCATCAAATCGCTTGAAATCTCCACTTGCAAATTCCACAAAAAGAGTGTTTCAAATCTGCTCTGTGCAAAGGGACGTTCCACTCTGTGAGTTGAATACACACAGCACAAAGAAGTTACTGAGAATTCTTCTGTCTAGCATGAAATGAAGAAATCCCGTTTCCAACGAAGGCCTCAATGCGGTCCATATATCCACTTGCAGACTTAACAAACAGAGTGTTTCCAAACTGCTCTATGAAAAGAAAGGTTAAACTATGTGAGTTGAACGCACACATCACAAAGAATTTTCTGAGAATGATTCTGTCTGGTTTTTATTTGAAGATATTTCCCTTTCTACTGTTGGCATCAAATGGCTAGAAATCTCCACTTGCAAATTCCGCAAAAAGAGTGTTTCAAATCTGCTCTGTCTAAAGGGACGTTCCACTCTGTGAGTTGAATGCACACCACACAAAGAATTTACTGAGAATTCTTCCGCCTAGCATTCAATGAAGAAATCCCGTTTCCAACGAAGGCCTCAAACAGGTCCATATATCCACTTGCAGACTTTACAAACAGTGTGTTTCCAAACTCCTCTATGAAAAGAAAGGTTAAACTCTGTGAGTTGAACCCACACATCACAAAGCACTTTCTGAGAATGATTCTGTCTGGTTATTATACGAAGATATTTCCTTTTCTGCAATTGTCCTCAAAACGCTTGAAATCTCCACCTGAAAATGCCACAGCAAGAGTGTTTCAAATCTGCTCTCTCTAAAGCAAGGTTCAACTCTGTGAGTTGAATACACACAACACAGAAAAGTTACTGAGAACTCTTCTTAGTCTAGCATTAAAGGAAGAAACCCCGTTTGCAACGAAGGCCTCAAAGAGGTCCAAATATCCACTTGCAGACATAACAAGCAGAGTGTTTCTAAACTGCTCTAAGAAAAGAAAGGTTAAACTCTGTGTGTTGAAGGCACACATCACAAAGTAGTTTCTGAGAATGATTCTGTCTAGTTTTTATTTGAAGATATTTCCTTTTCTACTGTTGGCATCAAATCGCTTGAAATCTCCACTTGCAAATTCCACAAAAAGAGTGTTTCAAATCTGCTCTGTGCAAAGGGACGTTCCACTCTGTGAGTTGAATACACACAGCACAAAGAAGTTACTGAGAATTCTTCTGTCTAGCATGAAATGAAGAAATCCCGTTTCCAACGAAGGCCTCAATGCGGTCCATATATCCACTTGCAGACTTTACAAACAGAGTGTTTCCAAACTGCTCTATGAAAAGAAAGGTTAAACTATGTGAGTTGAACGCACACATCACAAAGAATTTTCTGAGAATGATTCTGTCTGGTTTTTATTTGAAGATATTTCCCTTTCTACTGTTGGCATCAAATGGCTAGAAATCTCCACTTGCAAATTCCGCAAAAAGAGTGTTTCAAATCTGCTCTGTCTAAAGGGACGTTCCACTCTGTGAGTTGAATGCACACAACACAAAGAATTTACTGAGAATTCTTCCGTCTAGCATTCAATGAAGAAATCCCGTTTCCAACGAAGGCCTCAAACAGGTCCATATATCCACTTGCAGACTTTACAAACAGTGTGTTTCCAAACTCCTCTATGAAAAGAAAGGTTAAACTCTGTGAGTGGAACGCACACATCACAAAGCACTTTCTGAGAATGATTCTGTCTGGTTATTATACGAAGATATTTCCTTTTCTGCAATTGTCCTCAAATCGCTTGAAATCTCCACCTGAAAATGCCACAGCAAGAGTGTTTCAAATCTGCTCTCTCTAAAGCAAGGTTCAACTCTGTGAGTTGAATACACACAACACAAAAAAGTTACTGAGAACTCTTCTTAGTCTAGCATGAAAGGAAGAAAACCCGTTTGCAACGAAGGCCTCAAAGAGGTCCAAATATCCACTTGCAGACATAACAAGCAGAGTGTTTCTAAACTGCTCTAAGAAAAGAAAGGTTAAACTCTGTGAGTTGAAGGCACACATCACAAAGTAGTTTCTGAGAATGATTCTGTCTAGTTTTTATTTGAAGATATTTCCTTTTCTACTGTTGGCATCAAATCGCTTGAAATCTCCACTTGCAAACTCCACAAAAAGAGTGTTTCAAATCTGCTCTGTGCAAAGGGACGTTCCACTCTGTGAGTTGAATACACACAGCACAAAGAAGTTACTGAGAATTCTTCTGTCTAGCATGAAATGAAGAAATCCCGTTTCCAACGAAGGCCTCAATGCGGTCCATATATCCACTTGCAGACTTTACAAACAGAGTGTTTCCAAACTGCTCTATGAAAAGAAAGGTTAAACTATGTGAGTTGAACGCACACATCACAAAGAATTTTCTGAGAATGATTCTGTCTGGTTTTTATTTGAAGATATTTCCCTTTCTACTGTTGGCATCAAATGGCTAGAAATCTCCACTTGCAAATTCCGCAAAAAGAGTGTTTCAAATCTGCTCTGTCTAAAGGGACGTTCCACTCTGTGAGTTGAATGCACACAACACAAAGAATTTACTGAGAATTCTTCCGTCTAGCATTCAATGAAGAAATCCCGTTTCCAACGAAGGCCTCAAACAGGTCCATATATCCACTTGCAGACTTTACAAACAGTGTGTTTCCAAACTCCTCTATGAAAAGAAAGGTTAAACTCTGTGAGTTGAACGCACACATCACAAAGCACTTTCTGAGAATGATTCTGTCTGGTTGTTATACGAAGATATTTCCTTTTCTGCAATTGTCCTCAAATCGGTTGAAATCTCCACCTGAAAATGCCACAGCAAGAGTGTTTCAAATCTGCTCTCTCTAAAGCAAGGTTCAACTCTGTGAGTTGAATACACACAACACAAAAAAGTTACTGAGAACTCTTCTTAGTCTAGCATGAAAGGAAGAAACCCCGTTTGCAACGAAGGCCTCAAAGAGGTCCAAATATCCACTTGCAGACATAACAAGCAGAGTGTTTCTAAACTGCTCTAAGAAAAGAAAGGTTAAACTCTGTGAGTTGAAGGCACACATCACAAAGTAGTTTCTGAGAATGATTCTGTCTAGTTTTTATTTGAAGATATTTCCTTTTCTACTGTTGGCATCATATCGCTTGAAATCTCCACTTGCAAATTCCACAAAAAGAGTGTTTCAAATCTGCTCTGTGCAAAGGGACGTTCCACTCTGTGAGTTGAATACACACAGCACAAAGAAGTTACTGAGAATTCTTCTGTCTAGCATGAAATGAAGAAATCCCGTTTCCAACGAAGGCCTCAATGCGGTCCATATATCCACTTGCAGACTTTACAAACAGAGTGTTTCCAAACTGCTCTATGAAAAGAAAGGTTAAACTATGTGAGTTGAACGCACACATCACAAAGAATTTTCTGAGAATGATTCTGTCTGGTTTTTATTTGAAGATATTTCCCTTTCTACTGTTGGCATCAAATGGCTAGAAATCTCCACTTGCAAATTCCGCAAAAAGAGTGTTTCAAATCTGCTCTGTCTAAAGGGACGTTCCACTCTGTGAGTTGAATGCACACAACACAAAGAATTTACTGAGAATTCTTCCGTCTAGCATTCAATGAAGAAATCCCGTTTCCAACGGAGGCCTCAAACAGGTCCATATATCCAATTGCAGACTTTACAAACAGTGTGTTTCCAAACTCCTCTATGAAAAGAAAGGTTAAACTCTGTGAGTTGAACGCACACATCACAAAGCACTTTCTGAGAATGATTCTGTCTGGTTATTATACGAAGATATTTCCTTTTCTGCAATTGTCCTCAAATCGCTTGAAATCTCCACCTGAAAATGCCACAGCAAGAGTGTTTCAAATCTGCTGTCTCTAAAGCAAGGTTCAACTCTGTGAGTTGAATACACACAACACAAAAAAGTTACTGAGAACTCTTCTTAGTCTAGCATGAAAGGAAGAAACCCCGTTTGCAACGAAGGCCTCAAAGAGGTCCAAATATCCACTTGCAGACATAACAAGCAGAGTGTTTCTAAACTGCTCTAAGAAAAGAAAGGTTAAACTCTGTGAGTTGAAGGCACACATCACAAAGTAGTTTCTGAGAATGATTCTGTCTAGTTTTTATTTGAAGATATTTCCTTTTCTACTGTTGGCATCAAATCGCTTGAAATCTCCACTTGCAAACTCCACAAAAAGAGTGTTTCAAATCTGCTCTGTGTAAAGTGACGTTCCACTCTGTGAGTTGAATACACACAGCACAAAGAAGTTACTGAGAATTCTTCTGTCTAGCATGAAATGAAGAAATCCCGTTTCCAACGAAGGCCTCAATGCGGTCCATATATCCACTTGCAGACTTTACAAACAGAGTGTTTCCAAACTGCTCTATGAAAAGAAAGGTTAAACTATGTGAGTTGAACGCACACATCACAAAGAATTTTCTGAGAATGATTCTGTCTGGTTTTTATTTGAAGATATTTCCCTTTCTACTGTTGGCATCAAATGGCTAGAAATCTCCACTTGCAAATTCCGCAAAAAGAGTGTTTCAAATCTGCTCTGTCTAAAGGGACGTTCCACTCTGTGAGTTGAATGCACACAACACAAAGAATTTACTGAGAATTCTTCCGTCTAGCATTCAATGAAGAAATCCCGTTTCCAACGAAGGCATCAAACAGGTCCATATATCCAATTGCAGACTTTACAAACAGTGTGTTTCCAAACTCCTCTATGAAAAGAAAGGTTAAACTCTGTGAGTTGAACGCACACATCACAAAGCACTTTCTGAGAATGATTCCGTCTGGTTATTATACGAAGATATTTCCTTTTCTGCAATTGTCCTCAAATCGCTTGAAATCTCCACCTGAAAATGCCACAGCAAGAGTGTTTCAAATCTGCTCTCTCTAAAGCAAGGTTCAACTCTGTGAGTTGAATACACACAACACAAAAAAGTTACTGAGAACTCTTCTTAGTCTAGCATGAAAGGAAGAAACCCCGTTTGCAACGAAGGCCTCAATGCGGTCCATATATCCACTTGCAGACATAACAAGCAGAGTGTTTCTAAACTGCTCTAAGAAAAGAAAGGATAAACTCTGTGAGTTGAAGGCACACATCACAAAGTAGTTTCTGAGAATGATTCTGTCTAGTTTTTATTTGAAGATATTTCCTTTTCTACTGTTGGCATCAAATCGCTTGAAATCTCCACTTGCAAATTCCACAAAAAGAGTGTTTCAAATCTGCTCTGTGCAAAGGGACGTTCCACTCTGTGAGTTGAATACACACAGCACAAAGAAGTTACTGAGAATTCTTCTGTCTAGCATGAAATGAAGAAATCCCGTTTCCAACGAAGGGCCTCAATGCGGTCCATATATCCACTTGCAGACTTTACAAACAGAGTGTTTCCAAACTGCTCTATGAAAAGAAAGGTTAAACTATGTGAGTTGAACGCACACATCACAAAGAATTTTCTGAGAATGATTCTGTCTGGTTTTTATTTGAAGATATTTCCCTTTCTACTGTTGGCATCAAATGGCTAGAAATCTCCACTTGCAAATTCCGCAAAAAGGGTGTTTCAAATCTGCTCTGTCTAAAGGGACGTTCCACTCTGTCAGTTGAATGCACACAACACAAAGAATTTACTGAGAATTCTTCCGTCTAGCATTCAATGAAGAAATCCCGTTTCCAACGAAGGCCTCAAACAGGTCCATATATCCAATTGCAGACTTTACAAACAGTGTGTTTCCAAACTCCTCTATGAAAAGAAAGGTTAAACTCTGTGAGTTGAACGCACACATCACAAAGCACTTTCTGAGAATTATTCTGTCTGGTTGTTATACGAAGATATTTCCTTTTCTGCAATTGTCCTCAAATCGCTTGAAATCTCCACCTGAAAATGCCACAGCAAGAGTGTTTCAAATCTGCTCTCTCTAAAGCAAGGTTCAGCTCTGTGAGTTGAATACACACAACACAAAAAAGTTACTGAGAACTCTTCTTAGTCTAGCATGAAAGGAAGAAACCCCGTTTGCAACGAAGGCCTCAAAGAGGTCCAAATATCCACTTGCAGACATAACAAGCAGAGTGTTTCTAAACTGCTCTAAGAAAAGAAAGGTTAAACTCTGTGAGTTGAAGGCACACATCACAAAGAATTTTCTGAGAATGATTCTGTCTGGTTTTTATTTGAAGATATTTCCCTTTCTACTGTTGGCATCAAATGGCTAGAAATCTCCACTTGCAAATTCCGCAAAAAGAGTGTTTCAAATCTGCTCTGTGTAAAGGGACGTTCCACTCTGTGAGTTGAATACACACAGCACAAAGAAGTTACTGAGAATTCTTCTGTCTAGCATGAAATGAAGAAATCCCGTTTCCAACGAAGGCCTCAAAGCGGTCCATATATCCACTTGCAGACATTACCAACAGAGTGTTCCCAAACTGCTCTATGAAAAGAAAGGTTAAACTATGTGAGTTGAACGCACACATCACAAAGAATTTTCTGAGAATGATTCTGTCTGGTTTTTATTTGAAGATATTTCCCTTTCTACTGTTGGCATCAAATGGCTAGAAATCTCCACTTGCAAATTCCGCAAAAAGAGTGTTTCAAATCTGCTCTGTCTAAAGGGACGTTCCACTCTGTGAGTTGAATGCACACAACACAAAGAATTTACTGAGATTTCTTCCGTCTAGCATTCAATGAAGAAATCCCGTTTCCAACGAAGGCCTCAAACAGGTCCATATATCCACTTGCAGACTTTACAAACAGTGTGTTTCCAAACTCCTCTATGAAAAGAAAGGTTAAACTCTGTGAGTGGAACGCACACATCACAAAGCACTTTCTGAGAATGATTCTGTCTGGTTATTATACGAAGATATTTCCTTTTCTGCAATTGTCCTCAAATCGCTTGAAATCTCCACCTGAAAATGCCACAGCAAGAGTGTTTCAAATCTGCTCTCTCTAAAGCAAGGTTCAACTCTGTGAGTTGAATACACACAACACAAAAAAGTTACTGAGAACTCTTCTTAGTCTAGCATGAAAGGAAGAAACCCCTTTTTGCAACGAAGGCCTCAAAGAGGTCCAAATATCCACTTGCAGACATAACAAGCAGAGTGTTTCTAAACTGCTCTAAGAAAAGAAAGGTTAAACTCTGTGAGTTGAAGGCACACATCACAAAGTAGTTTCTGAGAATGATTCTGTCTAGTTTTTATTTGAAGATATTTCCTTTTCTACTGTTGGCATCAAATCGCTTGAAATCTCCACTTGCAAACTCCACAAAAAGAGTGTTTCAAATCTGCTCTGTGCAAAGGGACGTTCCACTCTGTGAGTTGAATACACACAGCACAAAGAAGTTACTGAGAATTCTTCTGTCTAGCATGAAATGAAGAAATCCCGTTTCCAACGAAGGCCTCAATGCGGTCCATATATCCACTTGCAGACTTTACAAACAGAGTGTTTCCAAACTGCTCTATGAAAAGAAAGGTTAAACTATGTGAGTTGAACGCACACATCACAAAGAATTTTCTGAGAATGATTCTGTCTGGTTTTTATTTGAAGATATTTCCCTTTCTACTGTTGGCATCAAATGGCTAGAAATCTCCACTTGCAAATTCCGCAAAAAGAGTGTTTCAAATCTGCTCTGTCTAAAGGGACGTTCCACTCTGTGAGTTGAATGCACACCACACAAAGAATTTACTGAGAATTCTTCCGTCTAGCATTCAATGAAGAAATCCCGTTTCCAACGAAGGCCTCAAACAGGTCCATATATCCAATTGCAGACATTACAAACAGTGTGTTTCCAAACTCCTCTATGAAAAGAAAGGTTAAACTCCTGTGAGTTGAACGCACACATCACAAAGCACTTTCTGAGAATGATTCTGTCTGGTTATTATACGGAAGATATTTCCTTTTCTGCAATTGTCCTCAAATCGCTTGAAATCTCCACCTGAAAATGCCACAGCAAGAGTGTTTCAAATCTGCTCTCTCTAAAGCAAGGTTCAACTCTGTGAGTTGAATACACACAACACAAAAAAGTTACTGAGAACTCTTCTTAGTCTAGCATTAAAGGAAGAAACCCCGTTTGCAACGAAGGCCTCAAAGAGGTCCAAATATCCACTTGCAGACATAACAAGCAGAGTGTTTCTAAACTGCTCTAAGAAAAGAAAGGTTAAACTCTGTGAGTTGAAGGCACACATCACAAAGTAGTTTCTGAGAATGATTCTGTCTAGTTTTTATTTGAAGATATTTCCTTTTCTACTGTTGGCATCAAATCGCTTGAAATCTCCACTTGCAAACTCCACAAAAAGAGTGTTTCAAATCTGCTCTGTGTAAAGGGACGTTCCACTCTGTGAGTTGAATACACACAGCACAAAGAAGTTACTGAGAATTCTTCTGTCTAGCATGAAATGAAGAAATCCCGTTTCCAACGAAGGCCTCAATGCGGTCCATATATCCACTTGCAGACTTTACAAACAGAGTGTTTCCAAACTGCTCTATGAAAAGAAAGGTTAAACTATGTGAGTTGAACGCACACATCACAAAGAATTTTCTGAGAATGATTCTGTCTGGTTTTTATTTGAAGATATTTCCCTTTCTACTGTTGGCATCAAATGGCTAGAAATCTCCACTTGCAAATTCCGCAAAAAGAGTGTTTCAAATCTGCTCTGTCTAAAGGGACGTTCCACTCTGTGAGTTGAATGCACACAACACAAAGAATTTACTGAGAATTCTTCCGTCTAGCATTCAATGAAGAAATCCCGTTTCCAAAGAAGGCCTCAAACAGGTCCATATATCCAATTGCAGACTTTACAAACAGTGTGTTTCCAAACTCCTCTATGAAAAGAAAGGTTAAACTCTGTGAGTTGAACGCACACATCACAAAGCACTTTCTGAGAATGATTCTGTCTGGTTATTATACGAAGATATTTCCTTTTCTGCAATTGTCCTCAAATCGCTTGAAATCTCCACCTGAAAATGCCACAGCAAGAGTGTTTCAAATCTGCTCTCTCTAAAGCAAGGTTCAACTCTGTGAGTTGAATACACACAACACAAAAAAGTTACTGAGAACTCTCTTAGTCTAGCATGAAAGGAAGAAACCCCGTTTGCAACGAAGGCCTCAAAGAGGTCCAAATATCCACTTGCAGACATAACAAGCAGAGTGTTTCTAAACTGCTCTAAGAAAAGAAAGGTTAAACTCTGTGAGTTGAAGGCACACATCACAAAGTAGTTTCTGAGAATGATTCTGTCTAGTTTTTATTTGAAGATATTTCCTTTTCTACTGTTGGCATCAAATCGCTTGAAATCTCCACTTGCAAATTCCACAAAAAGAGTGTTTCAAATCTGCTCTGTGCAAAGGGACGTTCCACTCTGTGAGTTGAATACACACAGCACAAAGAAGTTACTGAGAATTCTTCTGTCTAGCATGAAATGAAGAAATCCCGTTTCCAACGAAGGCCTCAATGCGGTCCATATATCCACTTGCAGACTTTACAAACAGAGTGTTTCCAAACTGCTCTATGAAAAGAAAGGTTAAACTATGTGAGTTGAACGCACACATCACAAAGAATTTTCTGAGAATGATTCTGTCTGGTTTTTATTTGAAGATATTTCCCTTTCTACTGTTGGCATCAAATGGCTAGAAATCTCCACTTGCAAATTCCGCAAAAAGAGTGTTTCAATTCTGCTCTGTCTAAAGGGACGTTCCACTTTGTGAGTTGAATGCACACAACACAAAGAATTTACTGAGAATTCTTCCGTCTAGCATGCAATGAAGAAATCCCGTTTCCAACGAAGGCCTCAAACAGGTCCATATATCCAATTGCAGACTTTACAAACAGTGTGTTTCCAAACTCCTCTATGAAAAGAAAGGTTAAACTCTGTGAGTTGAACGCACACATCACAAAGCACTTTCTGAGAATGATTCTGTCTGGTTATTATACGAAGATATTTCCTTTTCTGCAATTGTCCTCAAATCGCTTGAAATCTCCACCTGAAAATGCCACAGCAAGAGTGTTTCAAATCTGCTCTCTCTAAAGCAAGGTTCAACTCTGTGAGTTGAATACACACAACACAAAAAAGTTACTGAGAACTCTTCTTAGTCTAGCATGAAAGGAAGAAACCCCGTTTGCAACGAAGGCCTCAAAGAGGTCCAAATATCCACTTGCAGACATAACAAGCAGAGTGTTTCTAAACTGCTCTAAGAAAAGAAAGGTTAAACTATGTGAGTTGAACGCACACATCACAAAGAATTTTCTGAGAATGATTTCTGTCTAGTTTTTATTTGAAGATATTTCCTTTTCTACTGTTGGCATCAAATCGCTTGAAATCTCCACTTGCAAATTCCACAAAAAGAGTGTTTCAAATCTGCTCTGTGTAAACGGACGTTCCACTCTGTGAGTTGAATACACACAGCACAAAGAAGTTACTGAGAATTCTTCTGTCTAGCATGAAATGAAGAAATCCCGTTTCCAACGAAGGCCTCAATGCGGTCCATAGATCCACTTGCAGACTTTACAAACAGAGTGTTTCCAAACTGCTCTATGAAAAGAAAGGTTAAACTATGTGAGTTGAACGCACACATCACAAAGAATTTTCTGAGAATGATTCTGTCTGGTTTTTATTTGAAGATATTTCCCTTTCTACTGTTGGCATCAAATGGCTAGAAATCTCCACTTGCAAATTCCGCAAAAAGAGTGTTTCAAATCTGCTCTGTCTAAAGGGACGTTCCACTCTGTGAGTTGAATGCACACAACACAAAGAATTTACTGAGAATTCTTCCGTCTAGCATTCAATGAAGAAATCCCGTTTCCAACGAAGGCCTCAAACAGGTCCATATATCCACTTGCAGACTTTACAAACAGTGTGTTTCCAAACTCCTCTATGAAAAGAAAGGTTAAACTCTGTGAGTTGAACGCACACATCACAAAGCACTTCCTGAGAATGATTCTGTCTGGTTATTATACGAAGATATTTCCTTTTCTGCAATTGTCCTCAAATCGCTTGAAATCTCCACCTGAAAATGCCACAGCAAGAGTGTTTCAAATCTGCTCTCTCTAAAGCAAGGTTCAACTCTGTGAGTTGAATACACACAGCACAAAAAAGTTACTGAGAACTCTTCTTAGTCTAGCATGAAAGGAAGAAACACCGTTTGCAACGAAGGCCTCAAAGAGGTCCAAATATCCACTTGCAGACATAACAAGCAGAGTGTTTCTAAAGTGCTCTAAGAAAAGAAAGGTTAAACTCTGTGAGTTGAAGGCACACATCACAAAGTAGTTTCTGAGAATGATTCTGTCTAGTTTTTATTTGAAGATATTTCCTTTTCTACTGTTGGCATCAAATCGCTTGAAATCTCCACTTGCAAACTCCACAAAAAGAGTGTTTCAAATCTGCTCTGTGCAAAGGGACGTTCCACTCTGTGAGTTGAATACACACAGCACAAAGAAGTTACTGAGAATTCTTCTGTCTAGCATGAAATGAAGAAATCCCGTTTCCAACGAAGGCCTCAATGCGGTCCATATATCCACTTGCAGACTTTACAAACAGAGTGTTTCCAAACTGCTCTATGAAAAGAAAGGTTAAACTATGTGAGTTGAACGCACACATCACAAAGAATTTTCTGAGAATGATTCTGTCTGGTTTTTATTTGAAGATATTTCCCTTTCTACTGTTGGCATCAAATGGCTAGAAATCTCCACTTGCAAATTCCGCAAAAAGAGTGTTTCAAATCTGCTCTGTCTAAAGGGACGTTCCACTCTGTGTGTTGAATCCACACAACACAAAGAATTTACTGAGAATTCTTCCGTCTAGCATTCAATGAAGAAATCCCGTTTCCAACGAAGGCCTCAAAGAGGTCCATATATCCACTTGCAGACTTTACAAACAGTGTGTTTCCAAACTCCTCTATGAAAAGAAAGGTTAAACTCTGTGAGTGGAACGCACACATCACAAAGCACTTTCTGAGAATGATTCTGTCTGGTTATTATACGAAGATATTTCCTTTTCTGCAATTGTCCTCAAATCGCTTGAAATCTCCACCTGAAAATGCCACAGCAAGAGTGTTTCAAATCTGCTCTCTCTAAAGCAAGGTTCAACTCTGTGAGTTGAATACACACAACACAAAAAAGTTACTGAGAACTCTTCTTAGTCTAGCATGAAAGGAAGAAACCCCGTTTGCAACGAAGGCCTCAAAGAGGTCCAAATATCCACTTGCAGACATAACAAGCAGAGTGTTTCTAAACTGCTCTAAGAAAAGAAAGGTTAAACTCTGTGAGTTGAAGGCACACATCACGAAGTAGTTTCTGAGAATGATTCTGTCTAGTTTTTATTTGAAGATATTTCCTTTTCTACTGTTGGCATCAAATCGCTTGAAATCTCCACTTGCAAACTCCACAAAAAGAGTGTTTCAAATCTGCTCTGTGCAAAGGGACGTTCCACTCTGTGAGTTGAATACACACAGCACAAAGAAGTTACTGAGAATTCTTCTGTCTAGCATGAAATGAAGAAATCCCGTTTCCAACGAAGGCCTCAATGCGGTCCATATATCCACTTGCAGACTTTACAAACAGAGTGTTTCCAAACTGCTCTATGAAAAGAAAGGTTAAACTATGTGAGTTGAACGCACACATCACAAAGAATTTTCTGAGAATGATTCTGTCTGGTTTTTATTTGAAGATATTTCCCTTTCTACTGTTGGCATCAAATGGCTAGAAATCTCCACTTGCAAATTCCGCAAAAAGAGTGTTTCAAATCTGCTCTGTCTAAAGGGACGTTCCACTCTGTGAGTTGAATGCACACAACACAAAGAATTTACTGAGAATTCCTCCGTCTAGCATTCAATGAAGAAATCCCGTTTCCAACGGAGGCCTCAAACAGGTCCATATATCCAATTGCAGACTTTACAGTGTGTTTCCAAGCTCCTCTATGAAAAGAAAGGTTAAATTCTGTGAGTTGAACGCACACATCACAAAGCACTTTCTGAGAATGATTCTGTCTGGTTATTATACGAAGATATTTCCTTTTCTGCCATTGTCCTCAAATCGCTTGAAATCTCCACCTGAAAATTCCACAGCAAGAGTGTTTCAAATCTGCTCTCTCTAAAGCAAGGTTCAACTCTGTGAGTTGAATACACACAACACAAAAAAGTTACTGAGAACTCTTCTTAGTCTAGCATGAAAGGAAGAAACCCCGTTTGCAACGAAGGCCTCAAAGAGGTCCAAATATCCACTTGCAGACATAACAAGCAGAGTGTTTCTAAACTGCTCTAAGAAAAGAAAGGTTAAACTCTGTGAGTTGAAGGCACACATCACAAAGTAGTTTCTGAGAATGATTCTGTCTAGTTTTTATTTGAAGATATTTCCTTTTCTACTGTTGGCATCAAATCGCTTGAAATCTTCACTTGCAAACTCCACAAAAAGAGTGTTTCAAATCCGCTCTGTGCAAAGGGACGTTCCACTCTGTGAGTTGAATACACACAGCACAAAGAAGTTACTGAGAATTCTTCTGTCTAGCATGAAATGAAGAAATCCCGTTTCCAACGAAGGCCTCAATGCGGTCCATATATCCACTTGCAGAGTTTACAAACAGAGTGTTTCCAAACTGCTCTATGAAAAGAAAGGTTAAACTATGTGAGTTGAACGCACACATCACAAAGAATTTTCTGAGAATGATTCTGTCTGGTTTTTATTTGAAGATATTTCCCTTTCTACTGTTGGCATCAAATGGCTAGAAATCTCCACTTGCAAATTCCGCAAAAAGAGTGTTTCAAATCTGCTCTGTCTAAAGGGACGTTCCACTCTGTGAGTTGAATGCACATAACACAAAGAATTTACTGAGAATTCTTCCGTCTAGCATTCAATGAAGAAATCCCGTTTCCAACGAAGGCCTCAAACAGGTCCATATATCCAATTGCAGACTTTACAAACAGTGTGTTTCCAAACTCCTCTATGAAAAGAAAGGTTAAACTCTGTGAGTTGAACGCACACAACACAAAGCACTTTCTGAGAATGATTCTGTCTGGTTATTATACGAAGATATTTCCTTTTCTGCAATTGTCCTCAAATCGCTTGAAATCTCCACCTGAAAATGCCACAGCAAGAGTGTTTCAAATCTGCTCTCTCTAAAGCAAGGTTCAACTCTGTGAGTTGAATACACACAACACAAAAAAGTTACTGAGAACTCTTCTTAGTCTAGCATGAAAGGAAGAAACCCCGTTTGCAACGAAGGCCTCAAAGAGGTCCAAATATCCACTTGCAGACATAACAAGCAGAGTGTTTCTAAACTGCTCTAAGAAAAGAAAGGTTAAACTCTGTGAGTTGAAGGCACACATCACAAAGTAGTTTCTGAGAATGATTCTGTCTAGTTTTTATTTGAAGATATTTCCTTTTCTACTGCTGGTATCAAATCGCTTGAAATCTCCACTTGCAAACTCCACAAAAAGAGTGTTTCAAATCTGCTCTGTGTAAAGGGACGTTCCACTCTGTGAGTTGAATACACACAGCACAAAGAAGTTACTGAGAATTCTTCTGTCTAGCACGAAATGAAGAAATCCCGTTTCCAACGAAGGCCTCAATGCGGTCTATATATCCACTTGCAGACTTTAAAAACAGAGTGTTTCCAAACTGCTCTATGAAAAGAAAGGTTAAACTATGTGAGTTGAACGCACACATCACAAAGAATTTTCTGAGAATGATTCTGTCTGGTTTTTATTTGAAGATATTTCCCTTTCTACTGTTGGCATCAAATGGCTAGAAATCTCCACTTGCAAATTCCGCAAAAAGAGTGTTTCAAATCTGCTCTGTCTAAAGGGACGTTCCACTCTGTGAGTTGAATGCACACAACACAAAGAATTTACTGAGAATTCTTCCGTCTAGCATTCAATGAAGAAATCCCGTTTCCAACGAAGGCCTCAAACAGGTCCATATATCCAATTGCAGACTTTACAAACAGTGTGTTTCCACACTCCTCTATGAAAAGAAAGGTTAAACTCTGTGAGTTGAACGCACACATCACAAAGCACTTTCTGAGAATGATTCTGTCTGGTTATTGTACGAAGATATTTCCTTTTCTGCAATTGTCCTCAAATCGCTTGAAATCTCCACCTGAAAATGCCACAGCAAGAGTGTTTCAAATCTGCTCTCTCTAAAGCAAGGTTCAACTCTGTGAGTTGAATACACACAACACAAAAAAGTTACTGAGAACTCTTCTTAGTCTAGCATTAAAGGAAGAAACCCCGTTTGCAACGAAGGCCTCAAAGAGGTCCAAATATCCACTTGCAGACATAACAAGCAGAGTGTTTCTAAACTGCTCTAAGAAAAGAAAGGTTAAACTCTGTGAGTTGAAGGCACACATCACAAAGTAGTTTCTGAGAATGATTCTGTCTAGTTTTTATTTGAAGATATTTCCTTTTCTACTGTTGGCATCAAATCGCTTGAAATCTCCACTTGCAAACTCCACAAAAAGAGTGTTTCAAATCTGCTCTGTGCAAAGGGACGTTCCACTCTGTGAGTTGAATACACACAGCACAAAGAAGTTACTGAGAATTCTTCTGTCTAGCATGAAATGAAGAAATCCCGTTTCCAACGAAGGCCTCAATGCGGTCCATATATCCACTTGCAGACTTTACAAACAGAGTGTTTCCAAACTGCTCTATGAAAAGAAAGGTTAAACTATGTGAGTTGAACGCACACATCACAAAGAATTTTCTGAGAATGATTCTATCTGGTTTTTATTTGAAGATGTTTCCCTTTCTACTGTTGGCATCAAATGGCTAGAAATCTCCACTTGCAAATTCCGCAAAAAGAGTGTTTCAAATCTGCTCTGTCTAAAGGGACGTTCCACTCTGTGAGTTGAATGCACACAACACAAAGAATTTACTGAGAATTCTTCCGTCTAGCATTCAATGAAGAAATCCCGTTTCCAACGAAGGCCTCAAACAGGTCCATATATCCACTTGCAGAGTTTACAAACAGTGTGTTTACAAACTCCTCTATGAAAAGAAAGGTTAAACTCTGTGAGTGGAACGCACACATCACAAAGCACTTTCTGAGAATGATTCTGTCTGGTTATTATACGAAGATATTTCCTTTTCTGCAATTGTCCTCAAAACGCTTGAAATCTCCACCTGAAAATGCCACAGCAAGAGTGTTTCAAATCTGCTCTCTCTAAAGCAAGGTTCAACTCTGTGAGTTGAATACACACAACACAAAAAAGTTACTGAGAACTCTTCTTAGTCTAGCATGAAAGGAAGAAACCCCGTTTGCAACGAAGGCCTCAAAGAGGTCCAAATATCCACTTGCAGACATAACAAGCAGAGTGTTTCTAAACTGCTCTAAGAAAAGAAAGGTTAAACTCTGTGAGTTGAAGGCACACATCACAAAGTAGTTTCTGAGAATGATTCTGTCTAGTTTTTATTTGAAGATATTTCCTTTTCTACTGTTGGCATCAAATCGCTTGAAATCTCCACTTGCAAACTCCACAAAAAGAGTGTTTCAAATCTGCTCTGTGCAAAGGGACGTTCCACTCTGTGAGTTGAATACACACAGCACAAAGAAGTTACTGAGAATTCTTCTGTCTAGCATGAAATGAAGAAATCCCGTTTCCAACGAAGGCCTCAATGCGGTCCATAGATCCACTTGCAGACTTTACAAACAGAGTGTTTCCAAACTGCTCTATGAAAAGAAAGGTTAAACTATGTGAGTTGAACGCACACATCACAAAGAATTTTCTGAGAATGATTCTGTCTGGTTTTTATTTGAAGATATTTCCCTTTCTACTGTTGGCATCAAATGGCTAGAAATCTCCACTTGCAAATTCCGCAAAAAGAGTGTTTCAAATCTGCTCTGTCTAAAGGGACGTTCCACTCTGTGAGGTGAATGCACACAACACAAAGAATTTACTGAGAATTCTTCCGTCTAGCATTCAATGAAGAAATCCCGTTTCCAACGAAGGCCTCAAACAGGTCCATATATCCACTTGCAGACTTTACAAACAGTGTGTTTCCAAACTCCTCTATGAAAAGAAAGGTTAAACTCTGTGAGTTGAACGCACACATCACAAAGCACTTTCTGAGAATGATTCTGTCTGGTTATTATACGAAGATATTTCCTTTTCTGCAATTGTTCTCAAATCGCTTGAAATCTCCACCTGAAAATGCCATAGCAAGAGTGTTTCAAATCTGCTCTCTCTAAAGCAAGGTTCAACTCTGTGATTTGAATACACACAACACAAAAAAGTTACTGAGAACTCTTCTTAGTCTAGCATTAAAGGAAGAAACCCCGTTTGCAACGAAGACCTCAAAGAGGTCCAAATATCCACTTGCATACATAACAAGCAGAGTGTTTCTAAACTGCTCTAAGAAAAGAAAGGTTAAACTCTGTGAGTTGAAGGCACACATCACAAAGTAGTTTCTGATAATGATTCTGTCTAGTTTTTATTTGGAGATATTTCCTTTTCTACTGTTGGCATCAAATCGCTTGAAATCTCCACTTGCAAATTCCAGAAAAAGAGTGTTTCAAATCTGCTCTGTGCAAAGGGACGTTCCACTCTGTGAGTTGAATACACACAGCACAAAGAAGTTACTGAGAATTCTTCTGTCTAGCATGAAATGAAGAAATCCCGTTTCCAACGAAGGCCTCAATGCGGTCCATATATCCACTTGCAGACTTTAACAACAGAGTGTTTCCAAACTGTTCTATGAAAAGAAAGGTTAAAGTATGTGAGTTGAACGCACACATCACAAAGAATTTTCTGAGGATGATTCTGTCTGGTTTTTATTTGAAGATATTTCCCTTTCTACTGTTGGCATCAAATGGCTAGAAATCTCCACTTGCAAATTCCGCAAAAAGAGTGTTTCAAATCTGCTCTGTCTAAAGGGACGTTCCACTCTGTGAGTTGAATGCACACAACACAAAGAATTTACTGAGAATTCTTCCGTCTAGCATTCAATGAAGAAATCCCGTTTCCAACCAAGGCCTCAAACAGGTCCATATATCCACTTGCAGAGTTTACAAACAGTGTGTTTCCAAACTCCTCTATGAAAAGAAAGGTTAAACTCTGTGAGTGGAACGCACACATCACAAAGCACTTTCTGAGAATGATTCTGTCTGGTTTTTATACGAAGACATTTCCTTTTCTGCAATTGTCCTCAAATCGCTTGAAATCTCCAACTGAAAATACCACAGCAAGAGTGTTTCAAATCTGCTCTCTCTAAAGCAAGGTTCAACCCTGTGAGTTGAATACACACAACTCAAAAAAGTTACTGAGAACTCGAATTAGTCTAGCATTAAATGAAGAAATCCCGTTTGCAACGAAGGCCTCAAAGAGGTCCAAATATCCACTTGCAGACATAACAAGCAGAGTGTTTCTAAACTGCTCTAAGAAAAGAAAGGTTAAACTCTGTGAGTTGAAGGCATACTTCACAAAGTAGTTTCTGAGAATGATCCTCTCTAGCTTTTATTTGAAGATATTTCCTTTTCTACTGTTGGCATCAAATGGCTTGAAATCTCCACTTGCAAATTCCACAAAAAGAGTGTTTCAAATCTGCTCTGTCTAAAGGGACGTTCCACTCTGTGAGTTGAATACACACAATACAAAGAAGTTACTGAGAATTCTTCTGTCTAGCAATAAATGAAGAAATCCCGTTTCCAACGAAGGCCTCAAATCGGTCCATATATCTACTTGCAGATTTTACAAACAGAGTGTTTCCAAACTGCTCTGTGAAAAGAAAGGTTAAACTATGTGAGTTGAACGCACACATCACAAAGAATTTTCTGAGAATGATTCTGTCTGGTTTTTATTTGAAGATATTTCCCTTTCTACTGTTGGCATCAAATGGCTAGAAATCTCCACTTGCAAATTCCGCAAAAAGAGTGTTTCAAATCTGCTCTGTCTAAAGGGACGTTCCACTCTGTGAGTTGAATGCACACAACACAAAGAATTTACTGAGAATTCTTCCGTCTAGCATTCAATGAAGAAATCCCGTTTCCAACGAAGGCCTCAAACAGGTCCATATATCCACTTGCAGACTTTACAAACAGTGTGTTTCCAAACTCCTCTATGAAAAGAAAGGTTAAACTCTGTGAGTTGAACGCACACATCACAAAGCACTTTCTGAGAATGATTCTGTCTGGTTATTATACGAAGATATTTCCTTTTCTGCAATTGTCCTCAAATCGCTTGAAATCTCCACCTGAAAATGCCACAGCAAGAGTGTTTCAAATCTGCTCTCTCTAAAGCAAGGTTCAACTCTGTGAGTTGAATACACACAACACAAAAAAGTTCCTGAGAACTCTTCTTAGTCTAGCATGAAAGGAAGAAACCCCGTTTGCAACGAAGGCCTCAAAGAGGTCCAAATATCCACTTGCAGACATAACAAGCAGAGTGTTTCTAAACTGCTCTAAGAAAAGAAAGGTTAAACTCTGTGAGTTGAAGGCACACATCACAAAGTAGTTTCTGAGAATGATTCTGTCTAGTTTTTATTTGAAGATATTTCCTTTTCTACTGTTGGCATCAAATCGCTTGAAATCTCCACTTGCAAACTCCACAAAAAGAGTGTTTCAAATCTGCTCTGTGTAAAGGGACGTTCCACTCTGTGAGTTGAATACACACAGCACAAAGAAGTTACTGAGAATTCTTCTGTCTAGCATGAAATGAAGAAATCCCGTTTCCAACGAAGGCCTCAATGCGGTCCATATATCCACTTGCAGACTTTACAAACAGAGTGTTTCCAAACTGCTCTATGAAAAGAAAGGTTAAACTATGTGAGTTGAACGCACACATCACAAAGAATTTTCTGAGAATGATTCTGTCTGGTTTTTATTTGAAGATATTTCCCTTTCTACTGTTGGCATCAAATGGCTAGAAATCTCCACTTGCAAATTCCGCAAAAAGAGTGTTTCAAATCTGCTCTGTCTAAAGGGACGTTCCACTCTGTGAGTTGAATGCACACAACACAAAGAATTTACTGAGAATTCTTCCGTCTAGCATTCAATGAAGAAATCCCGTTTCCAACGAAGGCCTCAAACAGGTCCATATATCCAATTGCAGACTTTACAAACAGTGTGTTTCCAAACTCCTCTATGGAAAGAAAGGTTAAACTCTGTGAGTGGAACGCACACATCACAAAGCACTTTCTGAGAATGATTCTGTCTGGTTATTATACGAAGATATTTCCTTTTCTGCAATTGTCCTCAAATCGCTTGAAATCTCCACCTGAAAATGCCACAGCAAGAGTGTTTCAAATCTGCTCTCTCTAAAGCAAGGTTCAACTCTGTGAGTTGAATACACACAACACAAAAAAGTTACTGAGAACTCTTCTTAGTCTAGCATGAAAGGAAGAAACCCCGTTTGCAACGAAGGCCTCAAAGAGGTCCAAATATCCACTTGCAGACATAACAAGCAGAGTGTTTCTAAAGTGCTCTAAGAAAAGAAAGGTTAAACTCTGTGAGTTGAAGGCACACATCACAAAGTAGTTTCTGAGAATGATTCTGTCTAGTTTTTATTTGAAGATATTTCCTTTTCTACTGTTGGCATCAAATCGCTTGAAATCTCCACTTGCAAACTCCACAAAAAGAGTGTTTAAAATCTGCTCTGTGCAAAGGGACGTTCCACTCTGTGAGTTGAATACACACAGCACAAAGAAGTTACTGAGAATTCTTCTGTCTAGCATGAAATGAAGAAATCCCGTTTCCAACGAAGGCCTCAATGCGGTCCATATATCCACTTGCAGACTTTACAAACAGAGTGTTTCCAAACTGCTCTATGAAAAGAAAGGTTAAACTATGTGAGTTGAACGCACACATCACAAAGAATTTTCTGAGAATGATTCTGTCTGGTTTTTATTTGAAGATATTTCCCTTTCTACTGTTGGCATCAAATGGCTAGAAATCTCCACTTGCAAATTCCGCAAAAAGAGTGTTTCAAATCTGCTCTGTCTAAAGGGACGTTCCACTCTGTGAGTTGAATGCACACAACACAAAGAATTTACTGAGAATTCTTCCGTCTAGCATTCAATGAAGAAATCCCGTTTCCAACGAAGGCCTCAAACAGGTCCATATATCCACTTGCAGACTTTACAAACAGTGTGTTTCCAAACTCCTCTATGAAAAGAAAGGTTAAACTCTGTGAGTGGAACGCACACATCACAAAGCACTTTCTGAGAATGATTCTGTCTGGTTATTATACGAAGATATTTCCTTTTCTGCAATTGTCCTCAAATCGCTTGAAATCTCCACCTGAAAATTCCACAGCGAGAGTGTTTCAAATCTGCTCTCTCTAAAGCAAGGTTCAACTCTGTGAGTTGAATACACACAACACAAAAAAGTTACTGAGAACTCTTCTTAGTCTAGCATGAAAGGAAGAAACCCCGTTTGCAACGAAGGCCTCAAAGAGGTCCAAATATCCACTTGCAGACATAACAAGCAGAGTGTTTCTAAACTGCTCTAAGAAAAGAAAGGTTAAAGTCTGTGAGTTGAAGGCACACATCACAAAGTAGTTTCTGAGAATGATTCTGTCTAGTTTTTATTTGAAGATATTTCCTTTTCTACTGTTGGCATCAAATCGCTTGAAATCTCCACTTGCAAACTCCACAAAAAGAGTGTTTCAAATCTGCTCTGTGTAAAGGGACGTTCCACTCTGTGAGTTGAATACACACAGCACAAAGAAGTTACTGAGAATTCTTCTGTCTAGCATGAAATGAAGAAATCCCGTTTCCAACGAAGGCCTCAATGCGGTCCATATATCCACTTGCAGACTTTACAAACAGAGTGTTTCCAAACTGCTCTATGAAAAGAAAGGTTAAACTATGTGAGTTGAACGCACACATCACAAAGAATTTTCTGAGAATGATTCTGTCTGGTTTTTATTTGAAGATATTTCCCTTTCTACTGTTGGCATCAAATTGCTAGAAATCTCCACTTGCAAATTCCGCAAAAAGAGTGTTTCAAATCTGCTCTGTCCAAAGGGACGTTCCACTCTGTGAGTTGAATGCACACAACACAAAGAATTTACTGAGAATTCTTCCGTCTAGCATTCAATGAAGAAATCCCGTTTCCAACGAAGGCCTCAAACAGGTCCATATATCCACTTGCAGACTTTACAAACAGTGTGTTTCCAAACTCCTCTATGGAAAGAAAGGTTAAACTCTGTGAGTTGAACGCACACATCACAAAGCACTTTCTGAGAATGATTCTGTCTGGTTATTATACGAAGATATTTCCTTTTCTGCAATTGTCCTCAAATCGCTTGAAATCTCCACCTGAAAATGCCACAGCAAGAGTGTTTCAAATCTGCTCTCTCTAAAGCAAGGTTCAACTCTGTGAGTTGAATACACACAACACAAAAAAGTTACTGAGAACTCTTCTTAGTCTAGCATGAAAGGAAGAAACCCCGTTTGCAACGAAGGCCTCAAAGAGGTCCAAATATCCACTTGCAGACATAACAAGCAGAGTGTTTCTAAAGTGCTCTAAGAAAAGAAAGGTTAAACTCTGTGAGTTGAAGGCACACATCACAAAGTAGTTTCTGAGAATGATTCTGTCTAGTTTTTATTTGAAGATATTTCCTTTTCTACTGTTGGCATCAAATCGCTTGAAATCTCCACTTGCAAACTCCACAAAAAGAGTGTTTAAAATCTGCTCTGTGCAAAGGGACGTTCCACTCTGTGAGTTGAATACACACAGCACAAAGAAGTTACTGAGAATTCTTCTGTCTAGCATGAAATGAAGAAATCCCGTTTCCAACGAAGGCCTCAATGCGGTCCATAGATCCACTTGCAGACTTTACAAACAGAGTGTTTCCAAACTGCTCTATGAAAAGAAAGGTTAAACTATGTGAGTTGAACGCACACATCACAAAGAATTTTCTGAGAATGATTCTGTCTGGTTTTTATTTGAAGATATTTCCCTTTCTACTGTTGGCATCAAATGGCTAGAAATCTCCACTTGCAAATTCCGCAAAAAGAGTGTTTCAAATCTGCTCTGTCTAAAGGGACGTTCCACTCTGTGAGTTGAATGCACACAACACAAAGAATTTACTGAGAATTCTTCCGTCTAGCATTCAATGAAGAAATCCCGTTTCCAACGAAGGCCTCAAACAGGTCCATATATCCAATTGCAGACTTTACAAACAGTGTGTTTCCAAACTCCTCTATGAAAAGAAAGGTTAAACTCTGTGAGTTGAACGCACACATCACAAAGCACTTTCTGAGAATGATTCTGTCTGGTTGTTATACGAAGATATTTCCTTTTCTGCAATTGTCCTCAAATCGCTTGAAATCTCCACCTGAAAATGCCACAGCAAGAGTGTTTCAAATCTGCTCTCTCTAAAGCAAGGTTCAACTCTGTGAGTTGAATACACACAACACAAAAATGTTACTGAGAACTCTTCTTAGTCTAGCATTAAAGGAAGAAACCCCGTTTGCAACGAAGGCCTCAAAGAGGTCCAAATATCCACTTGCAGACATAACAAGCAGAGTGTTTCTAAACTGCTCTAAGAAAAGAAAGGTTAAACTCTGTGAGTTGAAGGCACACATCACAAAGTAGTTTCTGAGAATGATTCTGTCTAGTTTTTATTTGAAGATATTTCCTTTTCTACTGTTGGCATCAAATCGCTTGAAATCTCCACTTGCAAACTCCACAAAAAGAGTGTTTCAAATCTGCTCTGTGTAAAGGGACGTTCCACTCTGTGAGTTGAATACACACAGCACAAAGAAGTTACTGAGAATTCTTCTGTCTAGCATGAAATGAAGAAATCCCGTTTCCAACGAAGGCCTCAATGCGGTCCATATATCCACTTGCAGACTTTACAAACAGAGTGTTTCCAAACTGCTCTATGAAAAGAAAGGTTAAACTATGTGAGTTGAACGCACACATCACAAAGAATTTTCTGAGAATGATTCTGTCTGGTTTTTATTTGAAGATATTTCCCTTTCTACTGTTGGCATCAAATGGCTAGAAATCTCCACTTGCAAATTCCGCAAAAAGAGTGTTTCAAATCTGCTCTGTCTAAAGGGACGTTCCACTCTGTGAGTTGAATGCACACAACACAAAGAATTTACTGAGAATTCTTCCGTCTAGCATTCAATGAAGAAATCCCGTTTCCAACGAAGGCCTCAAACAGGTCCATATATCCAATTGCAGACTTTACAAACAGTGTGTTTCCAAACTCCTCTATGAAAAGAAAGGTTAAACTCTGTGAGTTGAACGCACACATCACAAAGCACTTTCTGAGAATGATTCTGTCTGGTTATTATACGAAGTAGTTCCTTTTCTGCAATTGTCCTCAAATCGCTTGAAATCTCCACCTGAAAATGCCACAGCAAGAGTGTTTCAAATCTGCTCTCTCTAAAGCAAGGTTCAACTCTGTGAGTTGAATACACACAACACAAAAAAGTTACTGAGAACTCTTCTTAGTCTAGCATGAAAGGAAGAAACCCCGTTTGCAACGAAGGCCTCAAAGAGGTCCAAATATCCACTTGCAGACATAACAAGCAGAGTGTTTCTAAACTGCTCTAAGAAAAGAAAGGTTAAACTCTGTGAGTTGAAGGCACACATCACAAAGTAGTTTCTGAGAATGATTCTGTCTAGTTTTTATTTGAAGATATTTCCTTTTCTACTGTTGGCATCAAATCGCTTGAAATCTCCACTTGCAAACTCCACAAAAAGAGTGTTTCAAATCTGCTCTGTGCAAAGGGACGTTCCACTCTGTGAGTTGAATACACACAGCACAAAGAAGTTACTGAGAATTCTTCTGTCTAGCATGAAATGAAGAAATCCCGTTTCCAACGAAGGCCTCAATGCGGTCCATATATCCACTTGCAGACTTTACAAACAGAGTGTTTCCAAACTGCTCTATGAAAAGAAAGGTTAAACTATGTGAGTTGAACGCACACATCACAAAGAATTTTCTGAGAATGATTCTGTCTGGTTTTTATTTGAAGATATTTCCCTTTCTACTGTTGGCATCAAATGGCTAGAAATCTCCACTTGCAAATTCCGCAAAAAGAGTGTTTCAAATCTGCTCTGTCTAAAGGGACGTTCCACTCTGTGAGTTGAATGCACACCACACAAAGAATTTACTGAGAATTCTTCCGTCTAGCATTCAATGAAGAAATCCCGTTTCCAACGAAGGCCTCAAACAGGTCCATATATCCAATTGCAGACTTTACAAACAGTGTGTTTCCAAACTCCTCTATGAAAAGAAAGGTTAAACTCTGTGAGTTGAACGCACACATCACAAAGCACTTTCTGTGAATGATTCTGTCTGGTTATTATACGAAGATATTTCCTTTTCTGCAATTGTCCTCAAATCGCTTGAAATCTCCACCTGAAAATGCCACAGCAAGAGTGTTTCAAATCTGCTCTCTCTAAAGCAAGGTTCAACTCTGTGAGTTGAATACACACAACACAAAAAAGTTACTGAGAACTCTTCTTAGTCTAGCATGAAAGGAAGAAACCCCGTTTGCAACGAAGGCCTCAAAGAGGTCCAAATATCCACTTGCAGACATAACAAGCAGAGTGTTTCTAAACTGCTCTAAGAAAAGAAAGGTTAAACTCTGTGAGTTGAAGGCACACATCACAAAGTAGTTTCTGAGAATGATTCTGTCTAGTTTTTATTTGAAGATATTTCCTTTTCTACTGTTGGCATCAAATCGCTTGAAATCTCCACTTGCAAACTCCACAAAAAGAGTGTTTCAAATCTGCTCTGTGCAAAGGGACGTTCCACTCTGTGAGTTGAATACACACAGCACAAAGAAGTTACTGAGAATTCTTCTGTCTAGCATGAAATGAAGAAATCCCGTTTCCAACGAAGGCCTCAATGCGGTCCATATATCCACTTGCAGACTTTACAAACAGAGTGTTTCCAAACTGCTCTATGAAAAGAAAGGTTAAACTATGTGAGTTGAACGCACACATCACAAAGAATTTTCTGAGAATGATTCTGTCTGGTTTTTATTTGAAGATATTTCCCTTTCTACTGTTGGCATCAAATGGCTAGAAATCTCCACTTGCAAATTCCGCAAAAAGAGTGTTTCAAATCTGCTCTGTCTAAAGGGACGTTCCACTCTGTGAGTTGAATGCACACAACACAAAGAATTTACTGAGAATTCTTCCGTCTAGCATTCAATGAAGAAATCCCGTTTCCAACGAAGGCCTCAAACAGGTCCATATATCCACTTGCAGACTTTACAAACAGTGTGTTTCCAAACTCCTCTATGGAAAGAAAAGTTAAACTCTGTGAGTTGAACGCACACATCACAAAGCACTTTCTGAGAATGATTCTGTCTGGTTATTATACTGAAGATATTTCCTTTTCTGCATTTGTCCTCAAATCGCTTGAAATCTCCACCTGAAAATGCCACAGCAAGAGTGTTTCAAATCTGCTCTCTCTAAAGCAAGGTTCAACTCTGTGAGTTGAATACACACAACACAAAAAAGTTACTGAGAACTCTTCTTAGTCTAGCATTAAAGGAAGAAACCCCGTTTGCAACGAAGGCCTCAAAGAGGTCCAAATATCCACTTGCAGACATAACAAGCAGAGTGTTTCTAAACTGCTCTAAGAAAAGAAAGGTTAAACTCTGTGAGTTGAAGGCACACATCACAAAGTAGTTTCTGAGAATGATTCTGTCTAGTTTTTATTTGAAGATATTTCCTTTTCTACTGTTGGCATCAAATCGCTTGAAATCTCCACTTGCAAACTCCACAAAAAGAGTGTTTCAAATCTGCTCTGTGCAAAGGGACGTTCCACTCTGTGAGTTGAATACACACAGCACAAAGAAGTTACTGAGAATTCTTCTGTCTAGCATGAAATGAAGAAATCCCGTTTCCAACGAAGGCCTCAATGCGGTCCATATATCCACTTGCAGACTTTACAAACAGAGTGTTTCCAAACTGCTCTATGAAAAGAAAGGTTAAACTATGTGAGTTGAACGCACACATCACAAAGAATTTTCTGAGAATGATTCTGTCTGGTTTTTATTTGAAGATATTTCCCTTTCTACTGTTGGCATCAAATGGCTAGATATCTCCACTTGCAAATTCCGCAAAAAGAGTGTTTCAAATCTGCTCTGTCTAAAGGGACGTTCCACTCTGTGAGTTGAATGCACACAACACAAAGAATTTACTGAGAATCCTTCCGTCTAGCATTCAATGAAGAAATCCCGTTTCCAACGAAGGCCTCAAACAGGTCCATATATCCAATTGCAGACTTTACAAACAGTGTGTTTCCAAACTCCTCTATGAAAAGAAAGATTAAACTCTGTGAGTTGAACGCACACATCACAAAGCACTTTCTCAGAATGATTCTGTCTGGTTGTTATACGAAGATATTTCCTTTTCTGCAATTATCCTCAAATCGCTTGAAATCTCCACCTGAAAATGCCACAGCAAGAGTGTTTCAAATCTGCTCTCTCTAAAGCAAGGTTCAACTCTGTGAGTTGAATACACACAACACAAAAAAGTTACTGAGAACTCTTCTTAGTCTAGCATTAAAGGAAGAAACCCCGTTTGCAACGAAGGCCTCAAAGAGGTCCAAATATTCACTTGCAGACATAACAAGCAGAGTGTTTCTAAACTGCTCTAAGAAAAGAAAGGTTAAACTCTGTGAGTTGAAGGCACACATCACAAAGTAGTTTCTGAGAATGATTCTGTCTAGTTTTTATTTGAAGATATTTCCTTTTCTACTGTTGGCATCAAATCGCTTGAAATCTCCACTTGCAAACTCCACAAAAAGAGTGTTTCAAATCTGCTCTGTGTAAAGGGACGTTCCACTCTGTGAGTTGAATACACACAGCACAAAGAAGTTACTGAGAATTCTTCTGTCTAGCATGAAATGAAGAAATCCCGTTTCCAACGAAGGCCTCAATGCGGTCCATATATCCACTTGCAGACTTTACAAACAGAGTGTTTCCAAACTGCTCTATGAAAAGAAAGGTTAAACTATGTGAGTTGAACGCACACATCACAAAGAATTTTCTGAGAATGATTCTGTCTGTTTTTTATTTGAAGATATTTCCCTTTCTACTGTTGGCATCAAATGGCTAGAAATCTCCACTTGCAAATTCCGCAAAAAGAGTGTTTCAAATCTGCTCTGTCTAAAGGGACGTTCCACTCTGTGAGTTGAATGCACTCAACACAAAGAATTTACTGAGAATTCTTCCGTCTAGCATTCAATGAAGAAATCCCGTTTCCAACGAAGGCCTCAAACAGGTCCATATATCCACTTGCAGAGTTTACAAACAGTTTGTTTCCAAACTCCTCTATGAAAAGAAAGGTTAAACTCTGTGAGTGGAACGCACACATCACAAAGCACTTTCTGAGAATGATTCTGTCTGGTTATTATACGAAGATATTTCCTTTTCTGCAATTGTCCTCAAAACGCTTGAAATCTCCACCTGAAAATGCCACAGCAAGAGTGTTTCAAATCTGCTCTCTCTAAAGCAAGGTTCAACTCTGTGAGTTGAATACACACAACACAAAAAAGTTACTGAGAACTCTTCTTAGTCTAGCATGAAAGGAAGAAACCCCGTTTGCAACGAAGGCCTCAAAGAGGTCCAAATATCCACTTGCAGACATAACAAGCAGAGTGTTTCTAAACTGCTCTAAGAAAAGAAAGGTTAAACTCTGTGAGTTGAAGGCACACATCACAAAGTAGTTTTTGAGAATGATTCTGTCTAGTTTTTATTTGAAGATATTTCCTTTTCTACTGTTGGCATCAAATCGCTTGAAATCTCCACTTGCAAACTCCACAAAAAGAGTGTTTCAAATCTGCTCTGTGCAAAGGGACGTTCCACTCTGTGAGTTGAGTACACACAGCACAAAGAAGTTACTGAGAATTCTTCTGTCTAGCATGAAATGAAGAAATCCCGTTTCCAACGAAGGCCTCAATGCGGTCCATATATCCACTTGCAGACTTTACAAACAGAGTGTTTCCAAACTGCTCTATGAAAAGAAAGGTTAAACTATGTGAGTTGAACGCACACATCACAAAGAATTTTCTGAGAATGATTCTGTCTGGTTTTTATTTGAAGATATTTCCCTTTCTACTGTTGGCATCAAATGGCTAGAAATCTCCACTTGCAAATTCCGCAAAAAGAGTGTTTCAAATCTGCTCTGTCTAAAGGGACGTTCCACTCTGTGAGTTGAATGCACACAACACAAAGAATTTACTGAGAATTCTTCCGTCTAGCATTCAATGAAGAAATCCCGTTTCCAACGAAGGCCTCAAACAGGTCCATATATCCAATTGCAGACTTTACAAACAGTGTGTTTCCAAACTCCTCTATGAAAAGAAAGGTTAAACTCTGTGAGTTGAACGCACACATCACAAAGCACTTTCTGAGAATGATTCTGTCTGGTTATTATACGAAGTAGTTCCTTTTCTGCAATTGTCCTCAAATCGCTTGAAATCTCCACCTGAAAATGCCACAGCAAGAGTGTTTCAAATCTGCTCTCTCTAAAGCAAGGTTCAACTCTGTGAGTTGAATACACACAACACAAAAAAGTTACTGAGAACTCTTCTTAGTCTAGCATGAAAGGAAGAAACCCCGTTTGCAACGAAGGCCTCAAAGAGGTCCAAATATCCACTTGCAGACATAACAAGCAGAGTGTTTCTAAACTGCTCTAAGAAAAGAAAGGTTAAACTCTGTGAGTTGAAGGCACACATCACAAAGTAGTTTCTGAGAATGATTCTGTCTAGTTTTTATTTGAAGATATTTCCTTTTCTACTGCTGGCATCAAATCGCTTGAAATCTCCACTTGCAAACTCCACAAAAAGAGTGTTTCAAATCTGCTCTGTGTAAAGGGACGTTCCACTCTGTGAGTTGAATACACACAGCACAAAGAAGTTACTGAGAATTCTTCTGTCTAGCACGAAATGAAGAAATCCCGTTTCCAACGAAGGCCTCAATGCGGTCTATATATCCACTTGCAGACTTTACAAACAGAGTGTTTCCAAACTGCTCTATGAAAAGAAAGGTTAAACTATGTGAGTTGAACGCACACATCACAAAGAATTTTCTGAGAATGATTCTGTCTGGTTTTTATTTGAAGATATTTCCCTTTCTACTGTTGGCATCAAATGGCTAGAAATCTCCACTTGCAAATTCCGCAAAAAGAGTGTTTCAAATCTGCTCTGTCTAAAGGGACGTTCCACTCTGTGAGTTGAATGCACACAACACGAAGAATTTACTGAGAATTCTTCCGTCTAGCATTCAATGAAGAAATTCCGTTTCCAACGGAGGCCTCAAACAGGTCTATATATCCAATTGCAGACTTTACAAACAGTGTGTTTCCAAGCTCCTCTAAGAAAAGAAAGGTTAAACTCTGTGAGTTGAACGCACACATCACAAAGCACTTTCTGAGAATGATTCTGTCTGGTTATTATACGAAGATATTTCCTTTTCTGCAATTGTCCTCAAATCGCTTGAAATCTCCACCTGAAAATGCCACAGCAAGAGTGTTTCAAATCTGCTCTCTCTAAAGCAAGGTTCAACTCTGTGAGTTGAATACACACAACACAAAAAAGTTACTGAGAACTCTTCTTAGTCTAGCATTAAAGGAAGAAACCCCGTTTGCAACGAAGGCCTCAAAGAGGTCCAAATATCCACTTGCAGACATAACAAGCAGAGTGTTTCTAAACTGCTCTAAGAAAAGAAAGGTTAAACTCTGTGAGTTGAAGGCACACATCACAAAGTAGTTTCTGAGAATGATTCTGTCTAGTTTTTATTTGAAGATATTTCCTTTTCTACGGTTGGCATCAAATCGCTTGAAATCTCCACTTGCAAACTCCACAAAAAGAGTGTTTCAAATCTGCTCTGTGTAAAGGGACGTTCCACTCTGTGAGTTGAATACACACAGCACAAAGAAGTTACTGAGAATTCTTCTGTCTAGCATGAAATGAAGAAATCCCGTTTCCAACGAAGGCCTCAATGCGGTCCATATATCCACTTGCAGACTTTACAAACAGAGTGTTTCCAAACTGCTCTATGAAAAGAAAGGTTAAACTATGTGAGTTGAACGCACACATCACAAAGAATTTTCTGAGAATGATTCTGTCTGGTTTTTATTTGAAGATATTTCCCTTTCTACTGTTGGCATCAAATGGCTAGAAATCTCCACTTGCAAATTCCGCAAAAAGAGTGTTTCAAATCTGCTCTGTCTAAAGGGACGTTCCACTCTGTGAGTTGAATGCACACAACACAAAGAATTTACTGAGAATTCTTCCGTCTAGCATTCAATGAAGAAATCCCGTTTCCAACGAAGGCCTCAAACAGGTCCATATATCCACTTGCAGACTTTACAAACAGTGTGTTTCCAAACTCCTCTATGGAAAGAAAAGTTAAACTCTGTGAGTTGAACGCACACATCACAAAGCACTTTCTGAGAATGATTCTGTCTGGTTATTATACGAAGATATTTCCTTTTCTGCAATTGTCCTCAAATCGCTTGAAATCTCCACCTGAAAATGCCACAGCAAGAGTGTTTCAAATCTGCTCTCTCTAAAGCAAGGTTCAACTCTGTGAGTTGAATACACACAACACAAAAAAGTTACTGAGAACTCTTGTTAGTCTAGCATGAAAGGAAGAAACCCCGTTTGCAACGAAGGCCTCAAAGAGGTCCAAATATCCACTTGCAGACATAACAAGCAGAGTGTTTCTAAACTGCTCTAAGAAAAGAAAGGTTAAACTCTGTGAGTTGAAGGCACACATCACAAAGTAGTTTCTGAGAATGATTCTGTCTAGTTTTTATTTGAAGATATTTCCTTTTCTACTGTTGGCATCAAATCGCTTGAAATCTCCACTTGCAAATTCCACAAAAAGAGTGTTTCAAATCTGCTCTGTGCAAAGGGACGTTCCACTCTGTGAGTTGAATACACACAGCACAAAGAAGTTACTGAGAATTCTTCTGTCTAGCATGAAATGAAGAAATCCCGTTTCCAACGAAGGCCTCAATGCGGTCCATATATCCACTTGCAGACTTTACAAACAGAGTGTTTCCAAACTGCTCTATGAAAAGAAAGGTTAAACTATGTGAGTTGAACGCACACATCACAAAGAATTTTCTGAGAATGATTCTGTCTGGTTTTTATTTGAAGATATTTCCCTTTCTACTGTTGGCCATCAAATGGCTAGAAATCTCCACTTGCAAATTCCGCAAAAAGAGTGTTTCAAATCTGCTCTGTCTAAAGGGACGTTCCACTCTGTGAGTTGAATGCACACAACACAAAGAATTTACTGAGAATTCTTCCGTCTAGCATTCAATGAAGAAATCCCGTTTCCAACGAAGGCCTCAAACAGGTCCATATATCCACTTGCAGACTTTACAAACAGTGTGTTTCCAAACTCCTCTATGAAAAGAAAGGTTAAACTCTGTGAGTTGAACGCACACATCACAAAGCACTTTCTGAGAATGATTCTGTCTGGTTGTTATACGAAGATATTTCCTTTTCTGTAATTGTCCTCAAATCGCTTGAAATCTCCACCTGAAAATGCCACAGCAAGAGTGTTTCAAATCTGCTCTCTCTAAAGCAAGGTTCAACTCTGTGAGTTGAATACACACAACACAAAAAAGTTACTGAGAACTCTTCTTAGTCTAGCATTAAAGGAAGAAACCCCGTTTGCAACGAAGGCCTCAAAGAGGTCCAAATATCCACTTGCAGACATAACAAGCAGAGTGTTTCTAAACTGCTCTAAGAAAAGAAAGGTTAAACTCTGTGAGTTGAAGGCACACATCACAAAGTAGTTTCTGAGAATGATTCTGTCTAGTTTTTATTTGAAGATATTTCCTTTTCTACTGTTGGCATCAAATCGCTTGAAATCTCCACTTGCAAATTCCACAAAAAGAGTGTTTCAAATCTGCTCTGTGCAAAGGGACGTTCCACTCTGTGAGTTGAATACACACAGCACAAAGAAGTTACTGAGAATTCTTCTGTCTAGCATGAAATGAAGAAATCCCGTTTCCAACGAAGGCCTCAATGCGGTCCATGTATCCACTTGCAGACTTTACAAACAGAGTGTTTCCAAACTGCTCTATGAAAAGAAAGGTTAAACTATGTGAGTTGAACGCACACATCACAAAGAATTTTCTGAGAATGATTCTGTCTGGTTTTTATTTGAAGATATTTCCCTTTCTACTGTTGGCATCAAATGGCTAGAAATCTCCACTTGCAAATTCCGCAAAAAGAGTGTTTCAAATCTGCTCTGTCTAAAGGGACGTTCCACTCTGTGAGTTGAATGCACACAACACAAAGAATTTACTGAGAATTCTTCCGTCTAGCATTCAATGAAGAAATCCCGTTTCCAACGAAGGCCTCAAACAGGTCCATATATCCAATTGCAGACTTTACAAACAGTGTGTTTCCAAACTCCTCTATGAAAAGAAAGGTTAAACTCTGTGAGTTGAACGCACACATCACAAAGCACTTTCTGAGAATGATTCTGTCTGGTTGTTATACGAAGATATTTCCTTTTCTGCAATTGTCCTCAAATCGCTTGAAATCTCCACCTGAAAATGCCACAGCAAGAGTGTTTCAAATCTGCTCTCTCTAAAGCAAGGTTCAACTCTGTGAGTTGAATACACACAACACAAAAAAGTTACTGAGAACTCTTCTTAGTCTAGCATGAACGGAAGAAACCCCGTTTGCAACGAAGGCCTCAAAGAGGTCCAAATATCCACTTGCAGACATAACAAGCAGAGTGTTTCTAAACTGCTCTAAGAAAAGAAAGGTTAAACTCTGTGAGTTGAAGGCACACATCACAAAGTAGTTTCTGAGAATGATTCTGTCTAGTTTTTATTTGAAGATATTTCCTTTTCTACTGTTGGCATCAAATCGCTTGAAATCTCCACTTGCAAACTCCACAAAAAGAGTGTTTCAAATCTGCTCTGTGTAAAGGGACGTTCCACTCTGTGAGTTGAATACACACAGCACAAAGAAGTTACTGAGAATTCTTCTGTCTAGCATGAAATGAAGAAATCCCGTTTCCAACGAAGGCCTCAAAGCGGTCCATATATCCACTTGCAGACATTACCAACAGAGTGTTCCCAAACTGCTCTATGAAAAGAAAGGTTAAACTATGTGAGTTGAACGCACACATCACAAAGAATTTTCTGAGAATGATTGTCTGTCTGGTTTTTATTTGAAGATATTTCCCTTTCAACTGTTGGCATCAAATGGCTAGAAATCTCCACTTGCAAATTCCGCAAAAAGAGTGTTTCAAATCTGCTCTGTCTAAAGGGACGGTTCCACTCTGTGAGTTGAATGCACACAACACAAAGAATTTACTGAGAATTCTTCCGTCTAGCATTCAATGAAGAAATCCCGTTTCCAACGAAGGCCTCAAACAGGTCCATATATCCACTTGCAGACTTTACAAACAGTGTGTTTCCAAACTCCTCTATGAAAAGAAAGGTTAAACTCTGTGAGTTGAACGCACACATCACAAAGCACTTTCTGAGAATGATTCTGTCTGGTTATTATACGAAGATATTTCCTTTTCTGCAATTGTCCTCAAATCGCTTGAAATCTCCACCTGAAAATGCCACAGCAAGAGTGTTTCAAATCTGCTCTCTCTAAAGCAAGGTTCAACTCTGTGAGTTAAATACACACAACACAAAAAAGTTACTGAGAACTCTTCTTAGTCTAGCATGAAAGGAAGAAACCCCGTTTGCAACGAAGGCCTCAAAGAGGTCCAAATATCCACTTGCAGACATAACAAGCAGAGTGTTTCTAAACTGCTCTAAGAAAAGAAAGGTTAAACTCTGTGAGTTGAAGGCACACATCACAAAGTAGTTTCTGAGAATGATTCTGTCTAGTTTTTATTTGAAGATATTTCCTTTTCTACTGTTGGCATCAAATCGCTTGAAATCTCCACTTGCAAATTCCACAAAAAGAGTGTTTCAAATCTGCTCTGTCTAAAGGGACGTTCCACTCTGTGAGTTGAATGCACACCACACAAAGAATTTACTGAGAATTCTTCCGTCTAGCATGCAATGAAGAAATCCCGTTTCCAACGAAGGCCTCAAACAGGTCCATATATCCAATTGCAGACTTTACAAACAGTGTGTTTCCAAACTCCTCTATGAAAAGAAAGGTTAAACTCTGTGAGTTGAACGCACACATCACAAAGCACTTTCTGAGAATGATTCTGTCTGGTTATTATACGAAGATATTTCCTTTTCTGCAATTGTCCTCAAATCGCTTGAAATCTCCACCTGAAAATTCCACAGCGAGAGTGTTTCAAATCTGCTCTCTCTAAAGCAAGGTTCAACTCTGTGAGTTGAATACACACAACACAAAAAAGTTACTGAGAACTCTTCTTAGTCTAGCATTAAAGGAAGAAACCCCTTTTGCAACGAAGGCCTCAAAGAGGTCCAAATATCCACTTGCAGACATAACAAGCAGAGTGTTTCTAAACTGCTCTAAGAAAAGAAAGGTTAAACTCTGTGAGTTGAAGGCACACATCACAAAGTAGTTTCTGAGAATGATTCTGTCTAGTTTTTATTTGAAGATATTTCCTTTTCTACTGTTGGCATCAAATCGCTTGAAATCTCCACTTGCAAACTCCACAAAAAGAGTGTTTCAAATCTGCTCTGTGTAAAGGGACGTTCCACTCTGTGAGTTGAATACACACAGCACAAAGAAGTTACTGAGAATTCTTCTGTCTAGCATGAAATGAAGAAATCCCGTTTCCAACGAAGGCCTCAATGCGGTCCATATATCCACTTGCAGACTTTACAGAGTGTTTCCAAACTGCTCTATGAAAAGAAAGGTTAAACTATGTGAGTTGAACGCACACATCACAAAGAATTTTCTGAGAATGATTCTGTCTGGTTTTTATTTGAAGATATTTCCCTTTCTACTGTTGGCATCAAATGGCTAGAAATCTCCACTTGCAAATTCCGCAAAAAGAGTGTTTCAAATCTGCTCTGCCTAAAGGGACGTTCTACTCTGTGAGTTGAATGCACACAACACAAAGAATTTACTGAGAATTCTTCCGTCTAGCATTCAATGAAGAAATCCCGTTTCCAACAAAGGCCTCAAACAGGTCCATATATCCACTTGCAGAGTTTACAAACAGTTTGTTTCCAAACTCCTCTATGAAAAGAAAGGTTAAACTCTGTGAGTGGAACGCACACATCACAAAGCACTTTCTGAGAATGATTCTGTCTGGTTATTATACGAAGATATTTCCTTTTCTGCAATTGTCCTCAAAACGCTTGAAATCTCCACCTGAAAATGCCACAGCAAGAGTGTTTCAAATCTGCTCTCTCTAAAGCAAGGTTCAACTCTGTGAGTTGAATACACACAACACAAAAAAGTTACTGAGAACTCTTCTTAGTCTAGCATTAAAGGAAGAAACCCCGTTTGCAACGAAGGCCTCAAAGAGGTCCAAATATCCACTTGCAGACATAACAAGCAGAGTGTTTCTAAACTGCTCTAAGAAAAGAAAGGTTAAACTCTGTGAGTTGAAGGCACACATCACAAAGTAGTTTCTGAGAATGATTCTGTCTAGTTTTTATTTGAAGATATTTCCTTTTCTACTGTTGGCATCAAATCGCTTGAAATCTCCACTTGCAAACTCCACAAAAAGAGTGTTTCAAATCTGCTCTGTGCAAAGGGACGTTCCACTCTGTGAGTTGAATACACACAGCACAAAGAAGTTACTGAGAATTCTTCTGTCTAGCATGAAATGAAGAAATCCCGTTTCCAACGAAGGCCTCAATGCGGTCCATATATCCACTTGCAGACTTTACAAACAGAGTGTTTCCAAACTGCTCTATGAAAAGAAAGGTTAAACTATGTGAGTTGAACGCACACATCACAAAGAATTTTCTGAGAATGATTCTGTCTGGTTTTTATTTGAAGATATTTCCCTTTCTACTGTTGGCATCAAATGGCTAGAAATCTCCACTTGCAAATTCCGCAAAAAGAGTGTTTCAAATCTGCTCTGTCTAAAGGGACGTTCCACTCTGTGAGTTGAATGCACACAACACAAAGAATTTACTGAGAATTCTTCTGTCTAGCAGTCAATGAAGAAATCCCGTTTCCAACGAAGGCCTCAAACAGGTCCATATATCCAATTGCAGACTTTACAAACAGTGTGTTTCCAAACTCCTCTATGAAAAGAAAGGTTAAACTCTGTGAGTTGAACCCACACATCACAAAGCACTTTCTGAGAATGATTCTGTCTGGTTGTTATACGAAGATATTTCCTTTTCTGCAATTGTCCTCAAATCGCTTGAAATCTCCACCTGAAAATGCCACAGCAAGAGTGTTTCAAATCTGCTCTCTCTAAAGCAAGGTTCAGCTCTGTGAGTTGAATACACACAACACAAAAAAGTTACTGAGAACTCTTCTTAGTCTAGCATGAAAGGAAGAAACCCCGTTTGCAAAGAAGGCCTCAAAGAGGTCCAAATATCCACTTGCAGACATAACAAGCAGAGTGTTTCTAAACTGCTCTAAGAAAAGAAAGGTTAAACTCTGTGAGTTGAAGGCACACATCACAAAGTAGTTTCTGAGAATGATTCTGTCTAGTTTTTATTTGAAGATATTTCCTTTTCTACTGTTGGCATCAAATCGCTTGAAATCTCCACTTGCAAACTCCACAAAAAGAGTGTTTCAAATCTGCTCTGTGTAAAGGGACGTTCCACTCTGTGAGTTGAATACACACAGCACAAAGAAGTTACTGAGAATTCTTCTGTCTAGCATGAAATGAAGAAATCCCGTTTCCAACGAAGGCCTCAATGCGGTCCATATATCCACTTGCAGACTTTACAAACAGAGTGTTTCCAAACTGCTCTATGAAAAGAAAGGTTAAACTATGTGAGTTGAACGCACACATCACAAAGAATTTTCTGAGAATGATTCTGTCTGGTTTTTATTTGAAGATATTTCCCTTTCTACTGTTGGCATCAAATGGCTAGAAATCTCCACTTGCAAATTCCGCAAAAAGAGTGTTTCAAATCTGCTCTGTCTAAAGGGACGTTCCACTCTGTGAGTTGAATGCACACCACACAAAGAATTTACTGAGAATTCTTCCGTCTAGCATTCAATGAAGAAATCCCGTTTCCAACGAAGGCCTCAAACAGGTCCATATATCCAATTGCAGACTTTACAAACAGTGTGTTTCCAAACTCCTCTATGAAAAGAAAGGTTAAACTCTGTGAGTTGAACGCACACATCACAAAGCACTTTCTGAGAATGATTCTGTCTGGTTGTTATACGAAGATATTTCCTTTTCTGCAATTGTCCTCAAATCGCTTGAAATCTCCACCTGAAAATGCCACAGCAAGAGTGTTTCAAATCTGCTCTCTCTAAAGCAAGGTTCAACTTTGTGAGTTGAATACACACAACGCAAAAAAGTTACTGAGAACTCTTCTTAGTCTAGCATGAAAGGAAGAAACCCCGTTTGCAACGAAGGCCTCAAAGAGGTCCAAATATCCACTTGCAGACATAACAAGCAGAGTGTTTCTAAACTGCTCTAAGAAAAGAAAGGTTAAACTCTGTGAGTTGAAGGCACACATCACAAAGTAGTTTCTGAGAATGATTCTGTCTAGTTTTTATTTGAAGATATTTCCTTTTCTACTGTTGGCATCAAATCGCTTGAAATCTCCACTTGCAAATTCCACAAAAAGAGTGTTTCAAATCTGCTCTGTGCAAAGGGACGTTCCACTCTGTGAGTTGAATACACACAGCACAAAGAAGTTACTGAGGAATTCTTCTGTCTAGCATGAAATGAAGAAATCCCGTTTCCAACGAAGGCCTCAATGCGGTCCATATATCCACTTGCAGACTTTACAAACAGAGTGTTTCCAAACTGCTCTATGAAAAGAAAGGTTAAACTATGTGAGTTGAACGCACACATCACAAAGAATTTTCTGAGAATGATTCTGTCTGGTTTTTATTTGAAGATATTTCCCTTTCTACTGTTGGCATCAAATGGCTAGAAATCTCCACTTGCAAATTCCGCAAAAAGAGTGTTTCAAATCTGCTCTGTCTAAAGGGACGTTCCACTCTGTGAGTTGAATGCACACAACACAAAGAATTTACTGAGAATTCTTCCGTCTAGCATTCAATGAAGAAATCCCGTTTCCAACGAAGGCCTCAAACAGGTCCATATATCCACTTGCAGTCTTTACAAACAGTGTGTTTCCAAACTCCTCTATGAAAAGAAAGGTTAAACTCTGTGAGTTGAATGCACACATCACAAAGCACTTTCTGAGAATGATTCTGTCTGGTTATTATACGAAGATATTTCCTTTTCTGCAATTGTCCTCAAGTCGCTTGAAATCTCCAGCTGAAAATGCCACAGCAAGAGTGTTTCAAATCTGCTCTCTCTAAAGCAAGGTTCAACTCTGTGAGTTGAATACACACAACACAAAAAAGTTACTGAGAACTCTTCTTAGTCTAGCATGAAAGGAAGAAACCCCGTTTGCAACGAAGGCCTCAAAGAGGTCCAAATATCCACTTGCAGACATAACAAGCAGAGTGTTTCTAAACTGCTCTAAGAAAAGAAAGGTTAAACTCTGTGAGTTGAAGGCACACATCACAAAGTAGTTTCTGAGAATGATTCTGTCTAGTTTTTATTTGAAGATATTTCCTTTTCTACTGTTGGCATCAAATCGCTTGAAATCTCCACTTGCAAACTCCACAAAAAGAGTGTTTCAAATCTGCTCTGTGTAAAGGGACGTTCCACTCTGTGAGTTGAATACACACAGCACAAAGAAGTTACTGAGAATTCTTCTGTCTAGCATGAAATGAAGAAATCCCGTTTCCAACGAAGGCCTCAATGCGGTCCATATATCCACTTGCAGACTTTACAAACAGAGTGTTTCCAAACTGCTCTATGAAAAGAAAGGTTAAACTGTGAGTTGAACGCACACATCACAAAGAATTTTCTGAGAATGATTCTGTCTGGTTTTTATTTGAAGATATTTCCCTTTCTACTGTTGGCATCAAATGGCTAGAAATCTCCACTTGCAAATTCCGCAAAAAGAGTGTTTCAAATCTGCTCTGTCTAAAGGGACGTTCCACTCTGTGAGTTGAATGCACACAACACAAAGAATTTACTGAGAATTCTTCCGTCTAGCATTCAATGAAGAAATCCCGTTTCCAACGAAGGCCTCAAACAGGTCCATATATCCACTTGCAGACTTTACAAACAGTGTGTTTCCAAACTCCTCTATGAAAAGAAAGGTTAAACTCTGTGAGTGGAACGCACACATCACAAAGCACTTTCTGAGAATGATTCTGTCTGGTTGTTATACGAAGATATTTCCTTTTCTGCAATTGTCCTCAAATCGCTTGAAATCTCCACCTGAAAATGCCACAGCAAGAGTGTTTCAAATCTGCTCTCTCTAAAGCAAGGTTCAACTCTGTGAGTTGAATACACACAACACAAAAAAGTTACTGAGAACTCTTCTTAGTCTAGCATGAAAGGAAGAAACCCCGTTTGCAACGAAGGCCTCAAAGAGGTCCAAATATCCACTTGCAGACATAACAAGCAGAGTGTTTCTAACCTGCTCTAAGAAAAGAAAGGTTAAACTCTGTGAGTTGAAGGCACACATCACAAAGTAGTTTCTGAGAATGATTTCTGTCTAGTTTTTATTTGAAGATATTTCCTTTTCTATTGCTGGCATCAAATCGCTTGAAATCTCCACTTGCAAATTCCACAAAAAGAGTGTTTCAAATCTGCTCTGTGTAAAGGGACGTTCCACCCTGTGAGTTGAATACACACAACACAAAGAAGTTACTGAGAATTCTTCTGTCTAGCATGAAATGAAGAAATCCCGTTTCCAACGAAGGCCTCAATGCGGTCCATATATCCACTTGCAGACTTTACAAACAGAGTGTTTCCAAACTGCTCTATGAAAAGAAAGGTTAAACTATGTGAGTTGAACGCACACATCACAAAGAATTTTCTGAGAATGATTCTGTCTGGTTTTTATTTGAAGATATTTCCCTTTCTACTGTTGGCATCAAATGGCTAGAAATCTCCACTTGCAAATTCCGCAAAAAGAGTGTTTCAAATCTGCTCTGTCTAAAGGGACGTTCCACTCTGTGAGTTGAATGCACACAACACAAAGAATTTACTGAGAATTCTTCCGTCTAGCATTCAATGAAGAAATCCCGTTTCCAACGAAGGCCTCAAACAGGTCCATATATCCACTTGCAGACTTTACAAACAGTGTGTTTCCAAACTCCTCTATGAAAAGAAAGGTTAAACTCTGTGAGTGGAACGCACACATCACAAAGCACTTTCTGAGAATGATTCTGTCTGGTTGTTATACGAAGATATTTCCTTTTCTGCAATTGTCCTCAAATCGCTTGAAATCTCCACCTGAAAATGCCACAGCAAGAGTGTTTCAAATCTGCTCTCTCTAAAGCAAGGTTCAACTCTGTGAGTTGAATACACACAACACAAAAAAGTTACTGAGAACTCTTCTTAGTCTAGCATGAAAGGAAGAAACCCCGTTTGCAACGAAGGCCTCAAAGAGGTCCAAATATCCACTTGCAGACATAACAAGCAGAGTGTTTCTAAACTGCTCTAAGAAAAGAAAGGTTAAACTCTGTGAGTTGAAGGCACACATCACAAAGTAGTTTCTGAGAATGATTCTGTCTAGTTTTTATTTGAAGATATTTCCTTTTCTACTGTTGGCATCAAATCGCTTGAAATCTCCACTTGCAAACTCCACAAAAAGAGTGTTTCAAATCTGCTCTGTGTAAAGGGACGTTCCACTCTGTGAGTTGAATACACACAGCACAAAGAAGTTACTGAGAATTCTTCTGTCTAGCATGAAATGAAGAAATCCCGTTTCCAACGAAGGCCTCAATGCGGTCCATATATCCACTTGCAGACTTTACAAACAGAGTGTTTCCAAACTGCTCTATGAAAAGAAAGGTTAAACTATGTGAGTTGAACGCACACATCACAAAGAATTTTCTGAGAATGATTCTGTCTGGTTTTTATTTGAAGATATTTCCCTTTCTACTGTTGGCATCAAATGGCTAGAAATCTCCACTTGCAAATTCCGCAAAAAGAGTGTTTCAAATCTGCTCTGTCTAAAGGGACGTTCCACTCTGTGAGTTGAATGCACACAACACAAAGAATTTACTGAGAATTCTTCCGTCTAGCATTCAATGAAGAAATCCCGTTTCCAACGAAGGCCTCAAACAGGTCCATATATCCACTTGCAGACTTTACAAACAGTGTGTTTCCAAACTCCTCTATGAAAAGAAAGGTTAAACTCTGTGAGTGGAACGCACACATCACAAAGCACTTTCTGAGAATGATTCTGTCTGGTTGTTATACGAAGATATTTCCTTTTCTGCAATTGTCCTCAAATCGCTTGAAATCTCCACCTGAAAATGCCACAGCAAGAGTGTTTCAAATCTGCTCTCTCTAAAGCAAGGTTCAGCTCTGTGAGTTGAATACACACAACACAAAAAAGTTACTGAGAACTCTTCTTAGTCTAGCATGAAAGGAAGAAACCCCGTTGGCAACGAAGGCCTCAAAGAGGTCCAAATATCCACTTGCAGACATAACAAGCAGAGTGTTTCTAAACTGCTCTAAGAAAAGAAAGGTTAAACTCTGTGAGTTGAAGGCACACATCACAAAGTAGTTTCTGAGAATGATTCTGTCTAGTTTTTATTTGAAGATATTTCCTTTTCTACTGTTGGCATCAAATCGCTTGAAATCTCCACTTGCAAATTCCACAAAAAGAGTGTTTCAAATCTGCTCTGTGCAAAGGGACGTTCCACTCTGTGAGTTGAATACACACAGCACAAAGAAGTTACTGAGAATTCTTCTGTCTAGCATGAAATGAAGAAATCCCGTTTCCAACGAAGGCCTCAATGCGGTCCATATATCCACTTGCAGACTTTACAAACAGAGTGTTTCCAAACTGCTCTATGAAAAGAAAGGTTAAACTATGTGAGTTGAACGCACACATCACAAAGAATTTTCTGAGAATGATTCTGTCTGGTTTTTATTTGAAGATATTTCCCTTTCTACTGTTGGCATCAAATGGCTAGAAATCTCCACTTGCAAATTCCGCAAAAAGAGTGTTTCAAATCTGCTCTGTCTAAAGGGACGTTCCACTCTGTGAGTTGAATGCACACAACACAAAGAATTTACTGAGAATTCTTCCGCCTAGCATTCAATGAAGAAATCCCGTTTCCAACGAAGGCCTCAAACAGGTCCATATATCCACTTGCAGACTTTACAAACAGTGTGTTTCCAAACTCCTCTATGAAAAGAAAGGTTAAACTCTGTGAGTGGAACGCACACATCACAAAGCACTTTCTGAGAATGATTCTGTCTGGTTATTATACGAAGATATTTCCTTTTCTGCAATTGTCCTCAAATCGCTTGAAATCTCCACCTGAAAATGCCACAGCAAGAGTGTTTCAAATCTGCTCTCTCTAAAGCAAGGTTCAACTCTGTGAGTTGAATACACACAACACAAAAAAGTTACTGAGAACTCTTCTTAGTCTAGCATGAAAGGAAGAAACCCCGTTTGCAACGAAGGCCTCAAAGAGGTCCAAATATCCACTTGCAGACATAACAAGCAGAGTGTTTCTAAACTGCTCTAAGAAAAGAAAGGTTAAACTCTGTGAGTTGAAGGCAGACATCACAAAGTAGTTTCTGAGAATGATTCTGTCTAGTTTTTATTTGAAGATATTTCCTTTTCTACTGTTGGCATCAAATCGCTTGAAATCTCCACTTGCAAACTCCACAGAAGGAGTGTTTCAAATCTGCTCTGTGCAAAGGGACGTTCCACTCTGTGAGTTGAGTACACACAGCACAAAGAAGTTACTGAGAATTCTTCTGTCTCGCATGAAATGAAGAAATCCCGTTTCCAACGAAGGCCTCAATGCGGTCCATATATCCACTTGCAGACTTTACAAACAGAGTGTTTCCAAACTGCTCTATGAAAAGAAAGGTTAAACTATGTGAGTTGAACGCACACATCACAAAGAATTTTCTGAGAATGATTCTGTCTGGTTTTTATTTGAAGATATTTCCCTTTCTACTGTTGGCATCAAATGGCTAGAAATCTCCACTTGCAAATTCCGCAAAAAGAGTGTTTCAAATCTGCTCTGTCTAAAGGGACGTTCCACTCTGTGAGTTGAATGCACACAACACAAAGAATTTACTGAGAATTCTTCCGTCTAGCATTCAATGAAGAAATCCCGTTTCCAACGAAGGCCTCAAACAGGTCCATATATCCACTTGCAGACTTTACAAACAGTGTGTTTCCAAACTCCTCTATGAAAAGAAAGGTTAAACTCTGTGAGTTGAACGCACACATCACAAAGCACTTTCTGAGAATGATTCTGTCTGGTTATTATACGAAGATATTTCCTTTTCTGCAATTGTCCTCAAATCGCTTGAAATCTCCACCTGAAAATGCCACAGCAAGAGTGTTTCAAATCTGCTCTCTCTAAAGCCAGGTTCAACTCTGTGAGTTGAATACACACAACACAAAAAAGTTACTGAGAACTCTTCTTAGTCTAGCATGAAAGGAAGAAACCCCGTTTGCAACGAAGGCCTCAAAGAGGTCCAAATATCCACTTGCAGACATAACAAGCAGAGTGTTTCTAAACTGCTCTAAGAAAAGAAAGGTTAAACTCTGTGAGTTGAAGGCACACATCACAAAGTAGTTTCTGAGAATGATTCTGTCTAGTTTTTATTTGAAGATATTTCCTTTTCTACTGTTGGCATCAAATCGCTTGAAATCTCCACTAGCAAACTCCACAAAAAGAGTGTTTCAAATCTGCTCTGTGCAAAGGGACGTTCCACTCTGTGAGTTGAATACACACAGCACAAAGAAGTTACTGAGAATTCTTCTGTCTAGCATGAAATGAAGAAATCCCGTTTCCAACGAAGGCCTCAATGCGGTCCATATATCCACTTGCAGACTTTACAAACAGAGTGTTTCCAAACTGCTCTATGAAAAGAAAGGTTAAACTATGTGAGTTGAACGCACACATCACAAAGAATTTTCTGAGAATGATTCTGTCTGGTTTTTATTTGAAGATATTTCCCTTTCTACTGTTGGCATCAAATGGCTAGAAATCTCCACTTGCAAATTCCGCAAAAAGAGTGTTTCAAATCTGCTCTGTCTAAAGGGACGTTCCACTCTGTGAGTTGAATGCACACAACACAAAGAATTTACTGAGAATTCTTCCGTCTAGCATTCAATGAAGAAATCCCGTTTCCAACGAAGGCCTCAAACAGGTCCATATATCCACTTGCAGACTTTACAAACAGTGTGTTTCCAAACTCCTCTATGGAAAGAAAAGTTAAACTCTGTGAGTTGAACGCACACATCACAAAGCACTTTCTGAGAATGATTCTGTCTGGTTATTATACGAAGATATTTCCTTTTCTGCAATTGTCCTCAAAACGCTTGAAATCTCCACCTGAAAATGCCACAGCAAGAGTGTTTCAAATCTGCTCTCTCTAAAGCAAGGTTCAACTCTGTGAGTTGAATACACACAACACAAAAAAGTTACTGAGAACTCTTCTTAGTCTAGCATGAAAGGAAGAAACCCCGTTTGCAACGAAGGCCTCAAAGAAGGTCCAAATATCCACTTGCAGACATAACAAGCAGAGTGTTTCTAAACTGCTCTAAGAAAAGAAAGGTTAAACTCTGTGAGTTGAAGGCACACATCACAAAGTAGTTTCTGAGAATGACTCTGTCTAGTTTTTATTTGAAGATATTTCCTTTTCTACTGTTGGCATCAAATCGCTTGAAATCTCCACTTGCAAATTCCACAAAAAGAGTGTTTCATATCTGCTCTGTGCAAAGGGACGTTCCACTCTGTGAGTTGAATACACACAGCACAAAGAAGTTACTGAGAATTCTTCTGTCTAGCATGAAATGAAGAAATCCCGTTTCCAACGAAGGCCTCAATGCGGTCCATATATCCACTTGCAGACTTTACAAACAGAGTGTTTCCAAACTGCTCTATGAAAAGAAAGGTTAAACTATGTGAGTTGAACGCACACATCACAAAGAATTTTATGAGAATGATTCTGTCTGGTTTTTATTTGAAGATATTTCCCTTTCAACTGTTGGCATCAAATGGCTAGAAATCTCCACTTGCAAATTCCGCAAAAAGAGTGTTTCAAATCTGCTCTGTCTAAAGGGACGGTTCCACTCTGTGAGTTGAATGCACACAACACAAAGAATTTACTGAGAATTCTTCCGTCTAGCATTCAATGAAGAAATCCCGTTTCCAACGAAGGCCTCAAACAGGTCCATATATCCACTTGCAGACTTTACAAACAGTGTGTTTCCAAACTCCTCTATGAAAAGAAAGGTTAAACTCTGTGAGTGGAACGCACACATCACAAAGCACTTTCTGAGAATGATTCTGTCTGGTTATTATACGAAGATATTTCCTTTTCTGCAATTGTCCTCAAATCGCTTGAAATCTCCACCTGAAAATGCCACAGCAAGAGTGTTTCAAATCTGCTCTCTCTAAAGCAAGGTTCAACTCTGTGAGTTGAATACACACAACACAAAAAAGTTACTGAGAACTCTTCTTAGTCTAGCATGAAAGGAAGAAACCCCGTTTGCAACGAAGTCCTCAAAGAGGTCCAAATATCCACTTGCAGACATAACAAGCAGAGTGTTTCTAAACTGCTCTAAGAAAAGAAAGGTTAAACTCTGTGAGTTGAAGGCACACATCACAAAGTAGTTTCTGAGAATGATTCTGTCTAGTTTTTATTTGAAGATATTTCCTTTTCTACTGTTGGCATCAAATCGCTTGAAATCTCCACTTGCAAATTCCACAAAAAGAGTGTTTCAAATCTGCTCTGTGCAAAGGGACGTTCCACTCTGTGAGTTGAATACACACAGCACAAAGAAGTTACTGAGAATTCTTCTGTCTAGCATGAAATGAAGAAATCCCGTTTCCAACGAAGGCCTCAATGCGGTCCATATATCCACTTGCAGACTTTACAAACAGAGTGTTTCCAAACTGCTCTATGAAAAGAAAGGTTAAACTATGTGAGTTGAACGCACACATCACAAAGAATTTTCTGAGAATGATTCTGTCTGGTTTTTATTTGAAGATATTTCCCTTTCTACTGTTGGCATCAAATGGCTAGAAATCTCCACTTGCAAATTCCGCAAAAAGAGTGTTTCAAATCTGCTCTGTCTAAAGGGACGTTCCACTCTGTCAGTTGAATGCACACAACACAAAGAATTTACTGAGAATTCTTCCGTCTAGCATTCAATGAAGAAATCCCGTTTCCAACGAAGGCCTCAAACAGGTCCATATATCCACTTGCAGACTTTACAAACAGTGTGTTTCCAAACTCCTCTATGAAAAGAAAGGTTAAACTCTGTGAGTGGAACGCACACATCACAAAGCACTTTCTGAGAATGATTCTGTCTGGTTATTATACGAAGATATTTCCTTTTCTGCAATTGTCCTCAAATCGCTTGAAATCTCCACCTGAAAATGCCACAGCAAGAGTGTTTCAAATCTGCTCTCTCTAAAGCAAGGTTCAACTCTGTGAGTTGAATACACACAACACAAAAAAGTTACTGAGAACTCTTCTTAGTCTAGCATGAAAGGAAGAAACCCCGTTTGCAACGAAGGCCTCAAAGAGGTCCAAATATCCACTTGCAGACATAACAAGCAGAGTGTTTCTAAACTGCTCTAAGAAAAGAAAGGTTGAACTCTGTGAGTTGAAGGCACACATCACAAAGTAGTTTCTTAGAATGATTCTGTCTAGTTTTTATTTGAAGATATTTCCTTTTCTACTGTTGGCATCAAATCGCTTGAAATCTCCACTTGCAAACTCCACAAAAAGAGTGTTTCAAATCTGCTCTGTGTAAAGGGACGTTCCACTCTGTGAGTTGAATACACACAGCACAAAGAAGTTACTGAGAATTCTTCTGTCTAGCACGAAATGAAGAAATCCCGTTTCCAACGAAGGCCTCAATGCGGTCTATATATCCACTTGCAGACTTTACAAACAGAGTGTTTCCAAACTGCTCTATGAAAAGAAAGGTTAAACTATGTGAGTTGAACGCACACATCACAAAGAATTTTCTGAGAATGATTCTGTCTGGTTTTTATTTGAAGATATTTCCCTTTCTACTGTTGGCATCAAATGGCTAGAAATCTCCACTTGCAAATTCCGCAAAAAGAGTGTTTCAAATCTGCTCTGTCTAAAGGGACGTTCCACTCTGTGAGTTGAATGCACACCACACAAAGAATTTACTGAGAATTCTTCCGTCTAGCATTCAATGAAGAAATCCCGTTTCCAACGAAGGCCTCAAACAGGTCCATATATCCAATTGCAGACGTTACAAACAGTGTGTTTCCAAACTCCTCTATGAAAAGAAAGGTTAAACTCTGTGAGTTGAACGCACACATCACAAAGCACTTTCTGAGAATGATTCTGTCTGGTTATTATACGAAGATATTTCCTTTTCTGCAATTGTCCTCAAATCGCTTGAAATCTCCACCTGAAAATGCCACAGCAAGAGTGTTTCACATCTGCTCTCTCTAAAGCAAGGTTCAACTCTGTGAGTTGAATACACACAACACAAAAAAGTTACTGAGAACTCTTCTTAGTCTAGCATGAAAGGAAGAAACCACGTTTGCAACGAAGGCCTCAAAGAGGTCCAAATATCCACTTGCAGACATAACAAGCAGAGTGTTTCTAAACTGCTCTAAGAAAAGAAAGGTTAAACTCTGTGAGTTGAAGGCACACATCACAAAGTAGTTTCTGAGAATGATTCTGTCTAGTTTTTATTTGAAGATATTTCCTTTTCTACTGTTGGCATCAAATCGCTTGAAATCTCCACTTGCAAACTCCACAAAAAGAGTGTTTCAAATCTGCTCTGTGTAAAGGGACGTTCCACTCTGTGAGTTGAATACACACAGCACAAAGAAGTTACTGAGAATTCTTCTGTCTAGCATGAAATGAAGAAATCCCGTTTCCAACGAAGGCCTCAATGCGGTCCATATATCCACTTGCAGACTTTACAAACAGAGTGTTTCCAAACTGCTCTATGAAAAGAAAGGTTAAACTATGTGAGTTGAACGCACACATCACAAAGAATTTTCTGAGAATGATTCTGTCTGGTTTTTATTTGAAGATATTTCCCTTTCTACTGTTGGCATCAAATGGCTAGAAATCTCCACTTGCAAATTCCGCAAAAAGAGTGTTTCAAATCTGCTCTGTCTAAAGGGACGTTCCACTCTGTGAGTTGAATGCAGACAACACAAAGAATTTACTGAGAATTCTTCCGTCTAGCATTCAATGAAGAAATCCCGTTTCCAACGAAGGCCTCAAACAGGTCCATATATCCAATTGCAGACTTTACAAACAGTGTGTTTCCAAACTCCTCTATGAAAAGAAAGGTTAAACTCTGTGAGTTGAACGCACACATCACAAAGCACTTTCTGAGAATGATTCTGTCTGGCTGTTATACGAAGATATTTCCTTTTCTGCAATTGTCCTCAAATCGCTTGAAATCTCCACCTGAAAATGCCACAGCAAGAGTGTTTCAAATCTGCTCTCTCTAAAGCAAGGTTCAACTCTGTGAGTTGAATACACACAACACAAAAAAGTTACTGAGAACTCTTCTTAGTCTAGCATTAAAGGAAGAAACCCCGTTTGCAACGAAGGCCTCAAAGTAGGTCCAAATATCCACTTGCAGACATAACAAGCAGAGTGTTTCTAAACTGCTCTAAGAAAAGAAAGGTTAAACTCTGTGAGTTGAAGGCACACATCACAAAGTAGTTTCTGAGAATGATTCTGTCTAGTTTTTATTTGAAGATATTTCCTTTTCTACTGTTGGCATCAAATCGCTTGAAATCTCCACTTGCAAACTCCACAAAAAGAGTGTTTCAAATCTGCTCTGTGTAAAGGGACGTTCCACTCTGTGAGTTGAATACACACAGCACAAAGAAGTTACTGAGAATTCTTCTGTCTAGCATGAAATGAAGAAATCCCGTTTCCAACGAAGGCCTCAATGCGGTCCATATATCCACTTGCAGACTTTACAAACAGAGTGTTTCCAAACTGCTCTATGAAAAGAAAGGTTAAACTATGTGAGTTGAACGCACACATCACAAAGAATTTTCTGAGAATGATTCTGTCTGGTTTTTATTTGAAGATATTTCCCTTTCTACTGTTGGCATCAAATGGCTAGAAATCTCCACTTGCAAATTCCGCAAAAAGAGTGTTTCAAATCTGCTATGTCTAAAGGGACGTTCCACTCTGTGAGTTGAATGCACACAACACAAAGAATTTACTGAGAATTCTTCCGTCTAGCATGCAATGAAGAAATCCCGTTTCCAACGAAGGCCTCAAACAGGTCCATATATCCAATTGCAGACTTTACAAACAGTGTGTTTCCAAACTCCTCTATGAAAAGAAAGGTTAAACTCTGTGAGTTGAACGCACACATCACAAAGCACTTTCTGAGAATGATTCTGTCTGGTTATTATACGAAGATATTTCCTTTTCTGCAATTGTCCTCAAATCGCTTGAAATCTCCACCTGAAAATGCCACAGCAAGAGTGTTTCAAATCTGCTCTCTCTAAAGCAAGGTTCAACTCTGTGAGTTGAATACACACAACACAAAAAAGTTACTGAGAACTCTTCTTAGTCTAGCATTAAAGGAAGAAACCCCGTTTGCAACGAAGGCCTCAAAGAGGTCCAAATATCCACTTGCAGACATAACAAGCAGAGTGTTTCTAAACTGCTCTAAGAAAAGAAAGGTTAAACTCTGTGTGTTGAAGGCACACATCACAAAGTAGTTTCTGAGAATGATTCTGTCTAGTTTTTATTTGAAGATATTTCCTTTTCTACTGTTGGCATCAAATCGCTTGAAATCTCCACTTGCAAATTCCACAAAAAGAGTGTTTCAAATCTGCTCTGTGCAAAGGGACGTTCCACTCTGTGAGTTGAATACACACAGCACAAAGAAGTTACTGAGAATTCTTCTGTCTAGCATGAAATGAAGAAATCCCGTTTCCAACGAAGGCCTCAATGCGGTCCATATATCCACTTGCAGACTTTACAAACAGAGTGTTTCCAAACTGCTCTATGAAAAGAAAGGTTAAACTATGTGAGTTGAACGCACACATCACAAAGAATTTTCTGAGAATGATTCTGTCTGGTTTTTATTTGAAGATATTTCCCTTTCTACTGTTGGCATCAAATGGCTAGAAATCTCCACTTGCAAATTCCGCAAAAAGAGTGTTTCAAATCTGCTCTGTCTAAAGGGACGTTCCACTGTGTCAGTTGAATGCACACAACACAAAGAATTTACTGAGAATTCTTCCGTCTAGCATTCAATGAAGAAATCCCGTTTCCAACGAAGGCCTCAAACAGGTCCATATATCCACTTGCAGACTTTACAAACAGTGTGTTTCCAAACTCCTCTATGAAAAGAAAGGTTAAACTCTGTGAGTTGAACGCACACATCACAAAGCACTTTCTGAGAATGATTCTGTCTGGTTGTTATACGAAGATATTTCCTTTTCTGCAATTGTCCTCAAATCGCTTGAAATCTCCACCTGAAAATGCCACAGCAAGAGTGTTTCAAATCTGCTCTCTCTAAAGCAAGGTTCAACTCTGTGAGTTGAATACACACAACACAAAAAAGTTACTGAGAACTCTCTTAGTCTAGCATGAAAGGAAGAAACCCCGTTTGCAACGAAGGCCTCAAAGAGGTCCAAATATCCACTTGCAGACATAACAAGCAGAGTGTTTCTAAACTGCTCTAAGAAAAGAAAGGTTAAACTCTGTGAGTTGAAGGCACACATCACAAAGTAGTTTCTGAGAATGATTCTGTCTAGTTTTTATTTGAAGATATTTCCTTTTCTACTGTTGGCATCAAATCGCTTGAAATCTCCACTTGCAAACTCCACAAAAAGAGTGTTTCAAATCTGCTCTGTGTAAAGGGACGTTCCACTCTGTGAGTTGAATACACACAGCACAAAGAAGTTACTGAGAATTCTTCTGTCTAGCATGAAGTGAAGAAATCCCGTTTCCAACGAAGGCCTCAATGCGGTCCATATATCCACTTGCAGACTTTACAAACAGAGTGTTTCCAAACTGCTCTATGAAAAGAAAGGTTAAACTATGTGAGTTGAACGCACACATCACAAAGAATTTTCTGAGAATGATTCTGTCTGGTTTTTATTTGAAAATATTTCCCTTTCTACTGTTGGCATCAAATGGCTAGAAATCTCCACTTGCAAATTCCGCAAAAAGAGTGTTTCAAATCTGCTCTGTCTAAAGGGACGTTCCACTCTGTGAGTTGAATGCACACAACACAAAGAATTTACTGAGAATTCTTCCGTCTAGCATTCAATGAAGAAATCCCGTTTCCAACGAAGGCCTGAAACAGGTCCATATATCCAATTGCAGACTTTACAAACAGTGTGTTTCCAAACTCCTCTATGAAAAGAAAGGTTAAACTCTGTGAGTTGAACGCACACATCACAAAGCACTTTCTGAGAATGATTCTGTCTGGTTATTATACGAAGATATTTCCTTTTCTGCAATTGTCCTCAAATCGCTTGAAATCTCCACCTGAAAATGCCACAGCAAGAGTGTTTCAAATCTGCTCTCTCTAAAGCAAGGTTCAACTCTGTGAGTTGAATACACACAACACAAAAAAGTTACTGAGAACTCTTCTTAGTCTAGCATGAAAGGAAGAAACCCCGTTTGCAACGAAGGCCTCAAAGAGGTCCAAATATCCACTTGCAGACATAACAAGCAGAGTGTTTCTAAACTGCTCTATGAAAAGAAAGGTTAAACTCTGTGAGTTGAAGGCACACATCACAAAGTAGTTTCTGAGAATGATTCTGTCTAGTTTTTATTTGAAGATATTTCCTTTTCTACTGTTGGCATCAAATCGCTTGAAATCTCCACTTGCAAACTCCACAAAAAGAGTGTTTCAAATCTGCTCTGTGCAAAGGGACGTTCCACTCTGTGAGTTGAATACACACAGCACAAAGAAGTTACTGAGAATTCTTCTGTCTAGCATGAAATGAAGAAATCCCGTTTCCAACGAAGGCCTCAATGCGGTCCATATATCCACTTGCAGACTTTACAAACAGAGTGTTTCCAAACTGCTCTATGAAAAGAAAGGTTAAACTATGTGAGTTGAACGCACACATCACAAAGAATTTTCTGAGAATGATTCTGTCTGGTTTTTATTTGAAGATATTTCCCTTTCTACTGTTGGCATCAAATGGCTAGTAAATCTCCACTTGCAAATTCCGCAAAAAGAGTGTTTCAAATCTGCTCTGTCTAAAGGGACGTTCCACTCTGTGAGTTGAATGCACACCACACAAAGAATTTACTGAGAATTCTTCTTAGTCTAGCATTAAAGGAAGAAACCCCGTTTGCAACGAAGGCCTCAAAGAGGTCCAAATATCCACTTGCAGACATAAAAAGCAGAGTGTTTCTAAACTGCTCTAAGAAAAGAAAGGTTAAACTCTGTGAGTTGAAGGCACACATCACAAAGTAGTTTCTGAGAATGATTCTGTCTAGTTTTTATTTGAAGATATTTCCTTTTCTACTGTTGGCATCAAATCGCTTGAAATCTCCACTTGCAAACTCCACAAAAAGAGTGTTTCAAATCTGCTCTGTGCAAAGGGACGTTCCACTCTGTGAGTTGAATACACACAGCACAAAGAAGTTACTGAGAATTCTTCTGTCTAGCATGAAATGAAGAAATCCCGTTTCCAACGAAGGCCTCAATGCGGTCCATATATCCACTTGCAGACTTTACAAACAGAGTGTTTCCAAACTGCTCTATGAAAAGAAAGGTTAAACTATGTGAGTTGAACGCACACATCACAAAGAATTTTCTGAGAATGATTCTGTCTGGTTTTTATTTGAAGATATTTCCCTTTCTACTGTTGGCATCAAATGGCTAGAAATCTCCACTTGCAAATTCCGCAAAAAGAGTGTTTCAAATCTGCTCTGTCTAAAGGGACGTTCCACTCTGTCAGTTGAATGCACACAACACAAAGAATTTACTGAGAATTCTTCCGTCTAGCATTCAATGAAGAAATCCCGTTTCCAACGAAGGCCTCAAACAGGTCCATATATCCACTTGCAGACTTTACAAACAGTGTGTTTCCAAACTCCTCTATGAAAAGAAAGGTTAAACTCTGTGAGTGGAACGCACACATCACAAAGCACTCTCTGAGAATGATTCTGTCTGGTTGTTATACGAAGATATTTCCTTTTCTGCAATTGTCCTCAAATCGCTTGAAATCTCCAACTGAAAATGCCACAGCAAGAGTGTTTCAAATCTGCTCTCTCTAAAGCAAGGTTCAACTCTGTGAGTTGAATACACACAACACAAAAAAGTTACTGAGAACTCTTCTTAGTCTAGCATGAAAGGAAGAAACCCCGTTTGCAACGAAGGCCTCAAAGAGGTCCAAATATCCACTTGCAGACATAACAAGCAGAGTGTTTCTAAACTGCTCTAAGAAAAGAAAGGTTAAACTCTGTGAGTTGAAGGCACACATCACAAAGTAGTTTCTGAGAATGATTCTGTCTAGTTTTTATTTGAAGATATTTCCTTTTCTACTGCTGGCATCAAATCGCTTGAAATCTCCACTTGCAAACTCCACAAAAAGAGTGTTTCAAATCTGCTCTGTGTAAAGGGACGTTCCACTCTGTGAGTTGAATACACACAGCACAAAGAAGTTACTGAGAATTCTTCTGTCTAGCATGAAATGAAGAAATCCCGTTTCCAACGAAGGCCTCAATGCGGTCCATATATCCACTTGCAGACTTTACAAACAGAGTGTTTCCAAACTGCTCTATGAAAAGAAAGGTTAAACTATGTGAGTTGAACGCACACATCACAAAGAATTTTCTGAGAATGATTCTGTCTGGTTTTTATTTGAAGATATTTCCCTTTCTACTGTTGGCATCAAATGGCTAGAAATCTCCACTTGCAAATTCCGCAAAAAGAGTGTTTCAAATCTGCTCTGTCTAAAGGGACGTTCCACTCTGTGAGTTGAATGCACACAACACAAAGAATTTACTGAGAATTCTTCCGTCTAGCATTCAATGAAGAAATCCCGTTTCCAACGAAGGCCTCAAACAGGTCCATATATCCAATTGCAGACTTTACAAACAGTGTGTTTCCAAACTCCTCTATGAAAAGAAAGGTTAAACTCTGTGAGTTGAACGCACACATCACAAAGCACTTTCTGAGAATGATTCTGTCTGGTTATTATACGAAGATATTTCCTTTTCTGCAATTGTCCTCAAATCGCTTGAAATCTCCACCTGAAAATGCCACAGCAAGAGTGTTTCAAATCTGCTCTCTCTAAAGCAAGGTTCAACTCTGTGAGTTGAATACACACAACACAAAAAAGTTACTGAGAACTCTTGTTAGTCTAGCATGAAAGGAAGAAACCCCGTTTGCAACGAAGGCCTCAAAGAGGTCCAAATATCCACTTGCAGACATAACAAGCAGAGTGTTTCTAAACTGCTCTAAGAAAAGAAAGGTTAAACTCTGTGAGTTGAAGGCACACATCACAAAGTAGTTTCTGAGAATGATTCTGTCTAGTTTTTATTTGAAGATATTTCCTTTTCTACTGTTGGCATCAAATCGCTTGAAATCTCCACTTGCAAACTCCACAAAAAGAGTGTTTCAAATCTGCTCTGTGCAAAGGGACGTTCCACTCTGTGAGTTGAATACACACAGCACAAAGAAGTTACTGAGAATTCTTCTGTCTAGTATGAAATGAAGAAATCCCGTTTCCAACGAAGGCCTCAATGCGGTCCATATATCCACTTGCAGACTTTACAAACAGAGTGTTTCCAAACTGCTCTATGAAAAGAAAGGTTAAACTATGTGAGTTGAACGCACACATCACAAAGAATTTTCTGAGAATGATTCTGTCTGGTTTTTATTTGAAGATATTTCCCTTTCTACTGTTGGCATCAAATGGCTAGAAATCTCCACTTGCAAATTCCGCAAAAAGAGTGTTTCAAATCTGCTCTGTCTAAAGGGACGTTCCACTCTGTGAGTTGAATGCACACAACACAAAGAAGTTACTGAGAATTCTTCTGTCTAGCATGAAATGAAGAAATCCCGTTTCCAACGAAGGCCTCAATGCGGTCCATATATCCACTTGCAGACTTTACAAACAGTGTGTTTCCAAACTCCTCTATGAAAAGAAAGGTTAAACTCTGTGAGTGGAACGCACACATCACAAAGCACTTTCTGAGAATGATTCTGTCTGGTTATTATACGAAGATATTTCCTTTTCTGCAATTGTCCTCAAAACGCTTGAAATCTCCACCTGAAAATGCCACAGCAAGAGTGTTTCAAATCTGCTCTCTCTAAAGCAAGGTTCAACTCTGTGAGTTGAATACACACAACACAAAAAAGTTACTGAGAACTCTTCTTAGTCTAGCATTAAAGGAAGAAACCCCGTTTGCAACGAAGGCCTCAAAGAGGTCCAAATATCCACTTGCAGACATAAGAAGCAGAGTGTTTCTAAACTGCTCTAAGAAAAGAAAGGTTGAACTCTGTGAGTTGAAGGCACACATCACAAAGTAGTTTCTGAGAATGATTCTGTCTAGTTTTTATTTGAAGATATTTCCTTTTCTACTGTTGGCATCAAATCGCTTGAAATCTCCACTTGCAAACTCCACAAAAAGAGTGTTTCAAATCTGCTCTGTGTAAAGGGACGTTCCACTCTGTGAGTTGAATACACACAGCACAAAGAAGTTACTGAGAATTCTTCTGTCTAGCATGAAATGAAGAAATCCCGTTTCCAACGAAGGGCCTCAATGCGGTCCATATATCCACTTGCAGACTTTACAAACAGAGTGTTTCCAAACTGCTCTATGAAAAGAAAGGTTAAACTATGTGAGTTGAACGCACACATCACAAAGAATTTTCTGAGAATGATTCTGTCTGGTTTTTATTTGAAGATATTTCCCTTTCTACTGTTGGCATCAAATGGCTAGAAATCTCCACTTGCAAATTCCGCAAAAAGAGAGTTTCAAATCTGCTCTGTCTAAAGGGACGTTCCACTCTGTGAGTTGAATGCACACAACACAAAGAATTTACTGAGAATTCTTCCGTCTAGCATTCAATGAAGAAATCCCGTTTCCAACGAAGGCCTCAAACAGGTCCATGTATCCACTTGCAGACTTTACAAACAGTGTGTTTCCAAACTCCTCTATGAAAAGAAAGGTTAAACTCTGTGAGTTGAACCGCACACATCACAAAGCACTTTCTGAGAATGATTCTGTCTGGTTATTATACGAAGATATTTCCTTTTCTGCAATTGTCCTCAAAACGCTTGAAATCTCCACCTGAAAATGCCACAGCAAGAGTGTTTCAAATCTGCTCTCTCTAAAGCAAGGTTCAACTCTGTGAGTTGAATACACACAACACAAAAAAGTTACTGAGAATGCTCCTCTTAGTCTAGCATTAAAGGAAGAAACCCCGTTTGCAACGAAGGCCTCAAAGAGGTCCAAATATCCACTTGCAGACATAACAAGCAGAGTGTTTCTAAACTGCTCTAAGAAAAGAAAGGTTAAACTCTGTGAGTTGAAGGCACACATCACAAAGTAGTTTCTGAGAATGATTCTGTCTAGTTTTTATTTGAAGATATTTCCTTTTCTACTGTTGGCATCAAATCGCTTGAAATCTCCACTTGCAAACTCCACAAAAAGAGTGTTTCAAATCTGCTCTGTGCAAAGGGACGTTCCACTCTGTGAGTTGAATACACACAGCACAAAGAAGTTACTGAGAATTCTTCTGTCTAGCATGAAATGAAGAAATCCCGTTTCCAACGAAGGCCTCAATGCGGTCTATATATCCACTTGCAGACATCACAAACAGAGTGTTTCCAAACTGCTCTATGAAAAGAAAGGTTAAACTATGTGAGTTGAACGCACACATCACAAAGAATTTTCTGAGAATGATTCTGTCTGGTTTTTATTTGAAGATATTTCCCTTTCTACTGTTGGCATCAAATGGCTAGAAATCTCCACTTGCAAATTCCGCAAAAAGAGTGTTTCAAATCTGCTCTGTCTAAAGGGACGTTCCACTCTGTGAGTTGAATGCACACAACACAAAGAATTTACTGAGAATTCTTCCGTCTAGCATTCAATGAAGAAATCCCGTTTCCAACGAAGGCCTCAAACAGGTCCATATATCCACTTGCAGACTTTACAAACAGTGTGTTTCCAAACTCCTCTATGAAAAGAAAGGTTAAACTCTGTGAGTGGAACGCACACATCACAAAGCACTTTCTGAGAATGATTCTGTCTGGTTGTTATACGAAGATATTTCCTTTTCTGCAATTGTCCTCAAATCGCTTGAAATCTCCACCTGAAAATGTCACAGCAAGAGTGTTTCAAATCTGCTCTCTCTAAAGCAAGGTTCAACTCTGTGAGTTGAATACACACAACACAAAAAAGTTACTGAGAACTCTTCTTAGTCTAGCATGAACGGAAGAAACCCCGTTTGCAACGAAGGCCTCAAAGAGGTCCAAATATCCACTTGCAGACATAACAAGCAGAGTGTTTCTAAACTGCTCTAAGAAAAGAAAGGTTAAACTCTGTGAGTTGAAGGCACACATCACAAAGTAGTTTCTGAGAATGATTCTGTCTAGTTTTTATTTGAAGATATTTCCTTTTCTACTGTTGGCATCAAATCGCTTGAAATCTCCACTTGCAAACTCCACAAAAAGAGTGTTTCAAATCTGCTCTGTGTAAAGGGACGTTCCACTCTGTGAGTTGAATACACACAGCACAAAGAAGTTACTGAGAATTCTTCTGTCTAGCATGAAATGAAGAAATCCCGTTTCCAACGAAGGCCTCAATGCGGTCCATATATCCACTTGCAGACTTTACAAACAGAGTGTTTCCAAACTGCTCTATGAAAAGAAAGGTTAAACTATGTGAGTTGAACGCACACATCACAAAGAATTTTCTGAGAATGATTCTGTCTGGTTTTTATTTGAAGATATTTCCCTTTCTACTGTTGGCATCAAATGGCTAGAAATCTCCACTTGCAAATTCCGCAAAAAGAGTGTTTCAAATCTGCTCTGTCTAAAGGGACGTTCCACTCTGTCAGTTGAATGCACACAACACAAAGAATTTACTGAGAATTCTTCTGCCTAGCATTCAATGAAGAAATCCCGTTTCCAACGAAGGCCTCAAACAGGTCCATATATCCAATTGCAGACTTTACAAACAGTGTGTTTCCAAACTCCTCTATGAAAAGAAAGGTTAAACTCTGTGAGTTGAACGCACACATCACAAAGCACTTTTCTGAGAATGATTCTGTCTGGTTATTATACGAAGATATTTCCTTTTCTGCAATTGTCCTCAAATCGCTTGAAATCTCCACCTGAAAATGCCACAGCAAGAGTGTTTCAAATCTGCTCTCTCTAAAGCAAAGTTCAACTCTGTGAGTTGAATACACACAACACAAAAAAGTTACTGAGAACTCTTCTTAGTCTAGCATTAAAGGAAGAAACCCCGTTTGCAACGAAGGCCTCAAAGAGGTCCAAATATCCACTTGCAGACATAACAAGCAGAGTGTTTCTAAACTGCTCTAAGAAAAGAAAGGTTAAACTCTGTGAGTTGAAGGCACACATCACAAAGTAGTTTCTGAGAATGATTCTGTCTAGTTTTTATTTGAAGATATTTCCTTTTCTACTGTTGGCATCAAATCGCTTGAAATCTCCACTTGCAAACTCCACAAAAAGAGTGTTTCAAATCTGCTCTGTGCAAAGGGACGTTCCACTCTGTGAGTTGAATACACACAGCACAAAGAAGTTACTGAGAATTCTTCTGTCTAGCATGAAATGAAGAAATCCCGTTTCCAACGAAGGCCTCAAAGCGGTCCATATATCCACTTGCAGACATTACCAACAGAGTGTTCCCAAACTGCTCTATGAAAAGAAAGGTTAAACTATGTGAGTTGAACGCACACATCACAAAGAATTTTCTGAGAATGATTCTGTCTGGTTTTTATTTGAAGATATTTCCCTTTCTACTGTTGGCATCAAATGGCTAGAAATCTCCACTTGCAAATTCCGCAAAAAGAGTGTTTCAAATCTGCTCTGTCTAAAGGGACGTTCCACTCTGTGAGTTGAATGCACACAACACAAAGAATTTACTGAGAATTCTTCCGTCTAGCATTCAATGAAGAAATCCCGTTTCCAACGAAGGCCTCAAACAGGTCCATATATCCAATTGCAGACTTTACAAACAGTGTGTTTCCAAACTCCTCTATGAAAAGAAAGGTTAAACTCTGTGAGTTGAAGGCACACATCACGAAGCACTTTCTGAGAATGATTTCTGTCTGGTTATTATACGAAGATATTTCCTTTTCTGCAATTGTCCTCAAATCGCTTGAAATCTCCACCTGAAAATGCCACAGCAAGAGTGTTTCAAATCTGCTCTCTCTAAAGCAAGGTTCAACTCTGTGAGTTGAATACACACAACACAAAAAAGTTACTGAGAACTCTTCTTAGTCTAGCATGAAAGGAAGAAACCCCGTTTGCAACGAAGGCCTCAAAGAGGTCCAAATATCCACTTGCAGACATAACAAGCAGAGTGTTTCTAAACTGCTCTAAGAAAAGAAAGGTTAAACTCTGTGAGTTGAAGGCACACATCACAAAGTAGTTTCTGAGAATGATTCTGTCTAGTTTTTATTTGAAGATATTTCCTTTTCTACTGTTGGCATCAAATCGCTTGAAATCTCCACTTGCAAACTCCACAAAAAGAGTGTTTCAAATCTGCTCTGTGCAAAGGGACGTTCCACTCTGTGAGTTGAATACACACAGCACAAAGAAGTTACTGAGAATTCTTCTGTCTAGCATGAAATGAAGAAATCCCGTTTCCAACGAAGGCCTCAATGCGGTCCATATATCCACTTGCAGACTTTACAAACAGAGTGTTTCCAAACTGCTCTATGAAAAGAAAGGTTAAACTATGTGAGTTGAACGCACACATCACAAAGAATTTTCTGAGAATGATTCTGTCTGGTTTTTATTTGAAGATATTTCCCTTTCTACTGTTGGCATCAAATGGCTAGAAATCTCCACTTGCAAATTCCGCAAAAAGAGTGTTTCAAATCTGCTCTGTCTAAAGGGACGTTCCACTCTGTGAGTTGAATGCACACAACACAAAGAATTTACTGAGAATTCTTCCGTCTAGCATTCAATGAAGAAATCCCGTTTCCAACGAAGGCCTCAAACAGGTCCATATATCCACCTGCAGACTTTACAAACAGTGTGTTTCCAAACTCCTCTATGAAAAGAAAGGTTAAACTCTGTGAGTTGAACGCACACATCACAAAGCACTTTCTGAGAATGATTCTGTCTGGTTATTATACGAAGATATTTCCTTTTCTGCAATTGTCCTCAAATCGCTTGAAATCTCCACCTGAAAATGCCACAGCAAGAGTGTTTCAAATCTGCTCTCTCTAAAGCAAGGTTCAACTCTGTGAGTTGAATACACACAACACAAAAAAGTTACTGAGAACTCTTCTTAGTCTACCATGAAAGGAAGAAACCCCGTTTGCAACGAAGGCCTCAAAGAGGTCCAAATATCCACTTGCAGACATAACAAGCAGAGTGTTTCTAAACTGCTCTAAGAAAAGAAAGGTTAAACTCTGTGAGTTGAAGGCACACATCACAAAGTAGTTTCTGAGAATGATTCTGTCTAGTTTTTATTTGAAGATATTTCCTTTTCTACTGTTGGCATCAAATCGCTTGAAATCTCCACTTGCAAACTCCACAAAAAGAGTGTTTCAAATCTGCTCTGTGCAAAGGGACGTTCCACTCTGTGAGTTGAATACACACAGCACAAAGAAGTTACTGAGAATTCTTCTGTCTAGCATGAAATGAAGAAATCCCGTTTCCAACGAAGGCCTCAATGCGGTCCATATATCCACTTGCAGACTTTACAAACAGAGTGTTTCCAAACTGCTCTATGAAAAGAAAGGTTAAACTATGTGAGTTGAATGCACACATCACAAAGAATTTTCTGAGAATGATTCTGTCTGGTTTTTATTTGAAGATATTTCCCTTTCTACTGTTGGCATCAAATGGCTAGAAATCTCCACTTGCAAATTCCGCAAAAAGAGTGTTTCAAATCTGCTCTGTCTAAAGGGACGTTCCACTCTGTGAGTTGAATGCACACCACACAAAGAATTTACTGAGAATTCTTCCGTCTAGCATTCAATGAAGAAATCCCGTTTCCAACGAAGGCCTCAAACAGGTCGATATATCCAATTGCAGAGTTTACAAACAGTGTGTTTCCAAACTCCTCTATGAAAAGAAAGGTAAAACTCTGTGAGTTGAACGCACACATCACAAAGCACTTTCTGAGAATGATTCTGTCTAGTTTTTATTTGCAGATATTTCCTTTCTACTGTTGGCATCAAATCGCTTGAAATCTCCACTTGCAAATTCCAAAAAAAGAGTGTTTCAAATCTGCTCTGTGTAAAGGGACGTTCCAATCTGTGAGTTGAATACTCACAACACAAAGAAGATACTGAGAATTCTTCTGTCTAGCATTCAATGAAGAAATCCCGTTTCCAAGGAATGCCTGAAAGCGGTACATATATCCACTTGCAGATTTTACAAACAGTGTGTTTCGAAACTGCTCTATGAAAAGAAAGGTTAAACTATGTGAGCTGAACGCACACATCACAAAGAATTTTCTGAGAATGATTCTGTCTGGTTTTTATTTGAAGATATTTCCCTTTCTACTGTTGGCATCAAATGGCTAGAAATCTCCACTTGCAAATTCCGCAAAAAGAGTGTTTCAAATCTGCTCTGTCTAAAGGGACGTTCCACTCTGTGAGTTGAATGCACACAACACAAAGAATTTACTGAGAATTCTTCCGCCTAGCATTCAATGAAGAAATCCCGTTTCCAACGAAGGCCTCAAACAGGTCCATATATCCAATTGCAGACTTTACAAACAGTGTGTTTCCAAACTCCTCTATGAAAAGAAAGGTTAAACTCTGTGAGTTGAACGCACACATCACAAAGCACTTTCTGAGAATGATTCTGTCTGGTTATTATACGAAGATATTTCCTTTTCTGCAATTGTCCTCAAATCGCTTGAAATCTCCACCTGAAAATTCCACAGCAAGAGTGTTTCAAATCTGCTCTCTCTAAAGCAAGGTTCAACTCTGTGAGTTGAATACACACAACACAAAAAAGTTACTGAGAACTCTTCTTAGTCTAGCATTAAAGGAAGAAACCCCGTTTGCAACGAAGGCCTCAAAGAGGTCCAAATATCCACTTGCAGACATAACAAGCAGAGTGTTTCTAAACTGCTCTAAGAAAATAAAGGTTAAACTCTGTGAGTTGAAGGCACACATCACAAAGTAGTTCCTGAGAATGATTCTGTCTAGTTTTTATTTGAAGATATTTCCTTTTCTACTGTTGGCATCAAATCGCTTGAAATCTCCACTTGCAAACTCCACAAAAAGAGTGTTTCAAATCTGCTCTGTGCAAAGGGACGTTCCACTCTGTGAGTTGAATACACACAGCACAAAGAAGTTACTGAGAATTCTTCTGTCTAGCATGAAATGAAGAAATCCCGTTTCCAACGAAGGCCTCAATGCGGTCCATATATCCACTTGCAGACTTTACAAACAGAGTGTTTCCAAACTGCTCTATGAAAAGAAAGGTTAAACTATGTGAGTTGAACGCACACATCACAAAGAATTTTCTGAGAATGATTCTGTCTGGTTTTTATTTGAAGATATTTCCCTTTCTACTGTTGGCATCAAATGGCTAGAAATCTCCACTTGCAAATTCCGCAAAAAGAGTGTTTCAAATCTGCTCTGTCTAAAGGGACGTTCCACTCTGTGAGTTCAATGCACACAACACAAAGAATTTACTGAGAATTCTTCCGTCTAGCATTCAATGAAGAAATCCCGTTTCCAACGAAGGCCTCAAACAGGTCCATATATCCACTTGCAGACTTTACAAACAGTGTGTTTCCAAACTCCTCTATGAAAAGAAAGGTTAAACTCTGTGAGTTGAACGCACACATCACAAAGCACTTTCTGAGAATGATTCTGTCTGGTTATTATACGAAGATATTTCCTTTTCTGCAATTGTCCTCAAATCGCTTGAAATCTCCACCTGAAAATGCCACAGCAAGAGTGTTTCAAATCTGCTCTCTCTAAAGCAAGGTTCAACTCTGTGAGTTGAATACACACAACACAAAAAAGTTACTGAGAACTATTCTTAGTCTAGCATGAAAGGAAGAAACCCCGTTTGCAACGAAGGCCTCAAAGAGGTCCAAATATCCACTTGCAGACATAACAAGCAGAGTGTTTCTAAACTGCTCTAAGAAAAGAAAGGTTAAACTCTGTGAGTTGAAGGCACACATCACAAAGTAGTTTCTGAGAATGATTCTGTCTAGTTTTTATTTGAAGATATTTCCTTTTCTACTGTTGGCATCAAATCGCTTGAAATCTCCACTTGCAAACTCCACAAAAAGAGTGTTTCAAATCTTCTCTGTGTAAAGGGACGTTCCACTCTGTGAGTTGAATACACACAGCACAAAGAAGTTACTGAGAATTCTTCTGTCTAGCATGAAATGAAGAAATCCCGTTTCCAACGAAGGCCTCAATGCGGTCCATATATCCACTTGCAGACTTTACAAACAGAGTGTTTCCAAACTGCTCTATGAAAAGAAAGGTTAAACTATGTGAGTTGAACGCACACATCACAAAGAATTTTCTGAGAATGATTCTGTCTGGTTTTTATTTGAAGATATTTCCCTTTCTACTGTTGGCATCAAATGGCTAGAAATCTCCACTTGCAAATTCCGCAAAAAGAGTGTTTCAAATCTGCTCTGTCTAAAGGGACGTTCCACTCTGTGAGTTGAATGCACACAACACAAAGAATTTACTGAGAATTCTTCCGTCTAGCATTCAATGAAGAAATCCCGTTTCCAACGAAGGCCTCAAACAGCTCCATATATCCAATTGCAGACTTTACAAACAGTGTGTTTCCAAACTCCTCTATGAAAAGAAAGGTTAAACTCTGTGAGTTGAACGCACACATCACAAAGCACTTTCTGAGAATGATTTTGTCTGGTTATTATACGAAGATATTTCCTTTTCTGCAATTGTCCTCAAATCGCTTGAAATCTCCACCTGAAAATGCCACAGCAAGAGTGTTTCAAATCTGCTCTCTCTAAAGCAAGGTTCAACTCTGTGAGTTGAATACACACAACACAAAAAAGTTACTGAGAACTCTTCTTAGTCTAGCATGAAAGGAAGAAACCCCGTTTGCAAGGAAGGCCTCAAAGAGGTCCAAATATCCACTTGCAGACATAACAAGCAGAGTGTTTCTAAACTGCTCTAAGAAAAGAAAGGTTAAACTCTGTGAGTTGAAGGCACACATCACAAAGTAGTTTCTGAGAATGATTCTGTCTAGTTTTTATTTGAAGATATTTCCTTTTCTACTGTTGGCATCAAATCGCTTGAAATCTCCACTTGCAAATTCCACAAAAAGAGTGTTTCAAATCTTCTCTGTGTAAAGGAACGTTCCACTCTGTGAGTTGAATACACACAGCACAAAGAAGTTACTGAGAATTCTTCTGTCTAGCATGAAATGAAGAAATCCCGTTTCCAACGAAGGCCTCAATGCGGTCCATATATCCACTTGCAGACTTTACAAACAGAGTGTTTCCAAACTGCTCTATGAAAAGAAAGGTTAAACTATGTGAGTTGAACGCACACATCACAAAGAATTTTCTGAGAATGATTCTGTCTGGTTTTTATTTGAAGATATTTCCCTTTCTACTGTTGGCATCAAATGGCTAGAAATCTCCACTTGCAAATTCCGCAAAAAGAGTGTTTCAAATCTGCTCTGTCTAAAGGGACGTTCCACTCTGTGAGTTGAATGCACACAACACAAAGAATTTACTGAGAATTCTTCCGTCTAGCATTCAATGAAGAAATCCCGTTTCCAACGAAGGCCTCAAACAGGTCCATATATCCAATTGCAGACTTTACAAACAGTGTGTTTCCAAACTCCTCTATGAAAAGAAAGGTTAAACTCTGTGAGTTGAACGCACACATCACAAAGCACTTTCTGAGAATGATTCTGTCTGGTTGTTATACGAAGATATTTCCTTTTCTGCAATTGTCCTCAAATCGCTTGAAATCTCCACCTGAAAATGCCACAGCAAGAGTGTTTCAAATCTGCTCTCTCTAAAGCAAGGTTCAACTCTGTGAGTTGAATACACACAACACAAAAAAGTTACTGAGAACTCTTCTTAGTCTAGCATGAAAGGAAGAAACCCTGTTTGCAACGAAGGCCTCAAAGAGGTCCAAATATCCACTTGCAGACATAACAAGCAGAGTGTTTCTAAACTGCTCTAAGAAAAGAAAGGTTAAACTCTGTGAGTTGAAGGCACACATCACAAAGTAGTTTCTGAGAATGATTCTGTCTAGTTTTTATTTGAAGATATTTCCTTTTCTACTGTTGGCATCAAATCGCTTGAAATCTCCACTTGCAAACTCCACAAAAAGAGTGTTTCAAATCTGCTCTGTGTAAAGGGACGTTCCACTCTGTGAGTTGAATACACACAGCACAAAGAAGTTACTGAGAATTCTTCGGTCTAGCATGAAATGAAGAAATCCCGTTTCCAACGAAGGCCTCAATGCAGTCCATATATCCACTTGCAGACTTTACAAACAGAGTGTTTCCAAACTGCTCTATGAAAAGAAAGGTTAAACTATGTGAGTTGAACGCACACATCACAAAGAATTTTCTGAGAATGATTCTGTCTGGTTTTTATTTGAAGATATTTCCCTTTCTACTGTTGGCATCAAACGGCTAGAAATCTCCACTTGTAAATTCCGCAAAAAGAGTGTTTCAAATCTGCTCTGTCTAAAGAGACGTTCCACTCTGTGAGTTGAATGCACACAACACAAAGAATTTACTGAGAATTCTTCCGTCTAGCATTCAATGAAGAAATCCCGTTTCCAACGAAGGCCTCAAACAGGTCCATATATCCACTTGCAGACTTTACAAACAGTGTGTTTCCAAACTCCTCTATGAAAAGAAAGGTTAAACTCTGTGAGTGGAACGCACACATCACAAAGCACTTTCTGAGAATGATTCTGTCTGGTTATTATACGAAGATATTTCCTTTTCTGCAATTGTCCTCAAATCGCTTGAAATCTCCACCTGAAAATGCCACAGCAAGAGTGTTTCAAATCTGCTCTCTCTAAAGCAAGGTTCAACTCTGTGATTTGAATACACACAACACAAAAAAGTTACTGAGAACTCTTCTTAGTCTAGCATGAAAGGAAGAAACCCCGTTTGCAACGAAGGCCTCAAAGAGGTCCAAATATCCACTTGCAGACATAACAAGCAGAGTGTTTCTAAACTGCTCTAAGAAAAGAAAGGTTAAACTCTGTGAGTTGAAGGCACACATCACAAAGTAGTTTCTGAGAATGATTCTGTCTAGTTTTTATTTGAAGATATTTCCTTTTCTACTGTTGGCATCAAATCGCTTGAAATATCCACTTGCAAACTCCACAAAAAGAGTGTTTCAAATGTGCTCTGTGCAAAGGGACGTTCCACTATGTGAGTTGAATACACACAGCACAAAGAAGTTACTGAGAATTCTTCTGTCTAGCATGAAATGAAGAAATCCCGTTTCCAACGAAGGCCTCAATGCGGTCCATATATCCACTTGCAGACTTTACAAACAGAGTGTTTCCAAACTGCTCTATGAAAAGAAAGGTTAAACTATGTGAGTTGAACGCACACATCACAAAGAATTTTCTGAGAATGATTCTGTCTGGTTTTTATTTGAAGATATTTCCCTTTCTACTGTTGGCATCAAATGGCTAGAAATCTCCACTTGCAAATTCCACAAAAAGAGTGTTTCAAATCTGCTCTGTCTAAAGGGACGTTCCACTCTGTCAGTTGAATGCACACAACACAAAGTATTTACTGAGAATTCTTCCGTCTAGCATTCAATGAAGAAATCCCGTTTCCAACGAAGGCCTTAAACAGGTCCATATATCCAATTGCAGACTTTACAAACAGTGTGTTTCCAAACTCCTCTATGAAAAGAAAGGTTAAACTCTGTGAGTTGAACGCACACATCACAAAGCACTTTCTGAGAATTATTCTGTCTGGTTGTTATACGAAGGATATTTCCTTTTCTGCAATTGTCCTCAAATCGCTTGAAATCTCCACCTGAAAATGCCACAGCAAGAGTGTTTCAAATCTGCTCTCTCTAAAGCAAGGTTCAGCTCTGTGAGTTGAATACACACAACACAAAAAAGTTACTGAGAACTCTTCTTAGTCTAGCATGAAAGGAAGAAACCCCGTTTGCAACGAAGGCCTCAAAGAGGTCCAAATATCCACTTGCAGACATAACAAGCAGAGTGTTTCTAAACTGCTCTAAGAAAAGAAAGGTTAAACTCTGTGAGTTGAAGGCACACATCACAAAGTAGTTTCTGAGAATGATTCTGTCTAGTTTTTATTAGAAGATATTTGCTTTTCTACTGCTGGCATCAAATCGCTTGAAATCTCCACTTGCAAATTCCACAAAAAGAGTGTTTCAAATCTGCTCTGTCTAAAGGGACGTTCCACACTGTGAGTTGAATACACACAACACAAAGGAGTTACTGAGAATTCTTCTGTCTAGCATGAAATGAAGAAATCCCGTTTCCAACGAAGGCCTCAATGCGGTCCATATATCCACTTGCAGACTTTACAAACAGAGTGTTTCCAAACTGCTCTATGAAAAGAAAGGTTAAACTATGTGAGTTGAACGCACACATCACAAAGAATTTTCTGAGAATGATTCTGTCTGGTTTTTATTTGAAGATATTTCCCTTTCTACTGTTGGCATCAAATGGCTAGAAATCTCCACTTGCAAATTCCGCAAAAAGAGTGTTTCAAATCTGCTCTGTCTAAAGGGACGTTCCACTCTGTGAGTTGAATGCACACAACACAAAGAATTTACTGAGAATTCTTCCGTCTAGCATTCAATGAAGAAATCCCGTTTCCAACGAAGCCTCAAACAGGTCCATATATCCACTTGCAGACTTTACAAACAGTGTGTTTCCAAACTCCTCTATGAAAAGAAAGGTTAAACTCTGTGAGTTGAACGCACACATCACAAAGCACTTTCTGAGAATGATTCTGTCTGGTTGTTATACGAAGATATTTCCTTTTCTGCAATTGTCCTCAAATCGCTTGAAATCTCCACCTGAAAATGCCACAGCAAGAGTGTTTCAAATCTGCTCTCTCTAAAGCAAGGTTCAACTCTGTGAGTTGAATACACACAACACAAAAAAGTTACTGAGAACTCTTCTTAGTCTAGCATGAAAGGAAGAAACCCCGTTTGCAACGAAGGCCTCAAAGAGGTCCAAATATCCACTTGCAGACATAACAAGCAGAGTGTTTCTAAACTGCTCTAAGAAAAGAAAGGTTAAACTCTGTGAGTTGAAGGCACACATCACAAAGTAGTTTCTGAGAATGATTCTGTCTAGTTTTTATTTGAAGATATTTCCTTTTCTACTGTTGGCATCAAATCGCTTGAAATCTCCACTTGCAAACTCCACAAAAAGAGTGTTTCAAATCTGCTCTGTGTAAAGGGACGTTCCACTCTGTGAGTTGAATACACACAGCACAAAGAAGTTACTGAGAATTCTTCTGTCTAGCATGAAATGAAGAAATCCCGTTTCCAACGAAGGCCTCAATGCGGTCCATATATCCACTTGCAGACTTTACAAACAGAGTGTTTCCAAACTGCTCTATGAAAAGAAAGGTTAAACTATGTGAGTTGAACGCACACATCACAAAGAATTTTCTGAGAATGATTCTGTCTGGTTTTTATTTGAAGATATTTCCCTTTCTACTGTTGGCATCAAATGGCTAGAAATCTCCACTTGCAAATTCCGCAAAAAGAGTGTTTCAAATCTGCTCTGTCTAAAGGGACGTTCCACTCTGTGAGTTGAATGCACACAACACAAAGAATTTACTGAGAATTCTTCCGTCTAGCATTCAATGAAGAAATCCCGTTTCCAACGAAGGCCTCAAACAGGTCCATATATCCACTTGCAGACTTTACAAACAGTGTGTTTCCAAACTCCTCTATGAAAAGAAAGGTTAAACTCTGTGAGTTGAACGGCACACATCACAAAGCACTTTCTGAGAATGATTCTGTCTGGTTATTATACGAAGATATTTCCTTTTCTGCAATTGTCCTCAAAACGCTTGAAATCTCCACCTGAAAATGCCACAGCAAGAGTGTTTCAAATCTGCTCTCTCTAAAGCAAGGTTCAACTCTGTGAGTTGAATACACACAACACAAAAAAGTTACTGAGAACTCTTCTTAGTCTAGCATGAAAGGAAGAAACCCCGTTTGCAACGAAGGCCTCAAAGAGGTCCAAATATCCACTTGCAGACATAACAAGCAGAGTGTTTCTAAACTGCTCTAAGAAAAGAAAGGTTAAACTCTGTGAGTTGAAGGCACACATCACAAAGTAGTTTCTGAGAATGATTCTGTCTAGTTTTTATTTGAAGATATTTCCTTTTCTACTGTTGGCATCAAATCGCTTGAAATCTCCACTTGCAAACTCCACAAAAAGAGTGTTTCAAATCTGCTCTGTCTAAAGGGACGTTCCACTCTGTGAGTTGAATGCACACAACACAAAGAATTTACTGAGAATTCTTCCGTCTAGCATTCAATGAAGAAATCCCGTTTCCAACGAAGGCCTCAAACAGGTCCATATATCCACTTGCAGACTTTACAAACAGTGTGTTTCCAAACTCCTCTATGAAAAGAAAGGTTAAACTCTGTGAGTTGAACGCACACATCACAAAGCACTTTCTGAGAATGATTCTGTCTGGTTATTATACGAAGATATTTCCTTTTCTGCAATTGTCCTCAAATCGCTTGAAATCTCCACCTGAAAATGCCACAGCAAGAGTGTTTCAAATCTGCTCTCTCTAAAGCAAGGTTCAGCTCTGTGAGTTGAATACACACAACACAAAAAAGTTACTGAGAACTCTTCTTAGTCTAGCATGAAAGGAAGAAACCCCGTTTGCAACGAAGGCCTCAAAGAGGTCCAAATATCCACTTGCAGACATAACAAGCAGAGTGTTTCTAAACTGCTCTAAGAAAAGAAAGGTTAAACTCTGTGAGTTGAAGGCACACATCACAAAGTAGTTTCTGAGAATGATTCTGTCTAGTTTTTATTTGAAGATATTTCCTTTTCTACTGTTGGCATCAAATCGCTTGAAATCTCCACTTGCAAATTCCACAAAAAGAGTGTTTCAAATCTGCTCTGTGCAAAGGGACGTTCCACTCTGTGAGTTGAATACACACAGCACAAAGAAGTTACTGAGAATTCTTCTGTCTAGCATGAAATGAAGAAATCCCGTTTCCAACGAAGGCCTCAATGCGGTCCATATATCCACTTGCAGACTTTACAAACAGAGTGTTTCCAAACTGCTCTATGAAAAGAAAGGTTAAACTATGTGAGTTGAACGCACACATCACAAAGAATTTTCTGAGAATGATTCTGTCTGGTTTTTATTTGAAGATATTTCCCTTTCTACTGTTGGCATCAAATGGCTAGAAATCTCCACTTGCAAATTCCGCAAAAAGAGTGTTTCAAATCTGCTCTGTCTAAAGGGACGTTCCACTCTGTGAGTTGAATGCACACAACACAAAGAATTTACTGAGAATTCTTCCGTCTAGCATTCAATGAAGAAATCCCGTTTCCAACGAAGGCCTCAAACAGGTCCATATATCCAAATGCAGACTTTACAAACAGTGTGTTTCCAAACTCCTCTATGAAAAGAAAGGTTAAACTCTGTGAGTTGAACGCACACATCACAAAGCACTTTCTGAGAATGATTCTGTCTGGTTATTATACGAAGATATTTCCTTTTCTGCAATTGTCCTCAAATCGCTTGAAATCTCCACCTGAAAATGCCACAGCAAGAGTGTTTCAAATCTGCTCTCTCTAAAGCAAGGTTCAACTCTGTGATTTGAATACACACAACACAAAAAAGTTACTGAGAACTCTTCTTAGTCTAGCATGAAAGGAAGAAACCCCGTTTGCAACGAAGGCCTCAAAGAGGTCCAAATATCCACTTGCAGACATAACAAGCAGAGTGTTTCTAAACTGCTCTAAGAAAAGAAAGGTTAAACTCTGTGAGTTGAAGGCACACATCACAAAGTAGTTTCTGAGAATGATTCTGTCTAGTTTTTATTTGAAGATATTTCCTTTTCTACTGTTGGCATCAGATCGCTTGAAATCTCCACTTGCAAATTCCACAAAAAGAGTGTTTCAAATCTGCTCTGTGCAAAGGGACGTTCCACTCTGTGAGTTCAATACACACAGCACAAAGAAGTTACTGAGAATTCTTCTGTCTAGCATGAAATGAAGAAATCCCGTTTCCAACGAAGGCCTCAATGCGGTCCATAGATCCACTTGCAGACTTTACAAACAGAGTGTTTCCAAACTGCTCTATGAAAAGAAAGGTTAAACTATGTGAGTTGAACGCACACATCACAAAGAATTTTCTGAGAATGATTCTGTCTGGTTTTTATTTGAAGATATTTCCCTTTCTACTGTTGGCATCAAATGGCTAGAAATCTCCACTTGCAAATTCCGCAAAAAGAGTGTTTCAAATCTGCTCTGTCTAAAGGGACGTTCCACTCTGTGAGTTGAATGCACACAACACAAAGAATTTACTGAGAATTCTTCCGTCTAGCATTCAATGAAGAAATCCCGTTTCCAACGAAGGCCTCAAACAGGTCCATATATCCAATTGCAGACTTTACAAACAGTGTGTTTCCAAACTCCTCTATGAAAAGAAAGGTTAAACTCTGTGAGTTGAACGCACACATCACAAAGCACTTTCTGAGAATGATTCTGTCTGGTTGTTATACGAAGATATTTCCTTTACTGCAATTGTCCTCAAATCGCTTGAAATCTCCACCTGAAAATGACACAGCAAGAGTGTTTCAAATCTGCTCTCTCTAAAGCAAGGTTCAACTCTGTGAGTTGAATACACACAACACAAAAAAGTTACTGAGAACTCTTCTTAGTCTAGCATGAAAGGAAGAAACCCCGTTTGCAACGAAGGCCTCAAAGAGGTCCAAATATCCACTTGCAGACATAACAAGCAGAGTGTTTCTAAACTGCTCTAAGAAAAGAAAGGTTAAACTCTGTGAGTTGAAGGCACACATCACAAAGTAGTTTCTGAGAATGATTCTGTCTAGTTTTTATTTGAAGATATTTCCTTTTCTACTGTTGGCATCAAATCGCTTGAAATCTCCACTTGCAAATTCCACAAAAAGAGTGTTTCAAATCTGCTCTGTCTAAAGGGACGTTCCACTCTGTGAGTTGAATACACACAGCACAAAGAAGTTACTGAGAATTCTTGTGTCTAGCATGAAATGAAGAAATCCCGTTTCCAACGAAGGCCTCAATGCGGTCCATATATGCACTTGCAGAATTTACAAACAGAGTGTTTCCAAACTGCTCTATGAAAAGAAAGGTTAAACTATGTGAGTTGAACGCACACATCACAATGAATTTTCTGAGAATGATTCTGTCTGGTTTTTATTTGAAGATATTTCCCTTTCTACTGTTGGCATCAAAAGGCTAGAAATCTCCACTTGCAAATTCCGCAAAAAGAGTGTTTCAAATCTGCTCTGTCTAAAGGGACGTTCCACTCTGTGAGTTGAATGCGCACAACACAAAGAATTTACTGAGAATTCTTCCGTCTAGCATTCAATGAAGAAATCCCGTTTCCAACGAAGGCCTCAAACAGGTCCATATATCCACTTGCAGACTTTACAAACAGTGTGTTTCCAAACTCCTCTATGAAAAGAAAGGTTAAACTCTGTGAGTTGAACGCACACATCACAAAGCACTTTCTGAGAATGATTCTGTCTGGTTATTATACGAAGATATTTCCTTTTCTGCAATTGTCCTCAAAACGCTTGAAATCTCCACCTGAAAATGCCACAGCAAGAGTGTTTCAAATCTGCTCTCTCTAAAGCAAGGTTCAACTCTGTGAGTTGAATACACACAACACGGAAAAGTTACTGAGAACTCTTCTTAGTCTAGCATGAAAGGAAGAAACCCCGTTTGCAACGAAGGCCTCAAAGAGGTCCAAATATCCACTTGCAGACATAACAAGCAGAGTGTTTCTAAACTGCTCTAAGAAAAGAAAGGTTAAACTCTGTGAGTTGAAGGCACACATCACAAAGTAGTTTCTGAGAATGATTCTGTCTAGTTTTTATTTGAAGATATTTCCTTTTCTACTGTTGGCATCAAATCGCTTGAAATCTCCACTTGCAAACTCCACAAAAAGAGTGTTTCAAATCTGCTCTGTGTAAAGGGACGTTCCACTCTGTGAGTTGAATACACACAGCACAAAGAAGTTACTGAGAATTCTTCTGTCTAGCATGAAATGAAGAAATCCCGTTTCCAACGAAGGCCTCAATGCGGTCCATATATCCACTTGCAGACTTTACAAACAGAGTGTTTCCAAACTGCTCTATGAAAAGAAAGGTTAAACTATGTCAGTTGAATGCACACATCACAAAGAATTTTCTGAGAATGATTCTGTCTGGTTTTTATTTGAAGATATTTCCCTTTCTACTGTTGGCATCAAATGGCTTGAAATCTCCACTTCCAAATTTCGCAAAAAGAGTGTTTCAAATCTGCTCTGTCTACAAGGACGTTCCTCTCGGTGAGATGAATGCACACAACACAAAGAATTTACTGAGAATTCTTCCGTCTAGCATTCAATGAAGAAATCCCGTTTCCAACGAAGGCCTCAAACAGGTCCATATATCCACTTGCAGACTTTACAAACAGTGTGTTTCCAAACTCCTCTATGGAAAGAAAAGTTAAACTCTGTGAGTTGAACGCACACATCACAAAGCACTTTCTGAGAATGATTCTGTCTGGTTATTATACGAAGATATTTCCTTTTCTGCAATTGTCCTCAAATCGCTTGAAATCTCCACCTGAAAATGCCACAGCAAGAGTGTTTCAAATCTGCTCTCTCTAAAGCAAGGTTCAACTCTGTGAGTTGAATACACACAACACAAAAAAGTTACTGAGAACTCTTCTTAGTCTAGCATGAAAGGAAGAAACCCCGTTTGCAAAGAAGGCCTCAAAGAGGTCCAAATATCCACTTGCAGACATAACAAGCAGAGTGTTTCTAAACTGCTCTAAGAAAAGAAAGGTTAAACTCTGTGAGTTGAAGGCACACATCACAAAGTAGTTTCTGAGAATGATTCTGTCTAGTTTTTATTTGAAGATATTTCCTTTTCTACTGTTGGCATCAAATCGCTTGAAATCTCCACTTGCAAATTCCACAAAAAGAGTGTTTCAAATCTGCTCTGTGCAAAGGGACGTTCCACTCTGTGAGTTGAATACACACAGCACAAAGAAGTTACTGAGAATTCTTCTGTCTAGCATGAAATGAAGAAATCCCGTTTCCAACGAAGGGCCTCAATGCGGTCCATATATCCACTTGCAGACTTTACAAACAGAGTGTTTCCAAACTGCTCTATGAAAAGAAAGGTTAAACTATGTGAGTTGAACGCACACATCACAAAGAATTTTCTGAGAATGATTCTGTCTGGTTTTTATTTGAAGATATTTCCCTTTCTACTGTTGGCATCAAATGGCTAGAAATCTCCACTTGCAAATTCCGCAAAAAGAGTGTTTCAAATCTGCTCTGTCTAAAGGGACGTTCCACTCTGTGAGTTGAATGCACACAACACAAAGAATTTACTGAGAATTCTTCCGTCTAGCATTCAATGAAGAAATCCCGTTTCCAACGAAGGCCTCAAACAGGTCCATATATCCAATTGCAGACTTTACAAACAGTGTGTTTCCAAACTCCTCTATGAAAAGAAAGGTTAAACTCTGTGAGTTGAACGCACACAACACAAAGCACTTTCTGAGAATGATTCTGTCTGGTTATTATACGAAGATATTTCCTTTTCTGCAATTGTCCTCAAATCGCTTGAAATCTCCACCTGAAAATGCCACAGCAAGAGTGTTTCAAATCTGCTCTCTCTAAAGCAAGGTTCAACTCTGTGAGTTGAATACACACAACACAAAAAAGTTACTGAGAACTCTTCTTAGTCTAGCATTAAAGGAAGAAATCCCGTTTGCAACGAAGGCCTCAAAGAGGTCCAAATATCCACTTGCAGACATAACAAGCAGAGTGTTTCTAAACTGCTCTAAGAAAAGAAAGGTTAAACTCTGCGAGTTGAAGGCACACATCACATAGTAGTTTCTGAGAATGATTCTGTCTAGTTTTTATTTGAAGATATTTCCCTTTCTACTGTTGGCATCAAATCGCTTGAAATCTCCATTTGCAAATTCCAGAAAAAGAGTGTTTCAAATCTGCTCTGTCTAAAGGGACGTTCCATTCTGTGAGTTGAATACACACAACACAAAGAAATTAGTGAGAATTCTTCTGTCTAGCATGAAATGAAGAAATCCCGTTTCCAACGAAGGCCTCAATGCGGTCCATATATCCACTTGCAGACTTTACAAACAGAGTGTTTCCAAACTGCTCTATGAAAAGAAAGGTTAATCTATGTGAGTTGAACGCACACATCACAAAGAATTTTCTGAGAATGATTCTGTCTGGTTTTTATTTGAAGATATTTCCCTTTCTACTGTTGGCATCAAATGGCTAGAAATCTCCACTTGCAAATTCCGCAAAAAGAGTGTTTCAAATCTGCTCTGTCTAAAGGGACGTTCCACTCTGTGAGTTGAATGCACACCACACAAAGAATTTACTGAGAATTCTTCCGTCTAGCATTATATGATAAAATCCCGTTTCCAACGAAGGCATCAAACAGGTCCATATATCCACTTGCAGACTTTACAAACAGTGTGTTTCCAAACTCCTCTATGAAAAGAAAGGTTGAACTCTGTGAGTTGAACGCACACATCACAAAGCACTTTCTGAGAATGATTCTGTCTGGTTATTATACGAAGATATTTCCTTTTCTGCAATTGTCCTCAAATCGCTTGAAATCTCCACCTGAAAATGCCACAGCAAGAGTGTTTCAAATCTGCTCTCTCTAAAGCAAGGTTCAACTCTGTGAGTTGAATACACACAACACAAAAAAGTTACTGAGAACTCTTCTTAGTCTAGCATTAAAGGAAGAAACCCCGTTTGCAACGAAGGCCTCAAAGAGGTCCAAATATCCACTTGCAGACATAACAAGCAGAGTGTTTCTAAACTGCTCTAAGAAAAGAAAGGTTAAACTCTGTGAGTTGAAGGCACACATCACAAAGTAGTTTCTGAGAATGATTCTGTCTAGTTTTTATTTGAAGATATTTCCTTTTCTACTGTTGGCATCAAATCGCTTGAAATCTCCACTTGCAAACTCCACAAAAAGAGTGTTTCAAATCTGCTCTGTGCAAAGGGACGTTCCACTCTGTGAGTTGAATACACACAGCACAAAGAAGTTACTGAGAATTCTTCTGTCTAGCATGAAATGAAGAAATCCCGTTTCCAACGAAGGCCTCAATGCGGTCCATATATCCACTTGCAGACTTTACAAACAGAGTGTTTCCAAACTGCTCTATGAAAAGAAAGGTTAAACTATGTGAGTTGAACGCACACATCACAAAGAATTTTCTGAGAATGATTCTGTCTAGTTTTTATTTGAAGATATTTCCCTTTCTACTGTTGGCATCAAATGGCTAGAAATCTCTACTTGCAAATTCCGCAAAAAGAGTGTTTCAAATGTGCTCTGTCTAAAGGGACGTTCCACACTCTGTGAGTTGAATGCACACAACACAAAGAATTTACTGAGAATTCTTCCGTCTAGCATTCAATGAAGAAATCCCGTTTCCAACGAAGGCCTCAAACAGGTCCATATATCCAATTGCAGACTTTACAAACAGTGTGTTTCCAAACTCCTCTATGAAAAGAAAGGTTAAACTCTGTGAGTTGAACGCACACATCACAAAGCACTTTCTGAGAATGATTCTGTCTGGTTATTATACGAAGATATTTCCTTTTCTGCAATTGTCCTCAAATCGCTTGAAATCTCCACCTGAAAATTCCACAGCGAGAGTGTTTCAAATCTGCTCTCTCTAAAGCAAGGTTCAACTCTGTGAGTTGAATACACACAACACAAAAAAGTTGCTGAGAACTCTTCTTAGTCTAGCATGAAAGGAAGAAACCCCGTTTGCAACGAAGGCCTCAAAGAGGTCCAAATATCCACTTGCAGACATAACAAGCAGAGTGTTTCTAAACTGCTCTAAGAAAAGAAAGGTTAAACTCTGTGAGTTAAAGGCACACATCACAAAGTAGTTTCTGAGAATGATTCTGTCTAGTTTTTATTTGAAGATATTTCCTTTTCTACTGTTGGCATCAAATCGCTTGAAATCTCCACTTGCAAACTCCACAAAAAGAGTGTTTCAAATCTGCTCTGTGCAAAGGGACGTTCCACTCTGTGAGTTGAATACACACAGCACAAAGAAGTTACTGAGAATTCTTCTGTCTAGCATGAAATGAAGAAATCCCGTTTCCAACGAAGGCCTCAATGCGGTCCATATATCCACTTGCAGACTTTACAAACAGAGTGTTTCCAAACTGCTCTATGAAAAGAAAGGTTAAACTATGTGAGTTGAACGCACACATCACAAAGAATTTTCTGAGAATGATTCTGTCTGGTTTTTATTTGAAGATATTTCCCTTTCTACTGTTGGCATCAAATGGCTAGAAATCTCCACTTGCAAATTCCGCAAAAAGAGTGTTTCAAATCTGCTCTGTCTAAAGGGACGTTCCACTCTGTCAGTTGAATGCACACAACACAAAGAATTTACTGAGAATTCTTCCGTCTAGCATTCAATGAAGAAATCCCGTTTCCAACGAAGGCCTCAAACAGGTCCATATATCCAATTGCAGACTTTACAAACAGTGTGTTTCCAAACTCCTCTATGAAAAGAAAGGTTAAACTCTGTGAGTTGAACGCACACAACACAAAGCACTTTCTGAGAATGATTCTGTCTGGTTATTATACGAAGATATTTCCTTTTCTGCAATTGTCCTCAAATCGCTTGAAATCTCCACCTGAAAATTCCACAGCGAGAGTGTTTCAAATCTGCTCTCTCTAAAGCAAGGTTCAACTCTGTGAGTTGAATACACACAACACAAAAAAGTTACTGAGAACTCTTCTTAGTCTAGCATGAAAGGAAGAAACCCCGTTTGCAACGAAGGCCTCAAAGAGGTCCAAATATCCACTTGCAGACATAACAAGCAGAGTGTTTCTAAACTGCTCTAAGAAAAGAAAGGTTAAACTCTGTGAGTTGAAGGCACACATCACAAAGTAGTTTCTGAGAATGATTCTGTCTAGTTTTTATTTGAAGATATTTCCTTTTCTACTGTTGGCATCAAATCGCTTGAAATCTCCACTTGCAAACTCCACAAAAAGAGTGTTTCAAATCTGCTCTGTGTAAAGGGACGTTCCACTCTGTGAGTTGAATACACACAGCACAAAGAAGTTACTGAGAATTCTTCTGTCTAGCATGAAATGAAGAAATCCCGTTTCCAACGAAGGCCTCAATGCGGTCCATATATCCACTTGCAGACTTTACAAACAGAGTGTTTCCAAACTGCTCTATGAAAAGAAAGGTTAAACTATGTGAGTTGAACGCACACATCACAAAGAATTTTCTGAGAATGATTCTGTCTAGTTTTTATTTGAAGATATTTCCCTTTCTATTGTTGGCATCAAATGGCTTGAAATCTGCACTTCCAAATTTCGCAAAAAGAGTGTTTCAAATCTGCTCTGTCTAAAGGGACGTTCCACTCAGTGAGTTGAATGCACACAACAAAAAGAGTTTACTGGAGAATTCTTCCGTCTAGCATTCAATGAAGAAATCCCGTTTCCAACGAAGGCCTCAAACAGGTCCATATATCCAATTGCAGACTTTACAAACAGTGTGTTTCCAAACTCCTCTATGAAAAGAAAGGTTAAACTCTGTGAGTTGAACGCACACATCACAAAGCACTTTCTGAGAATGATTCTGTCTGGTTATTATACGAAGATATTTCCTTTTCTGCAATTGTCCTCAAATCGCTTGAAATCTCCACCTGAAAATGCCACAGCAAGAGTGTTTCAAATCTGCTCTCTCTAAAGCAAGGTTCAACTCTGTGAGTTGAATACACACAACACAAAAAAGTTACTGAGAACTCTTCTTAGTCTAGCATGAAAGGAAGAAACCCCGTTTGCAACGAAGGCCTCAAAGAGGTCCAAATATCCACTTGCAGACATAACAAGCAGAGTGTTTCTAAACTGCTCTAAGAAAAGAAAGGTTAAACTCTGTGAGTTGAAGGCACACATCACAAAGTAGTTTCTGAGAATGATTCTGTCTAGTTTTTATTTGAAGATATTTCCTTTTCTACTGTTGGCATCAAATCGCTTGAAATCTCCACTTGCAAACTCCACAAAAAGAGTGTTTCAAATCTGCTCTGTGCAAAGGGACGTTCCACTCTGTGAGTTGAATACACACAGCACAAAGAAGTTACTGAGAATTCTTCTGTCTAGCATGAAATGAAGAAATCCCGTTTCCAACGAAGGCCTCAATGCGGTCCATATATCCACTTGCAGACTTTACAAACAGAGTGTTTCCAAACTGCTCTATGAAAAGAAAGGTTAAACTATGTGAGTTGAACGCACACATCACAAAGAATTTTCTGAGAATGATTCTGTCTGGTTTTTATTTGAAGATATTTCCCTTTCTACTGTTGGCATCAAATGGCTAGAAATCTCCACTTGCAAATTCCGCAAAAAGAGTGTTTCAAATCTGCTCTGTCTAAAGGGACGTTCCACTCTGTGAGTTGAATGCACACAACACAAAGAATTTACTGAGAATTCTTCCGTCTAGCATTCAATGAAGAAATCCCGTTTCCAACGAAGGCCTCAAACAGGTCCATATATCCAATTGCAGACTTTACAAACAGTGTGTTTCCAAACTCCTCTATGAAAAGAAAGGTTAAACTCTGTGAGTTGAACGCACACATCACAAAGCACTTTCTGAGAATGATTCTGTCTGGTTATTATACGAAGATATTTCCTTTTCTGCAATTGTCCTCAAATCGCTTGAAATCTCCACCTGAAAATGCCACAGCAAGAGTGTTTCAAATCTGCTCTCTCTAAAGCAAGGTTCAACTCTGTGAGTTGAATACACACAACACAAAAAAGTTACTGAGAACTCTTCTTAGTCTAGCATGAAAGGAAGAAACCCCGTTTACAACGAAGGCCTCAAAGAGGTCCAAATATCCACTTGCAGACATAACAAGCAGAGTGTTTCTAAACTGCTCCTAAGAAAAGAAAGGTTGAACTCTGTGAGTTGAAGGCACACATCACAAAGTAGTTTCTGAGAATGATTCCGTCTAGTTTTTGTTTGCAGATATTTCCTTTTCTACTGTTGGCATCAAATCGCTTGAAATCTCCACTTGCAAATTCCACAAAAAGAGTGTTTCAAATCTGCTCTGTGTAAAGCGACGTTCCAATCTGTGAGTTGAATACACACAACACAAAGAAGTTACTGAGAATTCTTCTGTCTAGCATGAAATGAAGAAATCCCGTTTCCAACGAAGGCCTCAAAGCGGTCCATATATCCACTTGCAGACATTACCAACAGAGTGTTTCCAAACTGCTCTATGAAAAGAAAGGTTAAACTATGTGAGTTGAACGCGCACATCACAAGGAATTTTCTGAGAATGATTCTGTCTGGTTTTTATTTGAAGATATTTCCCTTTCTACTGTTGGCATCAAATGGCTAGAAATCTCCACTTGCAAATTCCGCAAAAAGAGTGTTTCAAATCTGCTCTGTCTAAAGGAACGTTCCACTCTGTGAGTTGAATGCACACAACACAAAGAATTTACTGAGAATTCTTCCGTCTAGCAGTCAATGAAGAAATCCCGTTTCCAACGAAGGCCTCAAACAGATCCATATATCCAATTGCAGACTTTACAAACAGTGTGTTTCCAAACTCCTCTATGAAAAGAAAGGTTAAACTCTGTGAGTGGAACGCACACATCACAAAGCACTCTCTGAGAATGATTCTGTCTGGTTGTTATACGAAGATATTTCCTTTTCTGCAATTGTCCTCAAATCGCTTGAAATCTCCACCTGAAAATGCCACAGCAAGAGTGTTTCAAATCTGCTCTCTCTAAAGCAAGGTTCAACTCTGTGAGTTGAATACACACAACACAAAAAAGTTACTGAGAACTCTTCTTAGTCTAGCATTAAAGGAAGAAACCCCGTTTGCAACGAAGGCCTCAAAGAGGTCCAAATATCCACTTGCAGACATAACAAGCAGAGTGTTTCTAAACTGCTCTAAGAAAAGAAAGGTTAAACTCTGTGAGTTGAAGGCACACATCACAAAGTAGTTTCTGAGAATGATTCTGTCTAGTTTTTATTTGAAGATATTTCCTTTTCTACTGTTGGCATCAAATCGCTTGAAATCTCCAATTGCAAACTCCACAAAAAGAGTGTTTCAAATCTGCTCTGTGCAAAGGGACGTTCCACTCTGTGAGTTGAATACACACAGCACAAAGAAGTTACTGAGAATTCTTCTGTCTAGCATGAAATGAAGAAATCCCGTTTCCAACGAAGGCCTCAATGCGGTCTATATATCCACTTGCAGACTTTACAAACAGAGTGTTTCCAAACTGCTCTATGAAAAGAAAGGTTAAACTATGTGAGTTGAACGCACACATCACAAAGAATTTTCTGAGAATGATTCTGTCTGGTTTTTATTTGAAGATATTTCCCTTTCTACTGTTGGCATCAAATGGCTAGAAATCTCCACTTGCAAATTCCGCAAAAAGAGTGTTTCAAATCTGCTGTGTCTAAAGGGACGTTCCACTCTGTGAGTTGAATGCACACAACACAAAGAATTTACTGAGAATTCTTCCGTCTAGCATTCAATGAAGAAATCCCGTTTCCAACGAAGGCCTCAAACAGGTCCATATATCCACTTGCAGACTTTACAAACAGTGTGTTTCCAAACTCCTCTATGAAAAGAAAGGTTAAACTCTGTGAGTGGAACGCACACATCACAAAGCACTTTCTGAGAATGATTCTGTCTGGTTGTTATACGAAGATATTTCCTTTTCTGCAATTGTCCTCAAATCGCTTGAAATCTCCACCTGAAAATGCCACAGCAAGAGTGTTTCAAATCTGCTCTCTCTAAAGCAAGGTTCAACTCTGTGAGTTGAATACACACAACACAAAAAAGTTACTGAGAACTCTTCTTAGTCTAGCATGAAAGGAAGAAACCCCGTTTGCAACGAAGGCCTCAAAGAGGTCCAAATATCCACTTGCAGACATAACAAGCAGAGTGTTTCTAAACTGCTCTAGGAAAAGAAAGGTTAAACTCTGTGAGTTGAAGGCACACATCACAAAGTAGTTTCTGAGAATGATTCTGTCTAGTTTTTATTTGAAGATATTTCCTTTTCTACTGTTGGCATCAAATCGCTTGAAATCTCCACTTGCAAACTCCACAAAAAGAGTGTTTCAAATCTGCTCTGTGTAAAGGGACGTTCCACTCTGTGAGTTGAATACACACAGCACAAAGAAGTTACTGAGAATTCTTCTGTCTAGCATGAAATGAAGAAATCCCGTTTCCAACGAAGGCCTCAATGCGGTCCATATATCCACTTGCAGACTTTACAAACAGAGTGTTTCCAAACTGCTCTATGAAAAGAAAGGTTAAACTATGTGAGTTGAACGCACACATCACAAAGAATTTTCTGAGAATGATTCTGTCTGGTTTTTATTTGAAGATATTTCCCTTTCTACTGTTGGCATCAAATGGCTAGAAATCTCCACTTGCAAATTCCGCAAAAAGAGTGTTTCAAATCTGCTCTGTCTAAAGGGACGTTCCACTCTGTGAGTTGAATGCACACAACACAAAGAATTTACTGAGAATTCTTCCGCCTAGCATTCAATGAAGAAATCCCGTTTCCAACGAAGGCCTCAAACAGGTCCATATATGCAATTGCAGACTTTACAAACAGTGTGTTTCCAAACTCCTCTATGAAAAGAAAGGTTAAACTCTGTGAGTTGAACGCACACATCACAAAGCACTTTCTGAGAATGATTCTGTCTGGTTGTTATACGAAGATATTTCCTTTTCTGCAATTGTCCTCAAATCGCTTGAAATCTCCACCTGAAAATGCCACAGCAAGAGTGTTTCAAATCTGCTCTCTCTAAAGCAAGGTTCAACTCTGTGAGTTGAATACACACAACACAAAAAAGTTACTGAGAACTCTTCTTAGTCTAGCATGAAAGGAAGAAACCCCGTTTGCAACGAAGGCCTCAAAGAGGTCCAAATATCCACTTGCAGACATAACAAGCAGAGTGTTTCTAAACTGCTCTAAGAAAAGAAAGGTTAAACTCTGTGAGTTGAAGGCACACATCACAAAGTAGTTTCTGAGAATGATTCTGTCTAGTTTTTATTTGAAGATATTTCCTTTTCTACTGCTGGCATCAAATCGCTTGAAATCTCCACTTGCAAACTTCACAAAAAGAGTGTTTCAAATCTGCTCTGTGTAAAGGGACGTTCCACTCTGTGAGTTGAATACACACAGCACAAAGAAGTTACTGAGAATTCTTCTGTCTAGCATGAAATGAAGAAATCCCGTTTCCAACGAAGGCCTCAATGCGGTCCATATATCCACTTGCAGACTTTACAAACAGTGTGTTTCCAAACAGCTCTATGAAAAGAAAGGTTAAACTATGTGAGTTGAACGCACACATCACAAAGAATTTTCTGAGAATGATTCTGTCTGGTTTTTATTTGAAGATATTTCCCTTTCTACTGTTGGCATCAAATGGCTAGAAATCTCCACTTGCAAATTCCGCAAAAAGAGTGTTTCAAATCTGCTCTGTCTAAAGGAACGTTCCACTCTGTGAGTTGAATGCACACAACACAAAGAATTTACTGAGAATTCTTCCGTCTAGCATTCAATGAAGAAATCCCGTTTCCAACGAAGGCCTCAAACAGGTCCATATATCCACTTGCAGACTTTACAAACAGTGTGTTTCCAAACTCCTCTATGAAAAGAAAGGTTAAACTCTGTGAGTGGAACGCACACATCACAAAGCACTTTCTGAGAATGATTCTGTCTGGTTGTTATACGAAGATATTTCCTTTTCTGCAATTGTCCTCAAATCGCTTGAAATCTCCACCTGAAAATGTCACAGCAAGAGTGTTTCAAATCTGCTCTCTCTAAAGCAAGGTTCAACTCTGTGAGTTGAATACACACAACACAAAAAAGTTACTGAGAACTCTTCTTAGTCTAGCATGAAAGGAAGAAACCCCGTTTGCAACGAAGGCCTCAAAGAGGTCCAAATATCCACTTGCAGACATAACAAGCAGAGTGTTTCTAAACTGCTCTAAGAAAAGAAAGGTTAAACTCTGTGAGTTGAAGGCACACATCACAAAGTAGTTTCTGAGAATGATTCTGTCTAGTTTTTATTTGAAGATATTTCCTTTTCTACTGTTGGCATCAAATCGCTTGAAATCTCCACTTGCAAACTCCACAAAAAGAGTGTTTCAAATCTGCTCTGTGTAAAGGGACGTTCCACTCTGTGAGTTGAATACACACAGCACAAAGAAGTTACTGAGAATTCTTCTGTCTAGCATGAAATGAAGAAATCCCGTTTCCAACGAAGGCCTCAATGCGGTCCATATATCCACTTGCAGACTTTACAAACAGAGTGTTTCCAAAATGCTCTATGAAAAGAAAGGTAAAACTATGTGAGTTGAACGCACACATCACAAAGAATTTTCTGAGAATGATTTCTGTCTGGTTTTTATTTGAAGATATTTCCCTTTCTACTGTTGGCATCAAATGGCTAGAAATCTCCACTTGCAAATTCCGCAAAAAGAGTGTTTCAAATCTGCTCTGTCTAAAGGGACGTTCCACTCTGTGAGTTGAATGCACACAACACAAAGAATTTACTGAGAATTCTTCCGTCTAGCATTCAATGAAGAAATCCCGTTTCCAACGAAGGCCTCAAACAGGTCCATATATCCACTTGCAGACTTTACAAACATTGTGTTTCCAAACTCCTCTATGAAAAGAAAGGTTAAACTCTGTGAGTTGAACGCACACATCACAAAGCACTTTCTGAGAATGATTCTGTCTGGTTATTATACGAAGATATTTCCTTTTCTGCAATTGTCCTCAAATCGCTTGAAATCTCCACCTGAAAATGCCACAGCAAGAGTGTTTCAAATCTGCTCTCTCTAAAGCAAGGTTCAACTCTGTGAGTTGAATACACACAACACAAAAAAGTTACTGAGAACTCTTCTTAGTCTAGCATTAAAGGAAGAAACCCCGTTTGCAACGAAGGCCTCAAAGAGGTCCAAATATCCACTTGCAGACATAACAAGCAGAGTGTTTCTAAAGTGCTCTAAGAAAAGAAAGGTTAAACTCTGTGAGTTGAAGGCACACATCACAAAGTAGTTTCTGAGAATGATTCTGTCTAGTTTTTATTTGAAGATATTTCCTTTTCTACTGTTGGCATCAAATCGCTTGAAATCTCCACTTGCAAATTCCACAAAAAGAGTGTTTCAAATCTGCTCTGTGCAAAGGGACGTTCCACTCTGTGAGTTGAATACACACAGCACAAAGAAGTTACTGAGAATTCTTCTGTCTAGCATGAAATGAAGAAATTCCGTTTCCAACGAAGGCCTCAAAGCGGTCCATATATCCACTTGCAGACATTACAAACAGAGTGTTTCCAAACTGCTCTATGAAAAGAAAGGTGAAACTATGTGAGTTGAACGCACACATCACAAAGAATTTTCTGAGAATGATTCTGTCTGGTTTTTATTTGAAGATATTTCCCTTTCTACTGTTGGCATCAAATGGCTAGAAATCTCCACTTGCAAATTCCGCAAAAAGAGTGTTTCAAATCTGCTCTGTCTAAAGGGACGTTCCACTCTGTCAGTTGAATGCACACAACACAAAGAATTTACTGAGAATTCTTCCGTCTAGCATTCAATGAAGAAATCCCGTTTCCAACGAAGGCCTCAAACAGGTCCATATATCCACTTGCAGAGTTTACAAACAGTGTGTTTCCAAACTCCTCTATGAAAAGAAAGGTTAAACTCTGTGAGTGGAACGCACACATCACAAAGCACTTTCTCAGAATGATTCTGTCTGGTTATTATACGAAGATATTTCCTTTTCTGCAATTGTCCTCAAAACGCTTGAAATCTCCACCTGAAAATGCCACAGCAAGAGTGTTTCAAATCTGCTCTCTCTAAAGCAAGGTTCAACTCTGTGAGTTGAATACACACAACACAAAAAAGTTACTGAGAACTCTTCTTAGTCTAGCATGAAAGGAAGAAACCCCGTTTGCAACGAAGGCCTCAAAGAGGTCCAAATATCCACTTGCAGACATAACAAGCAGAGTGTTTCTAAACTGCTCTAAGAAAAGAAACGTTAAACTCTGTGAGTTGAAGGCACACATCACAAAGTAGTTTCTGAGAATGATTCTGTCTAGTTTTTATTTGAAGATATTTCCTTTTCTACTGTTGGCATCAAATCGCTTGAAATCTCCACTTGCAAACTCCACAAAAAGAGTGTTTCAAATCTGCTCTGTGCAAAGGGACGTTCCACTCTGTGAGTTGAATACACACAGCACAAAGAAGTTACTGAGAATTCTTCTGTCTAGCATGAAATGAAGAAATCCCGTTTCCAACGAAGGCCTCAATGCGGTCCATATATCCACTTGCAGACTTTACAAACAGAGTGTTTCCAAACTGCTCTATGAAAAGAAAGGTTAAACTATGTGAGTTGAACGCACACATCACAAAGAATTTTCTGAGAATGATTCTGTCTGGTTTTTATTTGAAGATATTTCCCTTTCTACTGTTGGCATCAAATGGCTAGAAATCTCCACTTGCAAATTCCGCAAAAAGAGTGTTTCAAATCTGCTCTGTCTAAAGGGACGTTCCACTCTGTGAGTTGAATGCACACAACACAAAGAATTTACTGAGAATTCTTCCGTCTAGCATTCAATGAAGAAATCCCGTTTCCAACGAAGGCCTCAAACAGGTCCATATATCCAATTGCAGACTTTACAAACAGTGTGTTTCCAAACTCCTCTATGAAAAGAAAGGTTAAACTCTGTGAGTTGAACGCACACATCACAAAGCACTTTCTGAGAATGATTCTGTCTGGTTATTATACGAAGATATTTCCTTTTCTGCAATTGTCCTCAAATCGCTTGAAATCTCCACCTGAAAATGCCACAGCAAGAGTGTTTCAAATCTGCTCTCTCTAAAGCAAGGTTCAACTCTGTGAGTTGAATACACACAACACAAAAAAGTTACTGAGAACTCTTCTTAGTCTAGCATGAAAGGAAGAAACCCCGTTTGCAACGAAGGCCTCAAAGAGGTCCAAATATCCACTTGCAGACATAACAAGCAGAGTATTTCTAAACTGCTCTAAGAAAAGAAAGGTTAAACTCTGTGAGTTGAAGGCACACATCACAAAGTAGTTTCTGAGAATGATTCTGTCTAGTTTTTATTTGAAGATATTTCCTTTTCTACTGTTGGCATCAAATCGCTTGAAATCTCCACTTGCAAACTCCACAAAAAGAGTGTTTCAAATCTGCTCTGTGTAAAGGGACGTTCCACTCTGTGAGTTGAATACACACAGCACAAAGAAGTTACTGAGAATTCTTCTGTCTAGCATTCAATGAAGAAATCCCGTTTCCAAGGAATGCCTCAAAGCGGTACATATATCCACTTGCAGATTTTACAAACAGTGTGTTTCGAAACTGCTCTATGAAAAGAAAGGTTAAACTATGTGAGCTGAACGCACACATCACAAAGAATTTTCTGAGAATGATTCTGTCTGGTTTTTATTTGAAGATATTTCCCTTTCTACTTTTGGCATCAAATGGCTAGAAATCTCCACTTGCAAATTCCGCAAAAAGAGTGTTTCAAATCTGCTCTGTCTAAAGGGACGCTCCACTCTGTCAGTTGCATGCACACAACACAAAGAATTTACTGAGACTTCTTCCGTCTAGCATTCAATGAAGAAATCCCGTTTCCAACGAAGGCCTCAAACAGGTCCATATATCCAATTGCAGACTTTACAAACAGTGTGTTTCCAAACTCCTCTATGAAAAGAAAGGTTAAACTCTGTGAGTTGAACGCACACATCACAAAGCACTTTCTGAGAATGATTCTGTCTGGTTATTATACGAAGATATTTCCTTTTCTGCAATTGTCCTCAAATCGCTTGAAATCTCCACCTGAAAATGCCACAGCAAGAGTGTTTCAAATCTGCTCTCTCTAAAGCAAGGTTCAACTCTGTGAGTTGAATACACACAACACAAAAAAGTTACTGAGAACTCTTCTTAGTCTAGCATTAAAGGAAGAAATCCCGTTTGCAACGAAGGCCTCAAAGAGGTCCAAATATCCACTTGCAGACATAACAAGCAGAGTGTTTCTAAACTGCTCTAAGAAAAGAAAGGTTAAACTCTGCGAGTTGAAGGCACACATCACAAAGTAGTTTCTGAGAATGATTCTGTCTAGTTTTTATTTGAAGATATTTCCTTTTCTACTGTTGGCATCAAATCGCTTGAAATCTCCACTTGCAAACTCCACAAAAAGAGTGTTTCAAATCTGCTCTGTGCAAAGGGACGTTCCACTCTGTGAGTTGAATACACACAGCACAAAGAAGTTACTGAGAATTCTTCTGTCTAGCATGAAATGAAGAAATCCCGTTTCCAACGAAGGCCTCAATGCGGTCCATATATCCACTTGCAGACTTTACAAACAGAGTGTTTCCAAACTGCTCTATGAAAAGAAAGGTTAAACTCTGTGAGTTGAACGCACACATCACAAAGAATTTTCTGAGAATGATTCTGTCTGGTTTTTATTTGAAGATATTTCCCTTTCTACTGTTGGCATCAAATGGCTAGAAATCTCCACTTGCAAATTCCGCAAAAAGAGTGTTTCAAATCTGCTCTGTCTAAAGGGACGTTCCACTCTGTGAGTTGAATGCACACAACACAAAGAATTTACTGAGAATTCTTCCGTCTAGCATTCAATGAAGAAATCCCGTTTCCAACGAAGGCCTCAAACAGGTCCATATATCCACTTGCAGAGTTTACAAACAGTGTGTTTCCAAACTCCTCTATGAAAAGAAAGGTTAAACTCTGTGAGTGGAACGCACACATCACAAAGCACTTTCTGAGAATGATTCTGTCTGGTTATTATACGAAGATATTTCCTTTTCTGCAATTGTCCTCAAAACGCTTGAAATCTCCACCTGAAAATGCCACAGCAAGAGTGTTTCAAATCTGCTCTCTCTAAAGCAAGGTTCAACTCTGTGAGTTGAATACACACAACACAGAAAAGTTACTGAGAACTCTTCTTAGTCTAGCATGAAAGGAAGAAACCCCGTTTGCAACGAAGGCCTCAAAGAGGTCCAAATATCCACTTGCAGACATAACAAGCAGAGTGTTTCTAAACTGCTCTAAGAAAAGAAAGGTTAAACTCTGTGAGTTGAAGGCACACATCACAAAGTAGTTTCTGAGAATGATTCTGTCTAGTTTTTATTTGAAGATATTTCCTTTTCTACTGTTGGCATCAAATCGCTTGAAATCTCCACTTGCAAACTCCACAAAAAGAGTGTTTCAAATCTGCTCTGTGCAAAGGGACGTTCCACTTTGTGAGTTGAGTACACACAGCACAAAGAAGTTACTGAGAATTCTTCTGTCTAGCATGAAATGGAGAAATCCCGTTTCCAACGAAGGCCTCAATGCGGTCCATATATCCACTTGCAGACTTTACAAACAGAGTGTTTCCAAACTGCTCTATGAAAAGAAAGGTTAAACAATGTGATTTGAACGCACACATCACAAAGAATTTTCTGAGAATGATTCTGTCTGGTTTTTATTTGAAGATATTTCCCTTTCTACTGTTGGCATCAAATGGCTAGAAATCTCCACTTGCAAATTCCGCAAAAAGAGTGTTTCAAATCTGCTCTGTCTAAAGGGACGTTCCACTCTGTCAGTTGAATGCACACAACACAAAGAATTTACTGAGAAATTCTTCCGTCTAGCATTCAATGAAGAAATCCCGTTTCCAACGAAGGCCTCAAACAGGTCCATATATCCACTTGCAGACTTTACAAACAGTGTGTTTCCAAACTCCTCTATGAAAAGAAAGGTTAAACTCTGTGAGTTGAACGCACACATCACAAAGCACTTTCTGAGAATGATTCTGTCTGGTTGTTATACGAAGATATTTCCTTTTCTGCAATTGTCCTCAAATCGCTTGAAATCTCCACCTGAAAATGCCACAGCAAGAGTTTTTCAAATCTGCTCTCTCTAAAGCAAGGTTCAACTCTGTGAGTTGAATACACACAACACAAAAAAGTTACTGAGAACTCTTCTTAGTCTAGCATGAAAGGAAGAAACCCCGTTTGCAACGAAGGCCTCAAAGAGGTCCAAATATCCACTTGCAGACATAACAAGCAGAGTGTTTCTAAACTGCTCTAAGAAAAGAAAGGTTAAACTCTGTGAGTTGAAGGCACACATCACAAAGTAGTTTCTGAGAATGATTCTGTCTAGTTTTTATTTGAAGATATTTCCTTTTCTACTGTTGGCATCAAATCGCTTGAAATCTCCACTTGCAAACTCCACAAAAAGAGTGTTTCAAATCTGCTCTGTGTAAAGGGACATTCCACTCTGTGAGTTGAATACACACAGCACAAAGAAGTTACTGAGAATTCTTCTGTCTAGCATGAAATGAAGAAATCCCGTTTCCAACGAAGGCCTCAATGCGGTCCATATATCCACTTGCAGACTTTACAAACAGAGTGTTTCCAAACTGCTCTATGAAAAGAAAGGTTAAACTATGTGAGTTGAACGCACACATCACAAAGAATTTTCTGAGAATGATTCTGTCTGGTTTTTATTTGAAGATATTTCCCTTTCTACTGTTGGCATCAAATGGCTAGAAATCTCCACTTGCAAATTCCGCAAAAAGAGTGTTTCAAATCTGCTCTGTCTAAAGGGACGTTCCACTCTGTGAGTTGAATGCACACAACACAAAGAATTTACTGAGAATTCTTCCGTCTAGCATTCAATGAAGAAATCCCGTTTCCAACGAAGGCCTCAAACAGGTCCATATATCCAATTGCAGACTTTACAAACAGTGTGTTTCCAAACTCCTCTATGAAAAGAAAGGTTAAACTCTGTGAGTTGAACGCACACATCACAAAGCACTTTCTGAGAATGATTCTGTCTGGTTATTATACGAAGATATTTCCTTTTCTGCAATTGTCCTCAAATCGCTTGAAATCTCCACCTGAAAATTCCACAGCGAGAGTGTTTCAAATCTGCTCTCTCTAAAGCAAGGTTCAACTCTGTGAGTTGAATACACACAACACAAAAAAGTTACTGAGAACTCTTCTTAGTCTAGCATTAAAGGAAGAAACCCCGTTTGCAACAAAGGCCTCAAAGAGGTCCAAATATCCACTTGCAGACATAACAAGCAGAGTGTTTCTAAACTGCTCTAAGAAAAGAAAGGTTAAACTCTGTGAGTTGAAGGCACACATCACAAAGTAGTTTCTGAGAATGATTCTGTCTAGTTTTTATTTGAAGATATTTCCTTTTCTACTGTTGGCATCAAATCGCTTGAAATCTCCACTTGCAAACTCCACAAAAAGAGTGTTTCAAATCTGCTCTGTGTAAAGGGACGTTCCACTCTGTGAGTTGAATACACACAGCACAAAGAAGTTACTGAGAATTCTTCTGTCTAGCATGAAATGAAGAAATCCCGTTTCCAACGAAGGCCTCAAAGCGGTCCATATATCTACTTGCAGACTTTACAAACAGAGTGTTTCCAAACTGCTCTATGAAAAGAAAGGTTAAACTATGTGAGTTGAACGCACACATCACAAAGAATTTTCTGAGAATGATTCTGTCTGGTTTTTATTTGAAGATATTTCCCTTTCTACTGTTGGCATCAAATGGCTAGAAATCTCCACTTGCAAATTCCGCAAAAAGAGTGTTTCAAATCTGCTCTGTCTAAAGGGACGTTCCACTCTGTGAGTTGAATGCACACAACACAAAGAATTTACTGAGAATTCTTCCGTCTAGCATTCAATGAAGAAATCCCGTTTCCAACGAAGGCCTCAAACAGGTCCATATATCCACTTGCAGACTTTACAAACAGTGTGTTTCCAAACTCCTCTATGAAAAGAAAGGTTAAACTCTGTGAGTGGAACGCACACATCACAAAGCACTTTCTGAGAATGATTCTGTCTGGTTATTATACGAAGATATTTCCTTTTCTGCAATTGTCCTCAAATCGCTTGAAATCTCCACCTGAAAATGCCACAGCAAGAGTGTTTCAAATCTGCTCTCTCTAAAGCAAGGTTCAACTCTGTGAGTTGAATACACACAACACAAAAAAGTTACTGAGCAACTCTTCTTAGTCTAGCATGAAAGGAAGAAACCCCGTTTGCAACGAAGGCCTCAAAGAGGTCCAAATATCCACTTGCAGACATAACAAGCAGAGTGTTTCTAAACTGCTCTAAGAAAAGAAAGGTTAAACTCTGTGAGTTGAAGGCACACATCACAAAGTAGTTTCTGAGAATGATTCTGTCTAGTTTTTATTTGAAGATATTTCCTTTTCTACTGTTGGCATCAAATCGCTTGAAAACTCCACTTGCAAATTCCACACAAAGAGTGTTTCAAATCTGCTCTGTGCAAAGGGACGTTCCACTCTGTGAGTTGAATACACACAGCACAAAGTAGTTACTGAGAATTCTTCTGTCTAGCATGAAATGAAGAAATCCCGTTTCCAACGAAGGCCTCAATGCGGTCCATATATCCACTTGCAGACTTTACAAACAGAGTGTTTCCAAACTGCTCTATGAAAAGAAAGGTTAAACTATGTGAGTTGAACGCACACATCACAAAGAATTTTCTGAGAATGATTCTGTCTAGTTTTTATTTGAAGATATTTCCCTTTCTACCGTTGGCATCAAATGGCTAGAAATCTCCACTTGCAAATTCTGCAAAAAGAGTGTTTCAAATCTGCTCTGTCTAAAGGGACGTTCCACTCTGTGAGTTGAATGCACACAACACAAAGAATTTACTGAGAATTCTTCCGTCTAGCATTCAATGAAGAAATCCCGTTTCCAACGAAGGTCTCAAACAGGTCCATATATCCACTTGCAGACTTTACAAACAGTGTGTTTCCAAACTCCTCTATGAAAAGAAAGGTTAAACTCTGTGAGATGAACGCACACATCACAAAGCACTTCCTGAGAATGATTCTGTCTGGTTATTATACGAAGATATTTCCTTTTCTGCTATTGTCCTCAAATCGCTTGAAATCTCCACCTGAAAATGCCACAGCAAGAGTGTTTCAAATCTGCTCTCTCTAAAGCAAGGTTCAACTCTGTGAGTTGAATACACACAACACAAAAAAGTTACTGAGAACTCTTCTTAGTCTAGCATGAAAGGAAGAAACCCCGTTTGCAACGAAGGCCTCAAAGAGGTCCAAATATCCACTTGCAGACATAACAAGCAGAGTGTTTCTAAACTGCTCTAAGAAAAGAAAGGTTAAACTCTGTGAGTTGAAGGCACACATCACAAAGTAGTTTCTGAGAATGATTCTGTCTAGTTTTTATTTGAAGATATTTCCTTTTCTACTGTTGGCATCAAATCGCTTGAAATCTCCACTTGCAAACTCCACAAAAAGAGTGTTACAAATCTGCTCTGTGTAAAGGGACGTTCCACTCTGTGAGTTGAATACACACAGCACAAAGAAGTTACTGAGAATTCTTCTGTCTAGCATGAAATGAAGAAATCCCGTTTCCAACGAAGGCCTCAATGCGGTCCATATATCCACTTGCAGACTTTACAAACAGAGTGTTTCCAAACTGCTCTATGAAAAGAAAGGTTAAACTATGTGAGTTGAACGCACACATCACAAAGAATTTTCTGAGAAAGATTCTGTCTGGTTTTTATTTGAAGATATTTCCCTTTCTACTGTTGGCATCAAATGGCTAGAAATCTCCACTTGCAAATTCCGCAAAAAGAGTGTTTCAAATCTGCTCTGTCTAAAGGGACGTTCCACTCTGTCAGTTGAATGCACACAACACAAAGAATTTACTGAGAATTCTTCCGTCTAGCATTCAATGAAGAAATCCCGTTTCCAACGAAGGCCTCAAACAGGTCCATATATCCACTTGCAGACTTTACAAACAGTGTGTTTCCAAACTCCTCTATGAAAAGAAAGGTTAAACTCTGTGAGTGGAACGCACACATCACAAAGCACTTTCTGAGAATGATTCTGTCTGGTTATTATACGAAGATATTTCCTTTTCTGCAATTGTCCTCAAATCGCTTGAAATCTCCACCTGAAAATGCCACAGCAAGAGTGTTTCAAATCTGCTCTCTCTAAAGCAAGGTTCAACTCTGTGAGTTGAATACACACAACACAAAAAAGTTACTGAGAACTCTTCTTAGTCTAGCATGAAAGGAAGAAACCCCGTTTGCAACGAAGGCCTCAAAGAGGTCCAAATATCCACTTGCAGACATAACAAGCAGAGTGTTTCTAAACTGCTCTAAGAAAAGAAAGGTTAAACTCTGTGAGTTGAAGGCACACATCACAAAGTAGTTTCTGAGAATGATTCTGTCTAGTTTTTATTTGAAGATATTTCCTTTTCTACTGTTGGCATCAAATCGCTTGAAATCTCCACTTGCAAACTCCACAAAAAGAGTGTTTCAAATCTGCTCTGTGCAAAGGGACGTTCCACTCTGTGAGTTGAGTACACACAGCACAAAGAAGTTACTGAGAATTCTTCTGTCTAGCATGAAATGAAGAAATCCCGTTTCCAACGAAGGCCTCAATGCGGTCCATATATCCACTTGCAGACTTTACAAACAGAGTGTTTCCAAACTGCTCTATGAAAAGAAAGGTTAAACTATGTGAGTTGAACGCACACATCACAAAGAATTTTCTGAGAATGATTCTGTCTGGTTTTTATTTGAAGATATTTCCCTTTCTACTGTTGGCATCAAATGGCTAGAAATCTCCACTTGCAAATTCCGCAAAAAGAGTGTTTCAATTCTGCTCTGTCTAAAGGGACGTTCCACTCTGTGAGTTGAATGCACACAACACAAAGAATTTACTGAGAATTCTTCCGTCTAGCATTCAATGAAGAAATCCCGTTTCCAACGAAGGCCTCAAACAGGTCCATATATCCAATTGCAGACTTTACAAACAGTGTGTTTCCAAACTCCTCTATGAAAAGAAAGGTTAAACTCTGTGAGTGGAACGCACACATCACAAAGCACTTTCTGAGAATGATTCTGTCTGGTTGTTATAGGAAGATATTTCCTTTTCTGCAATTGTCCTCAAAACGCTTGAAATCTCCACCTGAAAATGCCACAGCAAGAGTGTTTCAAATCTGCTCTCTCTAAAGCAAGGTTCAACTCTGTGAGTTGAATACACACAACACAAAAAAGTTACTGAGAACTCTTCTTAGTCTAGCATGAAAGGAAGAAACCCCGTTTGCAACGAAGGCCTCAAAGAGGTCCAAATATCCACTTGCAGACATAACAAGCAGAGTGTTTCTAAACTGCTCTAAGAAAAGAAAGGTTAAACTCTGTGAGTTGAAGGCACACATCACAAAGTAGTTTCTGAGAATGATTCTGTCTAGTTTTTATTTGAAGATATTTCCTTTTCTACGGTTGGCATCAAATCGCTTGAAATCTCCACTTGCAAACTCCACAAAAAGAGTGTTTCAAATCTGCTCTGTGTAAAGGGACGTTCCACTCTGTGAGTTGAATACACACAGCACAAAGAAGTTACTGAGAATTCTTCTGTCTAGCATGAAATGAAGAAATCCCGTTTCCAACGAAGGCCTCAATGCGGTCCATATATCCACTTGCAGACTTTACAAACAGAGTGTTTCCAAACTGCTCTATGAAAAGAAAGGTTAAACTATGTGAGTTGAACGCACACATCACAAAGAATTTTCTGAGAATGATTCTGTCTGGTTTTTATTTGAAGATATTTCCCTTTCTACTGTTGGCATCAAATGGCTAGAAATCTCCACTTGCAAATTCCGCAAAAAGAGTGTTTCAAATCTGCTCTGTCTAAAGGGACGTTCCACTCTGTGAGTTGAATGCACACAACACAAAGAATTTACTGAGAATTCCTCCGTCTAGCATTCAATGAAGAAAACCCGTTTCCAACGAAGGCCTCAAACAGGTCCATATATCCACTTGCAGAGTTTACAAACAGTGTGTTTCCAAACTCCTCTATGAAAAGAAAGGTTAAACTCTGTGAGTGGAACGCACACATCACAAAGCACTTTCTGAGAATGATTCTGTCTGGTTATTATACGAAGATATTTCCTTTTCTGCAATTGTCCTCAAAACGCTTGAAATCTCCACCTGAAAATGCCACAGCAAGAGTGTTTCAAATCTGCTCTCTCTAAAGCAAGGTTCAACTCTGTGAGTTGAATACACACAACACAAAAAAGTTACTGAGAACTCTTCTTAGTCTAGCATGAAAGGAAGAAACCCCGTTTGCAACGAAGGCCTCAAAGAGGCCCAAATATCCACTTGCAGACATAACAAGCAGAGTGTTTCTAAACTGCTCTAAGAAAAGAAAGGTTAAACTCTGTGAGTTGAAGGCACACATCACAAAGTAGTTTTTGAGAATGATTCTGTCTAGTTTTTATTTGAAGATATTTCCTTTTCTACTGTTGGCATCAAATCGCTTGAAATCTCCACTTGCAAACTCCACAAAAAGAGTGTTTCAAATCCGCTCTGTGCAAAGGGACGTTCCACTCTGTGAGTTGAATACACACAGCACAAAGAAGTTACTGAGAATTCTTCTGTCTAGCATGAAATGAAGAAATCCCGTTTCCAACGAAGGCCTCAATGCGGTCCATAGATCCACTTGCAGACTTTACAAACAGAGTGTTTCCAAACTGCTCTATGAAAAGAAAGGTTAAACTATGTGAGTTGAACGCACACATCACAAAGAATTTTCTGAGAATGATTCTGTCTGGTTTTTATTTGAAGATATTTCCCTTTCTACTGTTGGCATCAAATGGCTAGAAATCTCCACTTGCAAATTCCGCAAAAAGAGTGTTTCAAATCTGCTCTGTCTAAAGGGACGTTCCACTCTGTGAGTTGAATGCACACAACACAAAGAATTTACTGAGAATTCTTCCGTCTAGCATTCAATGAAGAAATCCCGTATCCAACGAAGGCCTCAAACAGGTCCATATATCCACTTGCAGACTTTACAAACAGTGTGTTTCCAAACTCCTCTATGAAAAGAAAGGTTAAACTCTGTGAGTTGAACACACACATCACAAAGCACTTTCTGAGAATGATTCTGTCTGGTTGTTATACGAAGATATTTCCTTTTCTGCAATTGTCCTCAAATCGCTTGAAATCTCCACCTGAAAATGCCACAGCAAGAGTGTTTCAAATCTGCTCTCTCTAAAGCAAGGTTCAACTCTGTGAGTTGAATACACACAACACAAAAAAGTTACTGAGAACTCTTCTTAGTCTAGCATTAAAGGAAGAAACCCCGTTTGCAACGAAGGCCTCAAAGAGGTCCAAATATCCACTTGCAGACATAACAAGCAGAGTGTTTCTAAACTGCTCTAAGAAAAGAAAGGTTAAACTCTGTGAGTTGAAGGCACACATCACAAAGTAGTTTCTGAGAATGATTCTGTCTAGTTTTTATTTGAAGATATTTCCTTTTCTACTGTTGGCATCAAATCGCTTGAAATCTCCACTTGCAAATTCCACAAAAAGAGTGTTTCAACTCTGCTCTGTGCAAAGGGACGTTCCACTCTGTGAGTTGAATACACACAGCACAAAGAAGTTACTGAGAATTCTTCTGTCTAGCATGAAATGAAGAAATCCCGTTTCCAACGAAGGCCTCAATGCGGTCCATAGATCCACTTGCAGACTTTACAAACAGAGTGTTTCCAAACTGCTCTATGAAAAGAAAGGTTAAACTATGTGAGTTGAACGCACACATCACAAAGAATTTTCTGAGAATGATTCTGTCTGGTTTTTATTTGAAGATATTTCCCTTTCTACTGTTGGCATCAAATGGCTAGAAATCTCCACTTGCAAATTCCGCAAAAAGAGTGTTTCAAATCTGCTCTGTCTAAAGGGACGTTCCACTCTGTGAGTTGAATGCACACAACACAAAGAATTTACTGAGAATTCTTCTTAGTCTAGCATGAAAGGAAGAAACCCCGTTTGCAACGAAGGCCTCAAAGAAGGTCCAAATATCCACTTGCAGACATAACAAGCAGAGTGTTTCTAAACTGCTCTAAGAAAAGAAAGGTTAAACTCTGTGAGTTGAAGGCAGACATCACAAAGTAGTTTCTGAGAATGATTCTGTCTAGTTTTTATTTGAAGATATTTCCTTTTCTACTGTTGGCATCAAATCGCTTAAAATCTCCACTTCAAATTCCACAAAAAGAGTGTTTCAAGTCTGCTCTGTCTAAAGGGACTTTCCACTCTGTGACTTGAATACACACAACACAAAGTAGTTACTGAGAATTCTTCTGTCTAGCATTAAATGAAGAAATCCCGTTTCCAATGAAGGCCTCAAAGCGGTCCATATACCCACTTGCAAACTTTACAAACAGACTGTTTCCAAACTGCTCTATGAAAAGAAAGGTTAAACTATGTGAGTTGAACGCACACATCACAAAGAATTTTCTGAGAATGATTCTGTCTGGTTTTTATTTGAAGATATTTCCCTTTCTACTGTTGGCATCAAATGGCTAGAAATCTCCACTTGCAAATTCCGCAAAAAGAGTGTTTCAAATCTGCTCTGTCTAAAGGGACGTTCCACTCTGTGAGTTGAATGCACACAACACAAAGAATTTACTGAGAATTCTTCCGTCTAGCATTCAATGAAGAAATCCCGTTTCCAACGAAGGCCTCAAAGAGGTCCATATATCCACTTGCAGACTTTACAAACAGTGTGTTTCCAAACTCCTCTATGAAAAGAAAGGTTAAACTCTGTGAGTGGAACGCACACATCACAAAGCACTTTCTGAGAATGATTCTGTCTGGTTGTTATACGAAGATATTTCCTTTTCTGCAATTGTCCTCAAATCGCTTGAAATCTCCACCTGAAAATGCCACAGCAAGAGTGTTTCAAATCTGCTCTCTCTAAAGCAAGGTTCAACACTGTGAGTTGAATACACACAACACAAAAAAGTTACTGAGAACTCTTCTTAGTCTAGCATGAAAGGAAGAAACCCCGTTTGCAACGAAGGCCTCAAAGAGGTCCAAATATCCACTTGCAGACATAACAAGCAGAGTGTTTCTAAACTGCTCTAAGAAAAGAAAGGTTAAACTCTGTGAGTTGAAGGCACACATCACAAAGTAGTTTCTGAGAATGATTCTGTCTAGTTTTTATTTGAAGATATTTCCTTTTCTACTGTTGGCATCAAATCGCTTGAAATCTCCACTTGCAAATTCCACAAAAAGAGTGTTTCAAATCTGCTCTGTGCAAACGGACGTTCCAGTCTGTGAGTTGAATACACACAGCACAGAGAAGTTACTGAGAATTCTTCTGTCTAGCATGAAATGAAGAAATCCCGTTTCCAACGAAGGCCTCAATGCGGTCCATATATCCACTTGCAGACTTTACAAACAGAGTGTTTCCAAACTGCTCTATGAAAAGAAAGGTTAAACTATGTGAGTTGAACGCACACATCACAAAGAATTTTCTGAGAATGATTCTGTCTGGTTTTTATTTGAAGATATTTCCCTTTCTACTGTTGGCATCAAATGGCTAGAAATCTCCACTTGCAAATTCCGCAAAAAGAGTGTTTCAAATCTGCTCTGTCTAAAGGGACGTTCCACTCTGTGAGTTGAATGCACACAACACAAAGAATTTACTGAGAATTCTTCCGTCTAGCATTCAATGAAGAAATCCCGTTTCCAACGAAGGCCTCAAACAGGTCCATATATCCAATTGCAGACTTTACAAACAGTGTGTTTCCAAACTCCTCTATGAAAAGAAAGGTTAAACTCTGTGAGTTGAACGCACACATCACAAAGCACTTTCTGAGAATGATTCTGTCTGGTTATTATACGAAGATATTTCCTTTTCTGCAATTGTCCTCAAATCGCTTGAAATCTCCACCTGAAAATGCCACAGCAAGAGTGTTTCAAATCTGCTCTCTCTAAAGCAAGGTTCAACTCTGTGAGTTGAATACACACAACACAAAAAAGTTACTGAGAACTCTTCTTAGTCTAGCATTAAAGGAAAAAACCCCGTTTGCAACGAAGGCCTCAAAGAGGTCCAAATATCCACTTGCAGACATAACAAGCAGAGTGTTTCTAAACTGCTCTAAGAAAAGAAAGGTTAAACTCTGTGAGTTGAAGGCACACATCACAAAGTAGTTTCTGAGAATGATTCTGTCTAGTTTTTATTTGAAGATATTTCCTTTTCTACTCTTGGCATCAAATCGCTTGAAATCTCCACTTGCAAATTCCACAAAAAGAGTGTTTCAAATCTGCTCTGTGCAAAGGGACGTTCCACTCTGTGAGTTGAATACACACAGCACAAAGAAGTTACTGAGAATTCTTCTGTCTAGCATGAAATGAAGAAATCCCGTTTCCAACGAAGGCCTCAATGCGGTCCATATATCCACTTGCAGACTTTACAAACAGAGTGTTTCCAAACTGCTCTATGAAAAGAAAGGTTAAACTATGTGAGTTGAACTGCACACATCACAAAGAATTTTCTGAGAATGATTCTGTCTGGTTTTTATTTGAAGATATTTCCCTTTCTACTGTTGGCATCAAATGGCTAGAAATCTCCACTTGCAAATTCCGCAAAAAGAGTGTTTCAAATCTGCTCTGTCTAAAGGGACGTTCCACTCTGTGAGTTGAATGCACACAACACAAAGAATTTACTGAGAATTCTTCTGTCTAGCATGAAATGAAGAAATCCCGTTTCCAACGAAGGCCTCAATGCGGTCCATATATCCACTTGCAGACTTTACAAACAGAGTGTTTCCAAACTGCTCTATGAAAAGAAAGGTTAAACTATGTGAGTTGAACGCACACATCACAAAGAATTTTCTGAGAATGATTCTGTCTAGTTTTTATTTGAAGATATTTCCCTTTGTATTGTTGGCATCAAATGGCTAGAAATCTCCACTTGCAACTTCCGCAAAAAGAGTGTTTCAAATCTGCTCTGTCTAAAGGGACGTTCCACTCTGTGAGTTGAATGCACACAACACAAAAAAGTTACTGAGAACTCTTCTTAGTCTAGCATTAAAGGAAGAAACCCCGTTTGCAACGAAGTCCTCAAAGAGGTCCAAATATCCACTTGCAGACATAACAAGCAGAGTGTTTCTAAACTGCTCTAAGAAAAGAAAGGTTAAACTCTGTGAGTTGAAGGCACACATCACAAAGTAGTTTCTGAGAATGATTCTGTCTAGTTTTTATTTGAAGATATTTCCTTTTCTACTGTTGGCATCAAATCGCTTGAAATCTCCACTTGCAAATTCCACAAAAAGAGTGTTTCAAATCTGCTCTGTGTAAAGGGACGTTCCACTCTGTGAGTTGAATACACACAGCACAAAGAAGTTACTGAGTATTCTTCTGTCTAGCATGAAATGAAGAAATCCCGTTTCCAACGAAGGCCTCAATGCGGTCCATATATCCACTTGCAGACTTTACAAACAGAGTGTTTCCAAACTGCTCTATGAAAAGAAAGGTTAAACTATGTGAGTTGAACGCACACATCACAAAGAATTTTCTGAGAATGATTCTGTCTGGTTTTTATTTGAAGATATTTCCCTTTCTACTGTTGGCATCAAATGGCTAGAAATCTCCACTGGCAAATTCCGCCAAAAAGTGTTTCAAATCTGCTCTGTCTAAAGGGACGTTCCACTCTGTGAGTTGAATGCACACAACACAAAGAATTTACTGAGAATTCTTCCGTCTAGCATTCAATGAAGAAATCCCGTTTCCAACGAAGGCCTCAAACAGGTCCATATATCCACTTGCAGACTTTACAAACAGTGTGTTTCCAAACTCCTCTATGAAAAGAAAGGTTAAACTCTGTGAGTGGAACGCACACATCACAAAGCACTTTCTGAGAATGATTCTGTCTGGTTATTATACGAAGATATTTCCTTTTCTGCAATTGTCCTCAAATCGCTTGAAATCTCCACCTGAAAATGCCACAGCAAGAGTGTTTCAAATCTGCTCTCTCTAAAGCAAGGTTCAACTCTGTGAGTTGAATACACACAACACAAAAAAGTTACTGAGAACTCTTCTTAGTCTAGCATGAAAGGAAGAAACCCCGTTTGCAACGAAGGCCTCAAAGAGGTCCAAATATCCACTTGCAGACATAACAAGCAGAGTGTTTCTAAACTGCTCTAAGAAAAGAAAGGTTAAACTCTGTGAGTTGAAGGCACACATCACAAAGTAGTTTCTGAGAATGATTCTGTCTAGTTTTTATTTGAAGATATTTCCTTTTCTACTGTTGGCATCAAATCGCTTGAAATCTCCACTTGCAAACTCCACAAAAAGAGTGTTTCAAATCTGCTCTGTGCAAAGGGACGTTCCACTCTGTGAGTTGAATACACACAGCACAAAGAAGTTACTGAGAATTCTTCTGTCTAGTATGAAATGAAGAAATCCCGTTTCCAACGAAGGCCTCAATGCGGTCCATATATCCACTTGCAGACTTTACAAACAGAGTGTTTCCAAACTGCTCCATGAAAAGAAAGGTTAAACTATGTGAGTTGAACGCACACATCACAAAGAATTTTCTGAGAATGATTCTCTCTGGTTTTTATTTGAAGATATTTCCCTTTCTACTGTTGGCATCAAATGGCTAGAAATCTCCAATTGCAAATTCCGCAAAAAGAGTGTTTCAAATCTGCTCTGTCTAAAGGGACGTTCCACTCTGTGAGTTGAATGCACACAACACAAAGAATTTACTGAGAATTCTTCCGTCTAGCATTCAATGAAGAAAAGCCGTTTCCAACGAAGGCCTCAAACAGGTCCATATATCCAATTGCAGACTTTACAAACAGTGTGTTTCCAATCTCCGCTATGAAAAGAAAGGTTAAACTCTGTGAGTTTAACGCACACATCACAAAGCACTTTTGAGAATGATTCTGTCTGGTTATTATACGAAGATATTTCCTTTTCTGCAATTGTCCTCAAATCGCTTGAAATCTCCACCTGAAAATGCCACAGCAAGAGGGTTTCAAATCTGCTCTCTCTAAAGCAAGGTTCAACTCTGTGAGTTGAATACACACAACACAAAAAAGTTACTGAGAACTCTTCTTAGTCTAGCATGAAAGGAAGAAACCCCGTTTGCAACGAAGGCCTCAAAGAGGTCCAAATATCCACTTGCAGACATAACAAGCAGAGTGTTTCTAAACTGCTCTAAGAAAAGAAAGGTTAAACTCTGTGAGTTGAAGGCACACATCACAAAGTAGTTTCTGAGAATGATTCTGTCTAGTTTTTATTTGAAGATATTTCCTTTCCTACTGTTGGCATCAAATCGCTTGAAATCTCCACTTGCAAACTCCACAAAAAGAGTGTTTCAAATCTGCTCTGTGCAAAGGGACGTTCCACTCTGTGAGTTGAATACACACAGCACAAGGAAGTTACTGAGAATTCTTCTGTCTAGCATGAAATGAAGAAATCCCGTTTCCAACGAAGGCCTCAATGCGGTCCATATATCCACTTGCAGACTTTACAAACAGAGTGTTTCCAAACTGCTCTATGAAAAGAAAGGTTAAACTATGTGAGTTGAACGCACACATCACAAAGAATTTTCTGAGAATGATTCTGTCTGGTTTTTATTTGAAGATATTTCCCTTTCTACTGTTGGCATCAAATGGCTAGAAATCTCCACTTGCAAATTCCGCAAAAAGAGTGTTTCAAATCTGCTCTGTCTAAAGGGACGTTCCACTCTGTGAGTTGAATGCACACAACACAAAGAATTTACTGAGAATTCTTCCGTCTAGCATTCAATGAAGAAATCCCGTTTCCAAAGAAGGCCTCAAACAGGTCCATATATCCAATTGCAGACTTTACAAACAGTGTGTTTCCAAACTCCTCTATGAAAAGAAAGGTTAAACTCTGTGAGTTGAACGCACACATCACAAAGCACTTTCTGAGAATGATTCTGTCTGGTTATTATACGAAGATATTTCCTTTTCTGCAATTGTCCTCAAATCGCTTGAAATCTCCACCTGAAAATGCCACAGCAAGAGTGTTTCAAATCTGCTCTCTCTAAAGCAAGGTTCAACTCTGTGAGTTGAATACACACAACACAAAAAAGTTACTGAGAACTCTTCTTAGTCTAGCATGAAAGGAAGAAACCCCGTTTGCAACGAAGGCCTCAAAGAGGTCCAAATATCCACTTGCAGACATAACAAGCAGAGTGTTTCTAAACTGCTCTAAGAAAAGAAAGGTTAAACTCTGTGAGTTGAAGGCACACATCACAAAGTAGTTTCTGAGAATGATTCTGTCTAGTTTTTATTTGAAGATATTTCCTTTTCTACTGTTGGCATCAAATCGCTTGAAATATCCACTTGCAAACTCCACAAAAAGAGTGTTTCAAATCTGCTCTGTGCAAAGGGACGTTCCACTCTGTGAGTTGAATACACACAGCACAAAGAAGTTACTGAGAATTCTTGTCTAGCATGAAATGAAGAAATCCCGTTTCCAACGAAGGCCTCAATGCGGTCTATATATCCACTTGCAGACATCACAAACAGAGTGTTTCCAAACTGCTCTATGAAAAGAAAGGTTAAACTATGTGAGTTGAACGCACACATCACAAAGAATTTTCTGAGAATGATTCTGTCTGGTTTTTATTTGAAGATATTTCCCTTTCTACTGTTGGCATCAAATGGCTAGAAATCTCCACTTGCAAATTCCGCAAAAAGAGTGTTTCAAATCTGCTCTGTCTAAAGGGACGTTCCACTCTGTGAGTTGAATGCACACCACACAAAGAATTTACTGAGAATTCTTCCGCCTAGCATTCAATGAAGAAATCCCGTTTCCAACGAAGGCCTCAAACAGGTCCATATATCCACTTGCAGACTTTACAAACAGTGTGTTTCCAAACTCCTCTATGAAAAGAAAGGTTAAACTCTGTGAGTTGAACGCACACATCACAAAGCACTTTCTGAGAATGATTCTGTCTGGTTGTTATACGAAGATATTTCCTTTTCTGCAATTGTCCTCAAATCGCTTGAAATCTCCACCTGAAAATGCCACAGCAAGAGTGTTTCAAATCTGCTCTCTCTAAAGCAAGGTTCAACTCTGTGAGTTGAATACACACAGCACAAAAAAGTTACTGAGAACTCTTCTTAGTCTAGCATGAAAGGAAGAAACCCCGTTTGCAACGAAGGCCTCAAAGAGGTCCAAATATCCACTTGCAGACATAACAAGCAGAGTGTTTCTAAACTGCTCTAAGAAAAGAAAGGTTAAACTCTGTGAGTTGAAGGCACACATCACAAAGTAGTTTCTGAGAATGATTCTGTCTAGTTTTTATTTGAAGATATTTCCTTTTCTACTGTTGGCATCAAATCGCTTGAAATCTCCACTTGCAAACTCCACAAAAAGAGTGTTTCAAATCTGCTCTGTGCAAAGGGACGTTCCACTCTGTGAGTTGAATACACACAGCACAAAGAAGTCACTGAGAATTCTTCTGTCTAGCATGAAATGAAGAAATCCCGTTTCCAACGAAGGCCTCAATGCGGTCCATATATCCACTTGCAGACTTTACAAACAGAGTGTTTCCAAACTGCTCTATGAAAAGAAAGGTTAAACTATGTGAGTTGAACGCACACATCACAAAGAATTTTCTGAGAATGATTCTGTCTGGTTTTTATTTGAAGATATTTCCCTTTCTACTGTTGGCATCAAATGGCTAGAAATCTCCACTTGCAAATTCCGCAAAAAGAGTGTTTCAAATCTGCTCTGTCTAAAGGGACGTTCCACTCTGTGAGTTGAATGCACACAACACAAAGAATTTACTGAGAATTCTTCCGTCTAGCATTCAATGAAGAAATCCCGTTTCCAACGAAGGCCTCAAACAGGTCCATATATCCACTTGCAGACTTTACAAACAGTGTGTTTCCAAACTCCTCTATGAAAAGAAAGGTTAAACTCTGTGAGTGGAACGCACACATCACAAAGCACTTTCTGAGAATGATTCTGTCTGGTTATTATACGAAGATATTTCCTTTTCTGCAATTGTCCTCAAATCGCTTGAAATCTCCACCTGAAAATGCCACAGCAAGAGTGTTTCAAATCTGCTCTCTCTAAAGCAAGGTTCAACTCTGTGAGTTGAATACACACAACACAAAAAAGTTACTGAGAACTCTTCTTAGTCTAGCATGAAAGGAAGAAACCCCGTTTGCAACGAAGGCCTCAAAGAGGTCCAAATATCCACTTGCAGACATAACAAGCAGAGTGTTTCTAAACTGCTCTAAGAAAAGAAAGGTTAAACTATGTGAGTTGAACGCACACATCACAAAGAATTTTCTGAGAATGATTCTGTCTGGTTTTTATTTGAAGATATTTCCCTTTCTACTGTTGGCATCAAATGGCTAGAAATCTCCACTTGCAAATTCCGCAAAAAGAGTGTTTCAAATCTGCTCTGTGTAAAGGGACGTTCCACTCTGTGAGTTGAATGCACACAACACAAAGAATTTACTGAGAATTCTTCCGTCTAGCATGCAATGAAGAAATCCCGTTTCCAACGAAGGCCTCAAACAGGTCCATATATCCAATTGCAGACTTTACAAACAGTGTGTTTCCAAACTCCTCTATGAAAAGAAAGGTTAAACTCTGTGAGTTGAACGCACACATCACAAAGCACTTTCTGAGAATGATTCTGTCTGGTTATTATACGAAGATATTTCCTTTTCTGCAATTGTCCTCAAATCGCTTGAAATCTCCACCTGAAAATGCCACAGCAAGAGTGTTTCAAATCTGCTCTCTCTAAAGCAAGGTTCAACTCTGTGAGTTGAATACACACAACACAAAAAAGTTACTGAGAACTCTTCTTAGTCTAGCATGAAAGGAAGAAACGCCGTTTGCAACGAAGGCCTCAAAGAGGTCCAAATATCCACTTGCAGACATAACAAGCAGAGTGTTTCTAAACTGCTCTAAGAAAAGAAAGGTTGAACTCTGTGAGTTGAAGGCACACATCACAAAGTAGTTTCTGAGAATGATTCTCTCTAGTTTTTATTTGAAGATATTTCCTCTTCTACTGTTGGCATCAAATCGCTTGAAATCTCCACTTGCAATCTCCACAAAAAGAGTGTTTCAAATCTGCTCTGTGCAAAGGGACGTTCCACTCTGTGAGTTGAATACACACAGCACAAAGAAGTTACTGAGAATTCTTCTGTCTAGCATGAAATGAAGAAATCCCGTTTCCAACGAAGGCCTCAATGCGGTCCATATATCCACTTGCAGACTTTACAAACAGAGTGTTTCCAAACTGCTCTATGAAAAGAAAGGTTAAACTATGTGAGTTGAATGCACACATCACAAAGAATTTTCTGAGAATGATTCTGTCTGGTTTTTATTTGAAGATATTTCCCTTTCTACTGTTGGCATCAAATGGCTAGAAATCTCCACTTGCAAATTCCGCAAAAAGAGTGTTTCAAATCTGCTCTGTCTAAAGGGACGTTCCACTCTGTCAGTTGAATGCACACAACACAAAGAATTTACTGAGAATTCTTCCGTCTAGCATTCAATGAAGAAATCCCGTTTCCAAAGAAGGCCTCAAACAGGTCCATATATCCAATTGCAGACTTTACAAACAGTGTGTTTCCAAACTCCTCTATGAAAAGAAAGGTTAAACTCTGTGAGTTGAACGCACACATCACAAAGCACTTTCTGAGAATGATTCTGTCTGGTTATTATAAGAAGATATTTCCTTTTCTGCAATTGTCCTCAAATCGCTTGAAATCTCCACCTGAAAATGCCACAGCAAGAGTGTTTCAAATCTGCTCTCTCTAAAGCAAGGTTCAACTCTGTGATTTGAATACACACAACACAAAAAAGTTACTGAGAACTCTTCTTAGTCTAGCATGAAAGGAAGAAACCCCGTTTGCAACGAAGGCCTCAAAGAGGTCCAAATATCCACTTGCAGACATAACAAGCAGAGTGTTTCTAAACTGCTCTAAGAAAAGAAAGGTTAAACTCTGTGAGTTGAAGGCACACATCACAAAGTAGTTTCTGAGAATGATTCTGTCTAGTTTTTATTTGAAGATATTTCCTTTTCTACTGTTGGCATCAAATCGCTTGAAATCTCCACTTGCAAATTCCACAAAAAGAGTGTTTCAAATCTGCTCTGTCTAAAGGGACGTTCCACTCTGTGAGTTGAATGCACACCACACAAAGAATTTACTGAGAATTCTTCCGTCTAGCATGCAATGAAGAAATCCCGTTTCCAACGAAGGCCTCAAACAGGTCCATATATCCAATTGCAGACTTTACAAACAGTGTGTTTCCAAACTCCTCTATGAAAAGAAAGGTTAAACTCTGTGAGTTGAACGCACACATCACAAAGCACTTTCTGAGAATGATTCTGTCTGGTTGTTATACGAAGATATTTCCTTTTCTGCAATTGTCCTCAAATCGCTTGAAATCTCCACCTGAAAATGCCACAGCAAGAGTGTTTCAAATCTGCTCTCTCTAAAGCAAGGTTCAACTCTGTGAGTTGAATACACACAACACAAAAAAGTTACTGAGAACTCTTCTTAGTCTAGCATGAAAGGAAGAAACCCCGTTTGCAACGAAGGCCTCAAAGAGGTCCAAATATCCACTTGCAGACATAACAAGCAGAGTGTTTCTAAACTGCTCTAAGAAAAGAAAGGTTAAACTCTGTGAGTTGAAGGCACACATCACAAAGTAGTTTCTGAGAATGGTTCTGTCTAGTTTTTATTTGAAGATATTTCCTTTTCTACTGTTGGCATCAAATCGCTTGAAATCTCCACTTGCAAATTCCACAAAAAGAGTGTTTCAAATCTGCTCTGTGCAAACGGACGTTCCAGTCTGTGAGTTGAATACACACACCACAGAGAAGTTACTGAGAATTCTTCTGTCTAGCATGAAATGAAGAAATCCCGTTTCCAACGAAGGCCTCAATGCGGTCCATATATCCACTTGCAGACTTTACAAACAGAGTGTTTCCAAACTGCTCTATGAAAAGAAAGGTTAAACTATGTGAGTTGAACGCACACATCACAAAGAATTTTCTGAGAATGATTCTGTCTGGTTTTTATTTGAAGATATTTCCCTTTCTACTGTTGGCATCAAATGGCTAGAAATCTCCACTTGCAAATTCCGCAAAAAGAGTGTTTCAAATCTGCTCTGTCTAAAGGGACGTTCCACTCTGTGAGTTGAATGCACACAACACAAAGAATTTACTGAGAATTCTTCCGTCTAGCATTCAATGAAGAAATCCCGTTTCCAACGAAGGCCTCAAACAGGTCCATATATCCACTTGCAGACTTTACAAACAGTGTGTTTCCAAACTCCTCTATGGAAAGAAAAGTTAAACTCTGTGAGTTGAACGCACACATCACAAAGCACTTTCTGAGAATGATTCTGTCTGGTTATTATACGAAGATATTTCCTTTTCTGCAATTTGTCCTCAAATCGCTTGAAATCTCCACCTGAAAATGCCACAGCAAGAGTGTTTCAAATCTGCTCTCTCTAAAGCAAGGTTCAACTCTGTGAGTTGAATACACACAACACAAAAAAGTTACTGAGAACTCTTCTTAGTCTAGCATGAAAGGAAGAAACCCCGTTTGCAACGAAGGCCTCAAAGAGGTCCAAATATCCACTTGCAGACATAACAAGCAGAGTGTTTCTAAACTGCTCTAAGAAAAGAAAGGTTAAACTCTGTGAGTTGAAGGCACACATCACAAAGTAGTTTCTGAGAATGATTCTGTCTAGTTTTTATTTGAAGATATTTCCTTTTCTACTGTTGGCATCAAATCGCTTGAAATATCCACTTGCAAACTCCACAAAAAGAGTGTTTCAAATCTGCTCTGTGCAAAGGGACGTTCCACTCTGTGAGTTGAATACACACAGCACAAAGAAGTTACTGAGAATTCTTCTGTCTAGCATGAAATGAAGAAATCCCGTTTCCAACGAAGGCCTCAATGCGGTCTATATATCCACTTGCAGACATCACAAACAGAGTGTTTCCAAACTGCTCTATGAAAAGAAAGGTTAAACTATGTGAGTTGAACGCACACATCACAAAGAATTTTCTGAGAATGATTCTGTCTGGTTTTTATTTGAAGATATTTCCCTTTCTACTGTTGGCATCAAATGGCTAGAAATCTCCACTTGCAAATTCCGCAAAAAGAGTGTTTCAAATCTGCTCTGTCTAAAGGGACGTTCCACTCTGTGAGTTGAATGCACACAACACAAAGAATTTACTGAGAATTCCTCCGTCTAGCATTCAATGAAGAAATCCCGTTTCCAACGAAGGCCTCAAACAGGTCCATATATCCACTTGCAGACTTTACAAACAGTGTGTTTCCAAACTCCTCTATGAAAAGAAAGGTTAAACTCTGTGAGTGGAACGCACACATCACAAAGCACTTTCTGAGAATGATTCTGTCTGGTTATTATTTGAAGATATTTCCTTTTCTGCAATTGTCCTCAAATCGCTTGAAATCTCCACCTGAAAATGCCACAGCAAGAGTGTTTCAAATCTGCTCTCTCTAAAGCAAGGTTCAACTCTGTGAGTTGAATACACACAGCACAAAGAAGTTACTGAGAATTCTTCTGTCTAGCATGAAATGAAGAAATCCCGTTTCCAACGAAGGCCTCAATGCGGTCCATAGATCCACTTGCAGACTTTACAAACAGAGTGTTTCCAAACTGCTCTATGAAAAGAAAGGTTAAACTATGTGAGTTGAACGCACACATCACAAAGAATTTTCTGAGAATGATTCTGTCTGGTTTTCATTTGAAGATATTTCCCTTTCTACTGTTGGCATCAAATGGCTAGAAATCTCCAATTGCAAATTCCGCAAAAAGAGTGTTTCAAATCTGCTCTGTCTAAAGGGACGTTCCACTCTGTGAGTTGAATGCACACAACACAAAGAATTTACTGAGAATTCTTCCGTCTAGCATTCAATGAAGAAATCCCGTTTCCAACGAAGGCCTCAAACAGGTCCATATATCCACTTGCAGACTTTACAAACAGAGTGTTTCCAAACTCCTCTATGGAAAGAAAGGTTAAACTCTGTGAGTTGAACGCACACATCACAAAGCACTTTCTGAGAATGATTCTGTCTGGTTATTATACGAAGATATTTCCTTTTCTGCAATTGTCCTCAAATCGCTTGAAATCTCCACCTGAAAATGCCACAGCAAGAGTGTTTCAAATCTGCTCTCTCTAAAGCAAGGTTCAACTCCGTGAGTTGAATACACACAACACAAAAAAGTTACTGAGAACTCTTCTTAGTCTAGCATGAAAGGAAGAAACCCCGTTTGCAACGAAGGCCTCAAAGAGGTCCAAATATCCACTTGCAGACATAACAAGCAGAGTGTTTCTAAACTGCTCTAAGAAAAGAAAGGTTAAACTCTGTGAGTTGAAGGCACACATCACAAAGTAGTTTCTGAGAATGATTCTGTCTAGTTTTTATTTGAAGATATTTCCTTTTCTACTGTTGGCATCAAATCGCTTGAAATCTCCACTTGCAAACTCCACAAAAAGAGTGTTTCAAATCTGCTCTGTGTAAAGGGTCGTTCCACTCTGTGAGTTGAATACACACAGCACAAAGAAGTTACTGAGAATTCTTCTGTCTAGCATGAAATGAAGAAATCCCGTTTCCAACGAAGGCCTCAATGCGGTCCATATATCCACTTGCAGACTTTACAAACAGAGTGTTTCCAAACTGCTCTATGAAAAGAAAGGTTAAACTATGTGAGTTGAACGCACACATCACAAAGAATTTTCTGAGAATGATTCTGTCTGGTTTTTATTTGAAGATATTTCCCTTTCTACTGTTGGCATCAAATGGCTAGAAATCTCCACTTGCAAATTCCGCAAAAAGAGTGTTTCAAATCTGCTCTGTCTAAAGGGACGTTCCACTCTGTGAGTTGAATGCACACAACACAAAGAATTTACTGAGAATTCTTCCGTCTAGCATGCAATGAAGAAATCCCGTTTCCAACGAAGGCCTCAAACAGGTCCATATATCCAATTGCAGACTTTACAAACAGTGTGTTTCCAAACTCCTCTATGAAAAGAAAGGTTAAACTCTGTGAGTTGAACGCACACATCACAAAGCACTTTCTGAGAATGATTCTGTCTGGTTGTTATACGAAGATATTTCCTTTTCTGCAATTGTCCTCAAATCGCTTGAAATCTCCACCTGAAAATGCCACAGCAAGAGTGTTTCAAATCTGCTCTCTCTAAAGCAAGGTTCAGCTCTGTGAGTTGAATACACACAACACAAAAAAGTTACTGAGAACTCTTCTTAGTCTAGCATGAAAGGAAGAAACCCCGTTTGCAACGAAGGCCTCAAAGAGGTCCAAATATCCACTTGCAGACATAACAAGCAGAGTGTTTCTAAACTGCTCTAAGAAAAGAAAGGTTAAACTCTGTGAGTTGAAGGCACACATCACAAAGTAGTTTCTGAGAATGATTCTGTCTAGTTTTTATTTGAAGGTATTTCCTTTTCTACTGTTGGCATCAAATCGCTTGAAATCTCCACTTGCAAACTCCACAAAAAGAGTGTTTCAAATCTGCTCTGTGTAAAGGGACGTTCCACTCTGTGAGTTGAATACACACAGCACAAAGAAGTTACTGAGAATTCTTCTGTCTAGCATGAAATGAAGAAATCCCGTTTCCAACGAAGGCCTCAATGCGGTCCATATATCCACTTGCAGACTTTACAAACAGAGTGTTTCCAAACTGCTCTATGAAAAGAAAGGTTAAACTATGTGAGTTGAACGCACACATCACAAAGAATTTTCTGAGAATGATTCTGTCTGGTTTTTATTTGAAGATATTTCCCTTTCTACTGTTGGCATCAAATGGCTAGAAATCTCCACTTGCAAATTCCGCAAAAAGAGTGTTTCAAATCTGCTCTGTCTAAAGGGACGTTCCACTCTGTCAGTTGAATGCACACAACACAAAGAATTTACTGAGAATTCTTCCGTCTAGCATTCAATGAAGAAATCCCGTTTCCAACGAAGGCCTCAAACAGGTCCATATATCCACATGCAGACTTTACAAACAGTGTGTTTCCAAACTCCTCTATGAAAAGAAAGGTTAAACTCTGTGAGTTGAACGCACACATCACAAAGCACTTTCTGAGAATGATTCTGTCTGGTTATTATACGAAGATATTTCCTTTTCTGCAATTGTCCTCAAATCGCTTGAAATCTCCACCTGAAAATGCCACAGCAAGAGTGTTTCAAATCTGCTCTCTCTAAAGCAAGGTTCAACTCTGTGAGTTGAATACACACAACACAAAAAAGTTACTGAGAACTCTTCTTAGTCTAGCATGAAAGGAAGAAACCCCGTTTGCAACGAAGGCCTCAAAGAGGTCCAAATATCCACTTGCAGACATAACAAGCAGAGTGTTTCTAAACTGCTCTAAGAAAAGAAAGGTTAAACTCTGTGAGTTGAAGGCACACATCACAAAGTAGTTTCTGAGAATGATTCTGTCTAGTTTTTATTTGAAGATATTTCCTTTTCTACTGTTGGCATCAAATCGCTTGAAATCTCCACTTGCAAATTCCACAAAAAGAGTGTTTCAAATCTGCTCTGTGCAAAGGGACGTTCCACTCTGTGAGTTGAATACACACAGCACAAAGAAGTTACTGAGAATTCTTCTGTCTAGCATGAAATGAAGAAATCCCGTTTCCAACGAAGGCCTCAATGCGGTCCATATATCCACTTGCAGACTTTACAAACAGAGTGTTTCCAAACTGCTCTATGAAAAGAAAGGTTATACTATTGTGAGTTGAACGCACACATCACAAAGAATTTTCTGAGAATGATTCTGTCTGGTTTTTATTTGAAGATATTTCCCTTTCTACTGTTGGCATCAAATGGCTAGAAATCTCCACTTGCAAATTCCGCAAAAAGAGTGTTTCAAATCTGCTCTGTCTAAAGGGACGTTCCACTCTGTGAGTTGAATGCACACAACACAAAGAATTTACTGAGAATTCTTCCGTCTAGCATTCAATGAAGAAATCCCGTTTCCAACGAAGGCCTCAAACAGGTCCATATATCCAATTGCAGACTTTACAAACAGTGTGTTTCCAAACTCCTCTATGAAAAGAAAGGTTAAACTCTGTGAGTTGAACGCACACATCACAAAGCACTTTCTGAGAATGATTCTGTCTGGTTATTATACGAAGATATTTCCTTTTCGGCAATTGTCCTCAAATCGCTTGAAATCTCCACCTGAAAATTCCACAGCGAGAGTGTTTCAAATCTGCTCTCTCTAAAGCAAGGTTCAACTCTGTGAGTTGAAAACACACAACACAAAAAAGTTACTGAGAACTGTTCTTAGTCTAGCATTAAAGGAAGAAACCCCGTTTGCAACGAAGGCCTAAAAGAGGTCCAAATATCCACTTGCAGACATAACAAGCAGAGTGTTTCTAAACTGCTCTAAGAAAAGAAAGGTTAAACTCTGTGAGTTGAAGGCACACATCACAAAGTAGTTTCTGAGAATGATTCTGTCTAGTTTTTATTTGAAGATATTTCCTTTTCTACTGTTGGCATCAAATCGCTTGAAATCTCCACTTGCAAACTCCACAAAAAGAGTGTTTCAAATCTGCTCTGTGCAAAGGGACGTTCCACTCTGTGAGTTGAATACACACAGCACAAAGAAGTTACTGAGAATTCTTCTGTCTAGCATGAAATGAAGAAATCCCGTTTCCAACGAAGGCCTCAATGCGGTCCATATATCCACTTGCAGAGTTTACCAACAGAGTGTTTCCAAACTGCTCTATGAAAAGAAAGGTTAAACTCTGTGAGTTGAAGGCACACATCACAAAGTAGTTTCTGAGAATGATTCTGTCTAGTTTTTATTTGAAGATATTTCCTTTTCTACTGTTGGCATCAAATGGCTTGAAATCTCCACTTGCAAATTCCACAAAAAGAGTGTTCCAAATCTGCTCTGTGTAAAGGGACGTTCCACTCTGTGAGTTGAATACACACAGCACAAAGAAGTTACTGAGAATTCTTCCGTCTAGCATTCAATGAAGAAATCCCGTTTCCAACGAAGGCCTCAAACAGGTCCATATATCCAATTGCAGACTTTACAAACAGTGTGTTTCCAAACTCCTCTATGAAAAGAAAGGTTAAACTCTGTGAGTTGAACGCACACATCACAAAGCACTTTCTGAGAATGATTCTGTCTGGTTATTATACGAAGATATTTCCTTTTCTGCAATTGTCCTCAAATCGCTTGAAATCTCCACCTGAAAATACCACAGCAAGAGTGTTTCAAATCTGCTCTCTCTAAAGCAAGGTTCAACTCTGTGAGTTGAATACACACAACACAAAAAAGTTACTGAGAACTCTTCTTAGTCTAGCATGAAAGGAAGAAACCCCGTTTGCAACGAAGGCCTCAAAGAGGTCCAAATATCCACTTGCAGACATAACAAGCAGAGTGTTTCTAAACTGCTCTAAGAAAAGAAAGGTTAAACTCTGTGAGTTGAAGGCACACATCACAAAGTAGTTTCTGAGAATGATTCTGTCTAGTTTTTATTTGAAGATATTTCCTTTTCTACTGTTGGCATCAAATCGCTTGAAATCTCCACTTGCAAACTCCACAAATAGAGTGTTTCAAATCTGCTCTGTGTAAAGGGACGTTCCACTCTGTGAGTTGAATACACACAGCACAAAGAAGTTACTGAGAATTCTTCTGTCTAGCATGAAATGAAGAAATCCCGTTTCCAACGAAGGCCTCAATGCGGTCCATAGATCCACTTGCAGACTTTACAAACAGAGTGTTTCCAAACTGCTCTATGAAAAGAAAGGTTAAACTATGTGAGTTGAACGCACACATCACAAAGAATTTTCTGAGAATGATTCTGTCTGGTTTTTATTTGAAGATATTTCCCTTTCTACTGTTGGCATCAAATGGCTAGAAATCTCCACTTGCAAATTCCGCAAAAAGAGTGTTTCAAATCTGCTCTGTCTAAAGGGACGTTCCACTCTGTGAGTTGAATGCACACAACACAAAGAATTTACTGAGAATTCTTCCGTCTAGCATTCAATGAAGAAATCCCGTTTCCAACGAAGGCCTCAAACAGGTCCATATATCCAATTGCAGACTTTACAAACAGTGTGTTTCCAAACTCCTCTATGAAAAGAAAGGTTAAACTCTGAGTTGAACGCACACATCACAAAGCACTTTCTGAGAATGATTCTGTCTGGTTGTTATACGAAGATATTTCCTTTTCTGCAATTGTCCTCAAATCGCTTGAAATCTCCACCTGAAAATGCCACAGCAAGAGTGTTTCAAATCTGCTCTCTCTAAAGCAAGGTTCAGCTCTGTGAGTTGAATACACACAACACAAAAAAGTTACTGAGAACTCTTCTTAGTCTAGCATTAAAGGAAGAAACCCCGTTTGCAACGAAGGCCTCAAAGAGGTCCAAATATCCACTTGCAGACATAACAAGCAGAGTGTTTCTAAACTGCTCTAAGAAAAGAAAGGTTAAACTCTGTGAGTTGAAGGCACACATCACAAAGTAGTTTCTGAGAATGATTCTGTCTAGTTTTTATTTGAAGATATTTCCTTTTCTACTGTTGGCATCAAATCGCTTGAAATCTCCACTTGCAAATTCCACAAAAAGAGTGTTTCAAATCTGCTCTGTGCAAAGGGACGTTCCACTCTGTGAGTTGAATACACACAGCACAAAGAAGTTACTGAGAATTCTTCCGCCTAGCATTCAATGAAGAAATCCCGTTTCCAACGAAGGCCTCAAACAGGTCCATATATCCACTTGCAGACTTTACAAACAGAGTGTTTCCAAACTGCTCTATGAAAAGAAAGGTTAAACTATGTGAGTTGAACGCACACATCACAAAGAATTTTCTGAGAATGATTCTGTCTGGTTTTTATTTGAAGATATTTCCCTTTCTACTGTTGGCATCAAATGGCTAGAAATCTCCACTTGCAAATTCCGCAAAAAGAGTGTTTCAAATCTGCTGTGTCTAAAGGGACGTTCCACTCTGTGAGTTGAATGCACACAACACAAAGAATTTACTGAGAATTCTTCCGTCTAGCATTCAATGAAGAAATCCCGTTTCCAACGAAGGCCTCAAACAGGTCCATATATCCAATTGCAGACTTTACAAACAGTGTGTTTCCAAACTCCTCTATGAAAAGAAAGGTTAAACTCTGTGAGTTGAACGCACACATCACAAAGCACTTTCTGAGAATGATTCTGTCTGGTTATTATACGAAGATATTTCCTTTTCTGCAATTGTCCTCAAATCGCTTGAAATCTCCACCTGAAAATGCCACAGCAAGAGTGTTTCAAATCTGCTCTCTCTAAAGCAAGGTTCAACTCTGTGAGTTGAATACACACAACACAAAAAAGTTACTGAGAACTCTTCTTAGTCTAGCATGAAAGGAAGAAACCCCGTTTGCAACGAAGGCCTCAAAGAGGTCCAAATATCCACTTGCAGACATAACAAGCAGAGTGTTTCTAAACTGCTCTAAGAAAAGAAAGGTTAAACTCTGTGAGTTGAAGGCACACATCACAAAGTAGTTTCTGAGAATGATTCTGTCTAGTTTTTATTTGAAGATATTTCCTTTTCTACTGTTGGCATCAAATCGCTTGAAATCTCCACTTGCAAATTCCACAAAAAGAGTGTTTCAAATCTGCTCTGTGTAAAGGGACGTTCCACTCTGTGAGTTGAATACACACAGCACAAAGAAGTTACTGAGAATTCTTCTGTCTAGCATGAAATGAAGAAATCCCGTTTCCAACGAAGGCCTCAATGCGGTCCATATATCCACTTGCAGACTTTACAAACAGAGTGTTTCCAAACTGCTCTATGAAAAGAAAGGTTAAACTATGTGAGTTGAACGCACACATCACAAAGAATTTTCTGAGAATGATTCTGTCTGGTTTTTATTTGAAGATATTTCCCTTTCTACTGTTGTCATCAAATGGCTAGAAATCTCCACTTGCAAATTCCGCAAAAAGAGTGTTTCAAATCTGCTCTGTCTAAAGGGACGTTGCACTCTGTGAGTTGAATGCACACAACACAAAGAATTTACTGAGAATTCTTCCGTCTAGCATTCAATGAAGAAATCCCGTTTCCAACGAAGGCCTCAAACAGGTCCATATATCCACTTGCAGAGTTTACAAACAGTGTGTTTCCAAACTCCTCTATGAAAAGAAAGGTTAAACTCTGTGAGTGGAACGCACACATCACAAAGCACTTTCTGAGAATGATTCTGTCTGGTTATTATACGAAGATATTCCCTTTTCGGCAATTTTCCTCAAATCGCTTGAAATCTCCACCTGAAAATGCCACAGCAAGAGTGTTTCAAATCTGCTCTCTCTAAAGCAAGGTTCAACTCTGTGAGTTGAATACACACAGCACAAAGAAGTTACTGAGAATTCTTCTGTCTAGCATGAAATGAAGAAATCCCGTTTCCAACGAAGGCCTCAATGCGGTCCATATATCCACTTGCAGACTTTACAAACAGAGTGTTTCCAAACTGCTCTATGAAAAGAAAGGTTAAACTATGTGAGTTGAACGCACACATCACAAAGAATTTTCTGAGAATGATTCTGTCTGGTTTTTATTTGAAGATGTTTCCCTTTCTACTGTTGGCATCAAATGGCTAGAAATCTCCACTTGCAAATTCCGCAAAAAGAGTGTTTCAAATCTGCTCTGTCTAAAGGGACGTTCCACTCTGTCAGTTGAATGCACACAACACAAAGAATTTACTGAGAATTCTTCCGTCTAGCATTCAATGAAGAAATCCCGTTTCCAACGAAGGCCTCAAACAGGTCCATATATCCAATTGCAGACTTTACAAACAGTGTGTTTCCAAACTCCTCTATGAAAAGAAAGGTTAAACTCTGTGAGTTGAACGCACACAACACAAAGCACTTTCTGAGAATGATTCTGTCTGGTTATTATACAGAAGATATTTCCTTTTCTGCAATTGTCCTCAAATCTCTTGAAATCTCCACCTGAAAATGCCACAGCAAGAGTGTTTCAAATCTGCTCTCTCTAAAGCAAGGTTCAACTCTGTGAGTTGAATACACACAACACAAAAAAGTTACTGAGAACTCTTCTTAGTCTAGCATGAAAGGAAGAAACCCCGTTTGCAACGAAGGCCTCAAAGAGGTCCAAATATCCACTCGCAGACATAACAAGCAGAGTGTTTCTAAACTGCTCTAAGAAAAGAAAGGTTAAACTCTGTGAGTTGAAGGCACACATCACAAAGTAGTTTCTGAGAATGATTCTGTCTAGTTTTTATTTGAAGATATTTCCTTTTCTACTGTTGGCATCAAATCGCTTGAAATCTCCACTTGCAAACTCCACAAAAAGAGTGTTTCAAATCTGCTCTGTGCAAAGGGACGTTCCACTCTGTGAGTTGAATACACACAGCACAAAGAAGTTACTGAGAATTCTTCTGTCTAGCATGAAATGAAGAAATCCCGTTTCCAACGAAGGCCTCAATGCGGTCCATATATCCACTTGCAGACTTTACAAACAGAGTGTTTCCAAACTGCTCTATGAAAAGAAAGGTTAAACTATGTGAGTTGAACGCACACATCACAAAGAATTTTCTGAGAATGATTCTGTCTGGTTTTTATTTGAAGATATTTCCCTTTCTACTGTTGGCATCAAATGGCTAGAAATCTCCACTTGCAAATTCCGCAAAAAGAGTGTTTCAAATCTGCTCTGTCTAAAGGGACGTTCCACTCTGTGAGTTGAATGCACACAGCACAAAGAATTTACTGAGAATTCTTCCGTCTAGCATTCAATGAAGAAATCCCGTTTCCAACGAAGGCCTCAAACAGGTCCATATATCCACTTGCAGAATTTACAAACAGTGTGTTTCCAAACTCCTCTGTGAAAAGAAAGGTTAAACTCTGTGAGTTGAACGCACACATCACAAAGCACTTTCTGAGAATGATTCTGTCTGGTTATTATACGAAGATATTTCCTTTTCTGCAATTGTCCTCAAATCGCTTGAAATCTCCACCTGAAAATGCCACAGCAAGAGTGTTTTAAATCTGCTCTCTCTAAAGCAAGGTTCAACTCTGTGAGTTGAATACACACAACACAAAAAAGTTACTGAGAACTCTTCTTAGTCTAGCATGAAAGGAAGAAACCCCGTTTGCAACGAAGGCCTCAAAGAGGTCCAAATATCCACTTGCAGACATAACAAGCAGAGTGTTTCTAAACTGCTCTAAGAAAAGAAAGGTTAAACTCTGTGATTTGAAGGCACACATCACAAAGTAGTTTCTGAGAATGATTCTGTCTAGTTTTTATTTGAAGATATTTCCTTTTCTACTGTTGGCATCAAATCGCTTGAAATCTCCACTTGCAAACTCCACAAAAAGAGTGTTTCAAATCTGCTCTGTGTAAAGGGACGTTCCACTCTGTGAGTTGAATACACACAGCACAAAGAAGTTACTGAGAATTCTTCTGTCTAGCATGAAATGAAGAAATCCCGTTTCCAAAGAAGGCCTCAATGCGGTCCATATATCCACTTGCAGACTTTACAAACAGAGTGTTTCCAAACTGCTCTATGAAAAGAAAGGTTAAACTATGTGAGTTGAACGCACACATCACAAAGAATTTTCTGAGAATGATTCTGTCTGGTTTTTATTTGAAGATATTTCCCTTTCTACTGTTGGCATCAAATGGCTAGAAATCTCCACTTGCAAATTCCGCAAAAAGAGTGTTTCAAATCTGCTCTGTCTAAAGGGACGTTCCACTCTGTGAGTTGAATGCACACAACACAAAGAATTTACTGAGAATTCTTCCGTCTAGCATTCAATGAAGAAATCCCGTTTCCAACGGAGGCCTCAAACAGGTCCATATATCCAATTGCAGACTTTACAAACAGTGTGTTTCCAAACTCCTCTATGAAAAGAAAGGTTAAACTCTGTGAGTTGAACGCACACATCACAAAGCACTTTCTGAGAATGATTCTGTCTGGTTGTTATACGAAGATATTTCCTTTTCTGTAATTGTCCTCAAATCGCTTGAAATCTCCACCTGAAAATGCCACAGCAAGAGTGTTTCAAATCTGCTCTCTCTAAAGCAAGGTTCAACTCTGTGAGTTGAATACACACAACACAAAAAAGTTACTGAGAACTCTTCTTAGTCTAGCATGAAAGGAAGAAACCCCGTTTGCAACGAAGGCCTCAAAGAGGTCCAAATATCCACTTGCAGACATAACAAGCAGAGTGTTTCTAAACTGCTCTAAGAAAAGAAAGGTTAAACTCTGTGAGTTGAAGGCACACATCACAAAGTAGTTTCTGAGAATGATTCTGTCTAGTTTTTATTTGAAGATATTTCCTTTTCTACTGTTGGCATCAAATCGCTTGAAATCTCCACTTGCAAACTCCACAAATAGAGTGTTTCAAATCTGCTCTGTGTAAAGGGACGTTCCACTCTGTGAGTTGAATACACACAGCACAAAGAAGTTACTGAGAATTCTTCTGTCTAGCATGAAATGAAGAAATCCCGTTTCCAACGAAGGCCTCAATGCGGTCCATATATCCACTTGCAGACTTTACAAACAGAGTGTTTCCAAACTGCTCTATGAAAAGAAAGGTTAAACTATGTGAGTTGAACGAACACATCACAAAGAATTTTCTGAGAATGATTCTGTCTGGTTTTTATTTGAAGATATTTCCCTTTCTACTGTTGGCATCAAATGGCTAGAAATCTCCACTTGCAAATTCCGCAAAAAGAGTGTTTCAAATCTGCTCTGTCTAAAGGGACGTTCCACTCTGTGAGTTGAATGCACACAACACAAAGAATTTACTGAGAATTCTTCCGTCTAGCATTCAATGAAGAAATCCCGTTTCCAACGAAGGCCTCAAACAGGTCCATATATCCACTTGCAGACTTTACAAACAGTGTGTTTCCAAACTCCTCTATGAAAAGAAAGGTTAAACTCTGTGAGTGGAACGCACACATCACAAAGCACTTTCTGAGAATGATTCTGTCTGGTTATTATACGAAGATATTTCCTTTTCTGCAATTGTCCTCAAATCGCTTGAAATCTCCACCTGAAAATGCCACAGCAAGAGTGTTTCAAATCTGCTCTCTCTAAAGCAAGGTTCAACTCTGTGAGTTGAATACACACAACACAAAAATGTTACTGAGAACTCTTCTTAGTCTAGCATGAAAGGAAGAAACCCCGTTTGCAACGAAGGCCTCAAAGAGGTCCAAATATCCACTTGCAGACATAACAAGCAGAGTGTTTCTAAACTGCTCTAAGAAAAGAAAGGTTAAACTCTGTGAGTTGAAGGCACACATCACAAAGTAGTTTCTGAGAATGATTCTGTCTAGTTTTTATTTGAAGATATTTCCTTTTCTACTGTTGGCATCAAATCGCTTGAAATCTCCACTTGCAAATTCCACAAAAAGAGTGTTTCAAATCTGCTCTGTGTAAAGGGACGTTCCACTCTGTGAGTTGAATACACACAGCACAAGGAAGTTACTGAGAATTCTTCTGTCTAGCATGAAATGAAGAAATCCCGTTTCCAACGAAGGCCTCAATGCGGTCCATATATCCACTTGCAGACTTTACAAACAGAGTGTTTCCAAACTGCTCTATGAAAAGAAAGGTTAAACTATGTGAGTTGAACGCACACATCACAAAGAATTTTCTGAGAATGATTCTGTCTGGTTTTTATTTGAAGATATTTCCCTTTCTACTTTTGGCATCAAATGGCTAGAAATCTCCACTTGCAAATTCCGCAAAAAGAGTGTTTCAAATCTACTCTGTCTAAAGGGACGCTCCACTCTGTCAGTTGAATGCACACAACACAAAGAATTTACTGAGAATTCTTCCGTCTAGCATTCAATGAAGAAATCCCGTTTCCAACGAAGGCCTCAAACAGGTCCATATATCCAATTGCAGACTTTACAAACAGTGTGTTTCCAAACTCCTCTATGAAAAGAAAGGTTAAACTCTGTGAGTTGAACGCACACATCACAAAGCACTTTCTGAGAATGATTCTGTCTGGTTATTATACGAAGATATTTCCTTTTCTGCAATTGTCCTCAAATCGCTTGAAATCTCCACCTGAAAATGCCACAGCAAGAGTGTTTCAAATCTGCTCTCTCTAAAGCAAGGTTCAACTCTGTGAGTTGAATACACACAACTCAAAAAAGTTACTGAGAACTCTTCTTAGTCTAGCATTAAAGGAAAAAACCCCGTTTGCAACGAAGGCCTCAAAGAGGTCCAAATATCCACTTGCAGACATAACAAGCAGAGTGTTTCTAAACTGCTCTAAGAAAAGAAAGGTTAAACTCTGTGAGTTGAAGGCACACATCACAAAGAATTTTCTGAGAATGATTCTGTCTGGTTTTTATTTGAAGATATTTCCCTTTCTACTGTTGGCATCAAATGGCTAGAAATCTCCACTTGCAAATTCCGCAAAAAGAGTGTTTCAAATCTGCTCTGTGTAAAGGGACGTTCCACTCTGTGAGTTCAATGCACACAACACAAAGAATTTACTGAGAATTCTTCCGTCTAGCATTCAATGAAGAAATCCCGTTTCCAACGGAGGCCTCAATGCGGTCCATATATCCAATTGCAGACTTTACAAACAGTGTGTTTCGAAGCTCCTCTATGAAAAGAAAGGTTAAACTCTGTGAGTTGAACGCACACATCACAAAGCACTTTCTGAGAATGATTCTGTCTGGTTATTATACGAAGATATTTCTTTTTCTGCAATTGTCCTCAAATCGCTTGAAATCTCCACCTGAAAATTCCACAGCAAGAGTGTTTCAAATCTGCTCTCTCTAAAGCAAGGTTCAACTCTTTGAGTTGAATACACACAACACAAAAAAGTTGCTGAGAACTCTTCTTAGTCTAGCATGAAAGGAAGAAACCCCGTTTGCAACGAAGGCCTCAAAGAGGTCCAAATATCCACTTGCAGACATAACAAGCAGAGTGTTTCTAAACTGCTCTAAGAAAAGAAAGGTTAAACTCTGTGAGTTGAAGGCACACATCACAAAGTAGTTTCTGAGAATGATTCTGTCTAGTTTTTGTTTGCAGATATTTCCTTTTCTACTGTTGGCATCAAATCGCTTGAAATCTCCACTTGCAAATTCCACAAAAAGAGTGTTTCAAATCTGCTCTGTGTAAAGGGACGTTCCAATCTGTGAGTTGAATACACACAACACAAAGAAGTTACTGAGAATTCTTCTGTCTAGCATGAAATGAAGAAATCCCGTTTCCAACGAAGGCCTCAATGCGGTCCATATATCCACTTGCAGACTTTACAAACAGAGTGTTTCCAAACTGCTCTATGAAAAGAAAGGTTAAACTATGTGAGTTGAACGCACACATCACAAACAATTTTCTGAGAATGATTCTGTCTGGTTTTTATTTGAAGATATTTCCCTTTCTACTGTTGGCATCAAATGGCTAGAAATCTCCACTTGCAAATTCCGCAAAAAGAGTGTTTCAAATCTGCTCTGTCTAAAGGGACGTTCCACTCTGTGAGTTGAATGCACACAACACAAAGAATTTACTGAGAATTCTTCCGTCTAGCATTATATGATAAAATCCCGCTTCCAACGAAGGCCTCAAACAGATCCATATATCCACTTGCAGACTTTACAAACAGTGTGTTTCCAAACTCCTCTATGAAAAGAAAGGTTAAACTCTGTGAGTTGAACGCACACATCACAAAGCACTTTCTGAGAATGATTCTGTCTGGTTATTATACGAAGATATTTCCTTTTCTGCAATTGTCCTCAAATCGCTTGAAATCTAAACCTGAAAATGCCACAGCAAGAGTGTTTCAAATCTGCTCTCTCTAAGGCAAGGTTCAACTCTGTGAGTTGAATACACACAACACAAAAAAGTTACTGAGAATTCTTCTTAGTCTAGCATGAAAGGAAGAAACCCCGTTTGCAACGAAGGCCTCAAAGAGGTCCAAATATCCACTTGCAGACATAACAAGCAGAGTGTTTCTAAACTGCTCTAAGAAAAGAAAGGTTAAACTCTGTGAGTTAAAGGCACACATCACAAAGTAGTTTCTGAGAATGATTCTGTCTAGTTTTTATTTGAAGATATTTCCTTTTCTACTGTTGGCATCAAATCGCTTGAAATCTCCACTTGCAAACTCCACAAAAAGAGTGTTTCAAATCTGCTCTGTGTAAAGGGACGTTCCACTCTGTGAGTTGAATACACACAGCACAAAGAAGTTACTGAGAATTCTTCTGTCTAGCATGAAATGAAGAAATCCCGTTTCCAACGAAGGCCTCAATGCGGTCTATATATCCACTTGCAGACTTTACAAACAGAGTGTTTCCAAACTGCTCTATGAAAAGAAAGGTTAAACTATGTGAGTTGAACGCACACATCACAAAGAATTTTCTGAGAATGATTCTCTGTCTGGTTTTTATTTGAAGATATTTCCCTTTCTACTGTTGGCATCAAATGGCTAGAAATCTCCACTTGCAAATTCCGCAAAAAGAGTGTTTCAAATCTGCTCTGTCTAAAGGGACGTTCCACTCTGTGAGTTCAATGCACACAACACAAAGAATTTACTGAGAATTCTTCCGTCTAGCATTCAATGAAGAAATCCCGTTTCCAACGAAGGCCTCAAACAGGTCCATATATCCACTTGCAGACTTTACAAACAGTGTGTTTCCAAACTCCTCTATGAAAAGAAAGGTTAAACTCTGTGAGTTGAACGCACACATCACAAAGCACTTCCTGAGAATGATTCTGTCTGGTTGTTATACGAAGATATTTCCTTTTCTGCAATTGTCCTCAAATCGCTTGAAATCTCCACCTGAAAATGCCACAGCAAGAGTGTTTCAAATCTGCTCTCTCTAAAGCAAGGTTCAACTCTGTGAGTTGAATACACACAACACAAAAAAGTTACTGAGAACTCTTCTTAGTCTAGCATGAAAGGAAGAAACCCCGTTTGCAACGAAGGCCTCAAAGAGGTCCAAATATCCACTTGCAGACATAACAAGCAGAGTGTTTCTAAACTGCTCTAAGAAAAGAAAGGTTAAACTCTGTGAGTTGAAGGCACACATCACAAAGTAGTTTCTGAGAATGGTTCTGTCTAGTTTTTATTTGAAGATATTTCCTTTTCTACTGTTGGCATCAAATCGCTTGAAATCTCCACTTGCAAATTCCACAAAAAGAGTGTTTCAAATCTGCTCTGTGCAAAGGGACGTTCCACTCTGTGAGTTGAATACACACAGCACAAAGAAGTTACTGAGAATTCTTCTGTCTAGCATGAAATGAAGAAATCACGTTTCCAACGAAGGCCTCAATGCGGTCCATATATCCACTTGCAGACTTTACAAACAGAGTGTTTCCAAACTGCTCTATGAAAAGAAAGGTTAAATTATGTGAGTTGAACGCACACATCACAAAGAATTTTCTGAGAATGATTCTGTCTGGTTTTTATTTGAAGATATTTCCCTTTCTACTGTTGGCATCAAATGGCTAGAAATCTCCACTTGCAAATTCCGCAAAAAGAGTGTTTCAAATCTGCTCTGTCTAAAGGGACGTTCCACTCTGTGAGTTGAATGCACACAACACAAAGAATTTACTGAGAATTCTTCCGTCTAGCATTCAATGAAGAAATCCCGTTTCCAACGAAGGCCTCAAACAGGTCCATATATCCACTTGCAGACTTTACAAACAGTGTGTTTCCAAACTCCTCTATGAAAAGAAAGGTTAAACTCTGTGAGTGGAACGCACACATCACAAAGCACTTTCTGAGAATGATTCTGTCTGGTTGTTATACGAAGATATTTCCTTTTCTGCAATTGTCCTCAAATCGCTTGAAATCTCCACCTGAAAATGTCACAGCAAGAGTGTTTCAAATCTGCTCTCTCTAAAGCAAGGTTCAACTCTGTGAGTTGAATACACACAACACAAAAAAGTTACTGAGAACTCTTCTTAGTCTAGCATGAAAGGAAGAAACCCCGTTTGCAACGAAGGCCTCAAAGAGGTCCAAATATCCACTTGCAGACATAACAAGCAGAGTGTTTCTAAACTGCTCTAAGAAAAGAAAGGTTGAACTCTGTGAGTTGAAGGCACACATCACAAAGTAGTTTCTGAGAATGATTCTGTCTAGTTTTTATTTGAAGATATTTCCTTTTCTACTGTTGGCATCAAATCGCTTGAAATCTCCACTTGCAAACTCCACAAAAAGAGTGTTTCAAATCTGCTCTGTGCAAAGGGACGTTCCACTCTGTGAGTTGAATACACACGGCACAAAGAAGTTACTGAGAATTCTTCTGTCTAGCATGAAATGAAGAAATCCCGTTTCCAACGAAGGCCTCAATGCGGTCCATATATCCACTTGCAGACTTTACAAACAGAGTGTTTCCAAACTGCTCTATGAAAAGAAAGGTTAAACTATGTGAGTTGAACGCACACATCACAAAGAATTTTCTGAGAATGATTCTGTCTGGTTTTTATTTGAAGATATTTCCCTTTCTACTGTTGGCATCAAATGGCTAGAAATCTCCACTTGCAAATTCCGCAAAAAGAGTGTTTCAAATCTGCTCTGTCTAAAGGGACGTTCCACTCTGTGAGTTGAATGCACACAACACAAAGAATTTACTGAGAATTTTTCCGTCTAGCATTCAATGAAGAAATCCCGTTTCCAACGAAGGCCTCAAACAGGTCCATATATCCACTTGCAGACTTTACAAACAGTGTGTTTCCAAACTCCTCTATGAAAAGAAAGGTTAAACTCTGTGAGTTGAACGCACACATCACAAAGCACTTTCTGAGAATGATTCTGTCTGGTTATTATACGAAGATATTTCCTTTTCTGCAATTGTCCTCAAATCGCTTGAAATCTCCAGCTGAAAATGCAACAGCAACAGTGTTTCAAATCTGCTCTCTCTAAAGCAAGGTTCAACTCTGTGAGTTGAATACCCACAACACAAAAAAGTTACTGAGAACTCTTCTTAGTCTAGCATGAAAGGAAGAAAACCCGTTTGCAACGAAGGCCTCAAAGAGGTCCAAATATCCACTTGCAGACATAACAAGCAGAGTGTTTCTAAACTGCTCTAAGAAAAGAAAGGTTAAACTCTGTGAGTTGAAGGCACACATCACAAAGTAGTTTCTGAGAATGATTCTGTCTAGTTTCTATTTGAAGATATTTCCTTTTCTACTGTTGGCATCAAATCGCTTGAAATCTCCACTTGCAAACTCCACAAAAAGAGTGTTTCAAATCTGCTCTGTGCAAAGGGACGTTCCACTCTGTGAGTTGAATACACACAGCACAAAGAAGTTACTGAGAATTCTTCTGTCTAGCATGAAATGAAGAAATCCCGTTTCCAACGAAGGCCTCAATGCGGTCCATATATCCACTTGCAGACTTTACAAACAGAGTGTTTCCAAACTGCTCTATGAAAAGAAAGGTTAAACTATGTGAGTTGAACGCACACATCACAAAGAATTTTCTGAGAATGATTCTGTCTGGTTTTTATTTGAAGATATTTTCCTTTCTACTGTTGGCATCAAATGGCTAGAAATCTCCACTTGCAAATTCCGCAAAAAGAGTGTTTCAAATCTGCTCTGTCTAAAGGGACGTTCCACTCTGTGAGTTGAATGCACACAACACAAAGAATTTACTGAGAATTCTTCCGTCTAGCATTATATGATAAAATCCCCTTTCCAACGAAGGCCTCAAACAGGTACATATATCCACTGGCAGACTTTACAAACAGTGTGTTTCCAAACTCCTTTATGAAAAGAAAGGTTAAACTATGTGAGTTGAACGCACACATCACAAAGCACTTTCTGAGAATGATTCTGTCTGGTTTTTATTTGAAGATATTTCCCTTTCTACTGTTGGCATCAAATGGCTAGAAATCTCCACTTGCAAATTCCGCAAAAAGAGTGTTTCAAATCTGCTCTGTCTAAAGGGACGTTCCACTCTGTGAGTTGAATGCACACAACACAAAGAATTTACTGAGAATTCTTCCGTCTAGCATTCAATGAAGAAATCCCGTTTCCAACGAAGGCCTCAAACAGGTCCATATATCCAATTGCAGACTTTACAAACAGTGTGTTTCCACACTCCTCTATGAAAAGAAAGGTTAAACTCTGTGAGTTGAACGCACACATCACAAAGCACTTTCTGAGAATGATTCTGTCTGGTTATTATACGAAGATATTTCCTTTTCTGCAATTGTCCTCAAATCGCTTGAAATCTCCACCTGAAAATGCCACAGCAAGAGTGTTTCAAATCTGCTCTCTCTAAAGCAAGGTTCAACTCTGTGAGTTGAATACACACAACACAAAAAGTTACTGAGAACTCTTCTTAGTCTAGCATGAAAGGAAGAAACCCCGTTTGCAACGAAGGCCTCAAAGAGGTCCAAATATCCATTTGCAGACATAACAAGCAGAGTGTTTCTAAACTGCTCTAAGAAAAGAAAGGTTAAACTCTGTGAGTTGAAGGCACACATCACAAAGTAGTTTCTGAGAATGATTCTGTCTAGTTTTTATTTGAAGATATTTCCTTTTCTACTGTTGGCATCAAATCGCTTGAAATCTCCACTTGCAAACTCCACAAAAAGAGTGTTTCAAATCTGCTCTGTGCAAAGGGACGTTCCACTCTGTGAGTTGAATACACACAGCACAAAGAAGTTACTGAGAATTCTTCTGTCTAGCATGAAATGAAGAAATCCCGTTTCCAACGAAGGCCTCAATGCGGTCCATATATCCACTTGCAGACTTTACAAACAGAGTGTTTCCAAACTGCTCTATGAAAAGAACGGTTAAACTATGTGAGTTGAACGCACACATCACAAAGAATTTTCTGAGAATGATTCTGTCTGCTTTTTATTTGAAGATATTTCCCTTTCTACTGTTGGCATCAAATGGCTAGAAATCTCCACTTGCAAATTCCGCCAAAAAGTGTTTCAAATCTGCTCTGTCTAAAGGGACGTTCCACTCTGTGAGTTGAATGCACACAACACAAAGAATTTACTGAGAATTCTTCCGTCTAGCATTCAATGAAGAAATCCCGTTTCCAACGAAGGCCTCAAACAGGTCCATATATCCAATTGCAGACATTACAAACAGTGTGTTTCCAAGCTCCTCTATGAAAAGAAAGGTTAAACTCTGTGAGTTGAACGCACACATCACAAAGCACTTTCTGAGAATGATTCTGTCTGGTTATTATACGAAGATATTTCCTTTTCTGCAATTGTCCTCAAATCGCTTGAAATCTCCACCTGAAAATGCCACAGCAAGAGTGTTTCAAATCTGCTCTCTCTAAAGCAAGGTTCAACTCTGTGAGTTGAATACACACAACACAAAAAAGTTACTGAGAACTCTTCTTAGTCTAGCATTAAAGGAAGAAACGCCGTTTGCAACGAAGGCCTCAAAGAGGTCCAAATATCCACTTGCAGACATAACAAGCAGAGTGTTTCTAAACTGCTCTAAGAAAAGAAATGTTAAACTCTGTGAGTTGAAGGCACACATCACAAAGTAGTTTCTGAGAATGATTCTGTCTAGTTTTTATTTGAAGATATTTCCTTTTCTACTGTTGGCATCAAATCGCTTGAAATCTCCACTTGCAAACTCCACAAAAAGAGTGTTTCAAATCTGCTCTGTGCAAAGGGACGTTCCACTCTGTGAGTTGAATACACACAGCACAAAGAAGTTACTGAGAATTCTTCTGTCTAGCATGAAATGAAGAAATCCCGTTTCCAACGAAGGCCTCAATGCGGTCCATATATCCACTTGCAGACTTTACAAACAGAGTGTTTCCAAACTGCTCTATGAAAAGAAAGGTTAAACTATGTGAGTTGAACGCACACATCACAAAGAATTTTCTGAGAATGATTCTGTCTGGTTTTTATTTGAAGATATTTCCCTTTCTACTGTTGGCATCAAATGGCTAGAAATCTCCACTTGCAAATTCCGCAAAAAGAGTGTTTCAAATCTGCTCTGTCTAAAGGGACGTTCCACTCTGTGAGTTGAATGCACACAACACAAAGAATTTACTGAGAATTCTTCCGTCTAGCATTCAATGAAGAAATCCCGTTTCCAACGAAGGCCTCAAACAGGTCCATATATCCACTTGCAGACTTTACAAACAGTGTGTTTCCAAACTCCTCTATGAAAAGAAAGGTTAAATTCTGTGAGTTGAACGCACACATCACAAAGCACTTTCTGAGTATGATTCTGTCTGGTTATTATACGAAGATATTTCCTTTTCTGCAATTGTCCTCAAATCGCTTGAAATCTCCACCTGAAAATGCCACAGCAAGAGTGTTTCAAATCTGCTCTCTCTAAAGCAAGGTTCAACTCTGTGAGTTGAATACACACAACACAAAAAAGTTACTGAGAACTCTTCTTAGTCTAGCATGAAAAGAAGAAACCCCGTTTGCAACGAAGGCCTCAAAGAGGTCCAAATATCCACTTGCAGACATAACAAGCAGAGTGTTTCTAAACTGCTCTAAGAAAAGAAAGGTTAAACTCTGTGAGTTGAAGGCACACATCACAAAGTAGTTTCTGAGAATGATTCTGTCTAGTTTTTATTTGAAGATATTTCCTTTTCTACTGTTGGCATCAAATCGCTTGAAATCTCCACTTGCAAATTCCACAAAAAGAGTGTTTCAAATCTGCTCTGTGCAAAGGGACGTTCCACTCTGTGAGTTGAATACACACAGCACAAAGAAGTTACTGAGAATTCTTCTGTCTAGCATGAAATGAAGAAATCCCGTTTCCAACGAAGGCCTCAATGCGGTCCATATATCCACTTGCAGACTTTACAAACAGAGTGTTTCCAAACTGCTCTATGAAAAGAAAGGTTAAACTATGTGAGTTGAACGCACACATCACAAAGAATTTTCTGAGAATGATTCTGTCTGGTTTTTATTTGAAGATATTTCCCTTTCTACTGTTGGCATCAAATGGCTAGAAATCTCCACTTGCAAATTCCGCAAAAAGAGTGTTTCAAATCTGCTCTGTCTAAAGGGACGTTCCACTCTGTGAGTTGAATGCACACAACACAAAGAATTTACTGAGAATTCTTCCGTCTAGCATTCAATGAAGAAATCCCGTTTCCAACGAAGGCCTCAAACAGGTCCATATATCCAATTGCAGACTTTACAAACAGTGTGTTTCCAAACTCCTCTATGAAAAGAAAGGTTAAACTCTGTGAGTTGAACGCACACATCACAAAGCACTTTCTGAGAATGATTCTGTCTGGTTATTATAGGAAGATATTTCCTTTTCTGCAATTGTCCTCAAATCGCTTGAAATCTCCACCTGAAAATGCCACAGCAAGAGTGTTTCAAATCTGCTCTCTCTAAAGCAAGGTTCAACTCTGTGAGTTGAATACACACAACACAAAAAAGTTACTGAGAACTCTTCTTAGTCTAGCATGAAAGGAAGAAACCCCGTTTGCAACGAAGGCCTCAAAGAGGTCCAAATATCCACTTGCAGACATAACAAGCAGAGTGTTTCTAAACTGCTCTAAGAAAAGAAAGGTTAAACTATGTGAGTTGAATGCACACATCACAAAGAATTTTCTGAGAATGATTCTGTCTGGTTTTTATTTGAAGATATTTCCCTTTCTACTGTTGGCATCAAATGGCTAGAAATCTCCACTTGCAAATTCCGCAAAAAGAGTGTTTCAAATCTGCTCTGTCTAAAGGGACGTTCCACTCTGTGAGTTGAATGCACACAACACAAAGAATTTACTGAGAATTCTTCCGTCTAGCATTCAATGAAGAAATCCCGTTTCCAACGAAGGCCTCAAACAGGTCCATATATCCACCTGCAGACTTTACTAACAGTGTGTTTCCAAACTCCTCTATGAAAAGAAAGGTTAAACTCTGTGAGTTGAACGCACACATCACAAAGCACTTTCTGAGAATGATTCTGTCTGGTTATTATACGGAAGATATTTCCTTTTCTGCAATTGTCCTCAAATCGCTTGAAATCTCCACCTGAAAATGCCACAGCAAGAGTGTTTCAAATCTGCTCTCTCTAAAGCAAGGTTCAACTCTGTGAGTTGAATACACACAACACAAAAAAGTTACTGAGAACTCTTCTTAGTCTAGCATGAAAGGAAGAAACCCCGTTTGCAACGAAGGCCTCAAAGAGGTCCAAATATCCACTTGCAGACATAACAAGCAGAGTGTTTCTAAACTGCTCTAAGAAAAGAAAGGTTAAACTCTGTGAGTTGAAGGCACACATCACAAAGTAGTTTCTGAGAATGATTCTGTCTAGTTTTTATTTGAAGATATTTCCTTTTCTACTGTTGGCATCAAATCGCTTGAAATCTCCACTTGCAAATTCCACAAAAAAGAGTGTTTCAAATCTGCTCTGTGCAAAGGGACGTTCCACTCTGTGAGTTGAATACACACAGCCCAAGGAAGTTACTGAGAATTCTTCTGTCTAGCATGAAATGAAGAAATCCCGTTTCCAACGAAGGCCTCAATGCGGTCCATATATCCACTTGCAGACTTTACAAACAGAGTGTTTCCAAACTGCTCTATGAAAAGAAAGGTTAAACTATGTGAGTTGAACGCACACATCACAAAGAATTTTCTGAGAATGATTCTGTCTGGTTTTTATTTGAAGATATTTCCCTTTCTACTGTTGGCATCAAATGGCTAGAAATCTCCACTTGCAAATTCCACAAAAAGAGTGTTTCAAATCTGCTCTGTCTAAAGGGACGTTCCACTCTGTGAGTTGAATGCACACAACACAAAGAATTTACTGAGAATTCTTCCGTCTAGCATTCAATGAAGAAATCCCGTTTCCAACGAAGGCCTCAAACAGGTCCATATATCCAATTGCAGACTTTACAAACAGTGTGTTTCCAAACTCCTCTATGAAAAGAAAGGTTAAACTCTGTGAGTTGAACGCACACATCACAAAGCACTTTCTGAGAATGATTCTGTCTGGTTATTATACGAAGATATTTCCTTTTCTGCAATTGTCCTCAAAACGCTTGAAATCTCCACCTGAAAATGCCACAGCAAGAGTGTTTCAAATCTGCTCTCTCTAAAGCAAGGTTCAACTCTGTGAGTTGAATACACACAACACAAAAAAGTTACTGAGAACTCTTCTTAGTCTAGCATGAAAGGAAGAAACCCCGTTTGCAACGAAGGCCTCAAAGAGGTCCAAATATCCACTTGCAGACATAACAAGCAGAGTGTTTCTAAAGTGCTCTAAGAAAAGAAAGGTTAAACTCTGTGAGTTGAAGGCACACATCACAAAGTAGTTTCTGAGAATGATTCTGTCTAGTTTTTATTTGAAGATATTTCCTTTTCTACTGTTGGCATCAAATCGCTTGAAATCTCCACTTGCAAATTCCACAAAAAGAGTGTTTCAAATCTGCTCTGTGCAAAGGGACGTTCCACTCTGTGAGTTGAATACACACAGCACAAAGAAGTTACTGAGAATTCTTCCGTCTAGCATTCAATGAAGAAATCCCGTTTCCAACGAAGGCCTCAAACAGGTCCATATATCCACTTGCAGACTTTACAAAAAGAGTGTTTCCAAACTGCTCTATGAAAAGAAAGGTTAAACTATGTGAGTTGAACGCACACATCACAAAGAATTTTCTGAGAATGATTCTGTCTGGTTTTTATTTGAAGATATTTCCCTTTCTACTGTTGGCATCAAATGGCTAGAAATCTCCACTTGCAAATTCCGCAAAAAGAGTGTTTCAAATCTGCTCTGTCTAAAGGGACGTTCCACTCTGTCAGTTGAATGCGCACAACACAAAGTATTTACTGAGAATTCTTCCGTCTAGCATGCAATGAAGAAATCCCGTTTCCAACGAAGGCCTCAAACAGGTCCATATATCCAATTGCAGACTTTACAAACAGTGTGTTTCCAAACTCCTCTATGAAAAGAAAGGTTAAACTCTGTGAGTTGAACGCACACATCACAAAGCACTTTCTGAGAATGATTCTGTCTGGTTATTATTTGAAGATATTTCCTTTTCTGCAATTGTCCTCAAATCGCTTGAAATCTCCACCTGAAAATGCCACAGCAAGAGTGTTTCAAATCTGCTCTCTCTAAAGCAAGGTTCAACTCTGTGAGTTGAATACACACAGCACAAAGAAGTTACTGAGAATTCTTCTGTCTAGCATGAAATGAAGAAATCCCGTTTCCAACGAAGGCCTCAATGCGGTCCATATATCCACTTGCAGACTTTACAAACAGAGTGTTTCCAAACTGCTCTATGAAAAGAAAGGTTAAACTATGTGAGTTGAACGCACACATCACAAAGAATTTTCTGAGAATGATTCTGTCTGGTTTTTATTTGAAGATATTTCCCTTTCTACTCTTGGCATCAAATGGCTAGAAATCTCCACTTGCAAATTCCGCAAAAAGAGTGTTTCAAATCTGCTCTGTCTAAAGGGACGTTCCACTCTGTGAGTTGAATGCACACAACACAAAGAATTTACTGAGAATTCTTCCGTCTAGCATTCAATGAAGAAATCCCGTTTCCAAAGAAGGCCTCAAACAGGTCCATATATCCAATTGCAGACTTTACAAACAGTGTGTTTCCAAACTCCTCTATGAAAAGAAAGGTTAAACTCTGTGAGTTGAACGCACACATCACAAAGCACTTTCTGAGAATGATTCTTTCTGGTTATTATACGAAGATATTTCCTTTTCTGCAATTGTCCTCAAATCGCTTGAAATCTCCACCTGAAAATGTCACAGCAAGAGTGTTTCAAATCTGCTCTCTCTAAAGCAAGGTTCAACTCTGTGAGTTGAATACACACAACACAAAAAAGTTACTGAGAACTCTTCTTAGTCTAGCATTAAAGGAAGAAACCCCGTTTGCAACGAAGGCCTCAAAGAGGTCCAAATATCCACTTGCAGACATAACAAGCAGAGTGTTTCTAAACTGCTCTAAGAAAAGAAAGGTTAAACTCTGTGAGTTGAAGGCACACATCACAAAGTAGTTTCTGAGAATGATTCTGTCTAGTTTTTATTTGAAGATATTTCCTTTTCTACGGTTGGCATCAAATCGCTTGAAATCTCCACTTGCAAACTCCACAAAAAGAGTGTTTCAAATCTGCTCTCTGTAAAGGGACGTTCCACTCTGTGAGTTGAATACACACAGCACAAAGAAGTTACTGAGTATTCTTCTGTCTAGCATGAAATGAAGAAATCCCGTTTCCAACGAAGGCCTCAATGCGGTCCATATATCCACTTGCAGACTTTACAAACAGAGTGTTTCCAAACTGCTCTATGAAAAGAAAGGTTAAACTATGTGAGTTGAACGCACACATCACAAAGAATTTTCTGAGAATGATTCTGTCTGGTTTTTATTTGAAGATATTTCCCTTTCTACTGTTGGCATCAAATGGCTAGAAATCTCCACTTGCAAATTCCGCAAAAAGAGTGTTTCAAATCTGCTCTGTCTAAAGGGACGTTCCACTCTGTCAGTTGAATGCACACAACACAAAGAATTTACTGAGAATTCTTCCGTCTAGCATTCAATGAAGAAATCCCGTTTCCAACGAAGGCCTCAAACAGGTCCATATATCCAATTGCAGACTTTACAAACAGTGTGTTTCCAAACTCCTCTATGAAAAGAAAGGTTAAACTCTGTGAGTTGAACGCACACATCACAAAGCACTTTCTGAGAATGATTCTGTCTGGTTATTATACGAAGATATTTCCTTTTCTGCAATTGTCCTCAAATCGTTTGAAATCTCCACCTGAAAATGCCACAGCAAGAGTGTTTCAAATCTGCTCTCTCTAAAGCAAGGTTCAACTCTGTGAGTTGAATACACACAACACAAAAAAGTTACTGAGAACTCTTCTTAGTCTAGCATGAAAGGAAGAAACCCCGTTTGCAAAGAAGGCCTCAAAGAGGTCCAAATATCCACTTGCAGACATAACAAGCAGAGTGTTTCTAAACTGCTCTAAGAAAAGAAAGGTTAAACTCTGTGAGTTGAAGGCACACATCACAAAGTAGTTTCTGAGAATGATTCTGTCTAGTTTTTATTTGAAGATATTTCCTTTTCTACTGTTGGCATCAAATCGCTTGAAATCTCCACTTGCAAATTCCACAAAAAGAGTGTTTCAAATCTGCTCTGTGCAAAGGGACGTTCCACTCTGTGAGTTGAATACACACAGCACAAAGAAGTTACTGAGAATTCTTCTGTCTAGCATGAAATGAAGAAATCCCGTTTCCAACGAAGGCCTCAATGCGGTCCATATATCCACTTGCAGACTTTACAAACAGAGTGTTTCCAAACTGTTCTATGAAAAGAAAGGTTAAACTATGTGAGTTGAACGCACACATCACAAAGAATTTTCTGAGAATGATTCTGTCTGGTTTTTATTTGAAGATATTTCCCTTTCTACTGTTGGCATCAAATGGCTAGAAATCTCCACTTGCAAATTCCGCAAAAAGAGTGTTTCAAATCTGCTCTGTCTAAAGGGACGTTCCACTCTGTGAGTTGAATGCACACAACACAAAGAATTTACTGAGAATTCTTCCGTCTAGCATTCAATGAAGAAATCCCGTTTCCAACAAAGGCCTCAAACAGGTCCATATATCCAATTGCAGACTTTACAAACAGTGTGTTTCCAAACTCCTCTATGAAAAGAAAGGTTAAACTCTGTGAGTTGAACGCACACATCACAAAGCACTTTCTGAGAATGATTCTGTCTGGTTATTATACGAAGATATTTCCTTTTCTGCAATTGTCCTCAAAACGCTTGAAATCTCCACCTGAAAATGCCACAGCAAGAGTGTTTCAAATCTGCTCTCTCTAAAGCAAGGTTCAACTCTGTGAGTTGAATACACACAACACAAAAAAGTTACTGAGAACTCTTCTTAGTCTAGCGTGAAAGGAAGAAACCCCGTTTGCAACGAAGGCCTCAAAGAGGTCCAAATATCCACTTGCAGACATAACAAGGAGAGTGTTTCTAAACTGCTCTAAGAAAAGAAAGGTTAAACTCTGTGAGTTGAAGGCACACATCACAAAGTAGTTTCTGAGAATGATTCTGTCTAGTTTTTATTTGAAGATATTTCCTTTTCTACTGTTGGCATCAAATCGCTTGAAATCTCCACTTGCAAACTCCACAAAAAGAGTGTTTCAAATCTGCTCTGTGCAAAGGGACGTTCCACTCTGTGAGTTGAATACACACAGCACAAAGAAGTTACTGAGAATTCTTCTGTCTAGCATGAAATGAAGAAATCCCGTTTCCAACGAAGGCCTCAATGCGGTCCATATATCCACTTGCAGACTTTACAAACAGAGTGTTTCCAAACTGCTCTATGAAAAGAAAGGTTAAACTATGTGAGTTGAACGCACACATCACAAAGAATTTTCTGAGAATGATTCTGTCTGGTTTTTATTTGAAGATATTTCCCTTTCTACTGTTGGCATCAAATGGCTAGAAATCTCCACTTGCAAATTCCGCAAAAAGAGTGTTTCAAATCTGCTCTGTCTAAAGGGACGTTCCACTCTGTGAGTTGAATGCACACAACACAAAGAATTTACTGAGAATTCTTCCGTCTAGCATTCAATGAAGAAATCCCGTTTCCAACGAAGGCCTCAAACAGGTCCATATATCCAATTGCAGACTTTACAAACAGTGTGTTTCCAAACTCCTCTATGAAAAGAAAGGTTAAACTCTGTGAGTTGAACGCACACATCACAAAGCACTTTCTGAGAATGATTCTGTCTGGTTGTTATACGAAGATATTTCCTTTTCTGCAATTGTCCTCAAATCGCTTGAAATCTCCACCTGAAAATGCCACAGCAAGAGTGTTTCAAATCTGCTCTCTCTAAAGCAAGGTTCAACTCTGTGAGTTGAATACACACAACACAAAAAAGTTACTGAGAACTCTTCTTAGTCTAGCATGAAAGGAAGAAACCCCGTTTGCAACGAAGGCCTCAAAGAGGTCCAAATATCCACTTGCAGACATAACAAGCAGAGTGTTTCTAAAGTGCTCTAAGAAAAGAAAGGTTAAACTCTGTGAGTTGAAGGCACACATCAGAAAGTAGTTTCTGAGAATGATTCTGTCTAGTTTTTATTTGAAGATATTTCCTTTTCTATTGTTGGCATCAAATCGCTTGAAATCTCCACTTGCAAATTCCACAAAAAGAGTGTTTCAAATCTGTTCTGTGTAAAGGGACGTTCCACTCTGTGAGTTGAATACACACAGCACAAAGAAGTTACTGAGAATTCTTCTGTCTAGCATGAAATAAAGAAATCCCGTTTCCAACGAAGGCCTCAATGCGGTCCATATATCCACTTGCAGACTTTGCAAACAGAGTGTTTCCAAACTGCTCTATGAAAAGAAAGGTTAAACTATGTGATTTGAATGCACACATCACAAAGAATTTTATGAGAATGATTCTGTCTGGTTTTTATTTGAAGATATTTCCCTTTCTACTGTTGGCATCAAATGGCTAGAAATCTCCACTTGCAAATTCCGCAAAAAGAGTGTTTCAAATCTGCTCTGTCTAAAGGGACGTTCCACTCTGTGAGTTGAATGCACACAACACAAAGAATTTACTGAGAATTCTTCCGTCTAGCATTCAATGAAGAAATCCCGTTTCCAACGAAGGCCTCAAACAGGTCCATATATCCACTTGCAGACTTTACAAACAGTGTGTTTCCAAACTCCTCTATGGAAAGAAAAGTTAAACTCTGTGAGTTGAACGCACACATCACAAAGCACTTTCTGAGAATGATTCTGTCTGGTTATTATACGAAGATATTTCCTTTTCTGCAATTGTCCTCAAATCGCTTGAAATCTCCACCTGAAAATGCCACAGCAAGAGTGTTTCAAATCTGCTCTCTCTAAAGCAAGGTTCAACTCTGTGAGTTGAATACACACAACACAAAAAAGTTACTGAGAACTCTTCTTAGTCTAGCATGAAAGGAAGAAACCCCGTTTGCAACGAAGGCCTCAAAGAGGTCCAAATATCCACTTGCAGACATAACAAGCAGAGTGTTTCTAAACTGCTCTAAGAAAAGAAAAGGTTAAACTCTGTGAGTTGAAGGCACACATCACAAAGTAGTTTCTGAGAATGATTCTGTCTAGTTTTTATTTGAAGATATTTCCTTTTCTACTGTTGGCATCAAATCGCTTGAAATCTCCACTTGCAAACTCCACAAAAAGAGTGTTTCAAATCTGCTCTGTGCAAAGGGACGTTCCACTCTGTGAGTTGAATACACACAGCACAAAGAAGTTACTGAGAATTCTTCTGTCTAGCAAGAAATGAAGAAATCCCGTTTCCAACGAAGGCCTCAATGCGGTCCATATATCCACTTGCAGACTTTACAAACAGAGTGTTTCCAAACTGCTCTATGAAAAGAAAGGTTAAACTATGTGAGTTGAACGCACACATCACAAAGAATTTTCTGAGAATGATTCTGTCTGGTTTTTATTTGAAGATATTTCCCTTTCTACTGTTGGCATCAAATGGCTAGAAATCTCCACTTGCAAATTCCGCAAAAAGAGTGTTTCAAATCTGCTCTGTCTAAAGGGACGTTCCACTCTGTGAGTTGAATGCACACAACACAAAGAATTTACTGAGAATTCTTCCGCCTAGCATTCAATGAAGAAATCCCGTTTCCAACGAAGGCCTCAAACAGGTCCATATATCCACTTGCAGACTTTACAAACAGAGTGTTTCCAAACTGCTCTATGAAAAGAAAGGTTAAACTATGTGAGTTGAACGCACACATCACAAAGAATTTTCTGAGAATGATTCTGTCTGGTTTTTATTTGAAGATATTTCCCTTTCTACTGTTGGCATCAAATGGCTAGAAATCTCCACTTGCAAATTCCGCAAAAAGAGTGTTTCAAATCTGCTCTGTCTAAAGGGACGTTCCACTCTGTGAGTTGAATGCACACAACACAAAGAATTTACTGAGAATTCTTCCGTCTAACATTCAATGAAGAAATCCCGTTTCCAACGAAGGCCTCAAAGAGGTCCATATATCCAGTTGCAGACTTTACAAACAGTGTGTTTCCAAACTCCTCTATGAAAAGAAAGGTTAAACTCTGTGAGTGGAACGCACACATCACAAAGCACTTTCTGAGAATGATTTTGTCTGGTTATTATACGAAGATATTTCCTTTTCTGCAATTGTCCTCAAATCGCTTGAAATCTCCACCTGAAAATGCCACAGCAAGAGTGTTTCAAATCTGCTCTCTCTAAAGCAAGGTTCAACTCTGTGAGTTGAATACACACAACACAAAAAAGTTACTGAGAACTCTTCTTAGTCTAGCATGAAAGGAAGAAACCCCGTTTGCAACGAAGGCCTCAAAGAGGTCCAAATATCCACTTGCAGACATAACAAGCAGAGTGTTTCTAAACTGCTCTAAGAAAAGAAAGGTTAAACTCTGTGAGTTGAAGGCACACATCACAAAGTAGTTTCTGAGAATGATTCTGTCTAGTTTTTATTTGAAGATATTTCCTTTTCTACTGTTGGCATCAAATCGCTTGAAATCTCCACTTGCAAATTCCACAAAAAGAGTGTTTCAAATCTGCTCTATGTAAAGGGACGTTCCACTCTGTGAGTTGAATACACACAGCACAAAGAAGTTACTGAGAATTCTTCTGTCTAGCATGAAATGAAGAAATCCCGTTTCCAACGAAGGCCTCAATGCGGTCCATATATCCACTTGCAGACTTTACAAACAGAGTGTTTCCAAACTGCTCTATGAAAAGAAAGGTTAAACTATGTGAGTTGAACGCACACATCACAAAGAATTTTCTGAGAATGATTCTGTCTGGTTTTTATTTGAAGATATTTCCCTTTCTACTGTTGGCATCAAATGGCTAGAAATCTCCACTTGCAAATTCCGCAAAAAGAGTGTTTCAAATCTGCTCTGTCTAAAGGGACGTTCCACTCTGTGAGTTGAATGCACACAACACAAAGAATTTACTGAGAATTCTTCCGTCTAGCATTCAATGAAGAAATCCCGTTTCCAACGAAGGCCTCAAACAGGTCCATATATCCACTTGCAGACTTTACAAACAGTGTGTTTCCAAACTCCTCTATGAAAAGAAAGGTTAAACTCTGTGAGTGGAACGCACACATCACAAAGCACTTTCTGAGAATGATTCTGTCTGGTTATTATACGAAGATATTTCCTTTTCTGCAATTGTCCTCAAATCGCTTGAAATCTCCACCTGAAAATGCCACAGCAAGAGTGTTTCAAATCTGCTCTCTCTAAAGCAAGGTTCAACTCTGTGAGTTGAATACACACAACACAAAAAAGTTACTGAGAACTCTTCTTAGTCTAGCATGAAAGGAAGAAACCCCGTTTGCAACGAAGGCCTCAAAGAGGTCCAAATATCCACTTGCAGACATAACAAGCAGAGTGTTTCTAAACTGCTCTAAGAAAAGAAAGGTTAAACTCTGTGAGTTGAAGGCACACATCACAAAGTAGTTTCTGAGAATGATTCTGTCTAGTTTTTATTTGAAGATATTTCCTTTTCTACTGTTGGTATCAAATCGCTTGAAATCTCCACTTGTAAACTCCACAAAAAGAGTGTTTCAAATCTGCTCTGTGCAAAGGGACGTTCCACTCTGTGAGTTGAATACACACAGCACAAAGAAGTTACTGAGAATTCTTCTGTCTAGCATGAAATGAAGAAATCCCGTTTCCAACGAAGGCCTCAATGCGGTCCATATATCCACTTGCAGACTTTACAAACAGAGTGTTTCCAAACTGCTCTATGAAAAGAAAGGTTAAACTATGTGAGTTGAACGCACACATCACAAAGAATTTTCTGAGAATGATTCTGTCTGGTTTTTATTTGAAGATATTTCCCTTTCTACTGTTGGCATCAAATGGCTAGAAATCTCCACTTGCAAATTCCGCAAAAAGAGTGTTTCAAATCTGCTCTGTCTAAAGGGACGTTCCACTCTGTGAGTTGAATGCACACCACACAAAGAATTTACTGAGAATTCTTCCGTCTAGCATTCAATGAAGAAATCCCGTTTCCAACGAAGGCCTCAAACAGGTCCATATATCCAATTGCAGACTTTACAAACAGTGTGTTTCCAAACTCCTCTATGAAAAGAAAGGTTAAACTCTGTGAGTTGAACGCACACATCACAAAGCACTTTCTGAGAATGATTCTGTCTGGTTGTTATACGAAGATATTTCCTTTTCTGAAATTGTCCTCAAATCGCTTGAAATCTCCACCTGAAAATGCCACAGCAAGAGTGTTTCAAATCTGCTCTCTCTAAAGCAAGGTTCAGCTCTGTGAGTTGAATACACACAACACAAAAAAGTTACTGAGAACTCTTCTTAGTCTAGCATTAAAGGAAGAAACCCCGTTTGCAACGAAGGCCTCAAAGAGGTCCAAATATCCACTTGCAGACATAACAAGCAGAGTGTTTCTAAACTGCTCTAAGAAAAGAAAGGTTAAACTCTGTGAGTTGAAGGCACACATCACAAAGTAGTTTCTGAGAATGATTCTGTCTAGTTTTTATTTGAAGATATTTCCTTTTCTACTGTTGGCATCAAATCGCTTGAAATCTCCACTTGCAAATTCCACAAAAAGAGTGTTTCAAATCTGCTCTGTGTAAAGGGACGTTCCACTCTGTGAGTTGAATACACACAGCACAAAGAAGTTACTTGAGAATTCTTCTGTCTAGCATGAAATGAAGAAATCCCTTTTCCAACGAAGGCCTCAAAGCGGTCCATATATCTACTTGCAGACTTTAAAAACACAGTGTTTCCAAACTGCTCTATGAAAAGAAAGGTTAAACTATGTGAGTTGAACGCACACATCACAAAGAATTTTCTGAGAATGATTCTGTCTGGTTTTTATTTGAAGATATTTCCCTTTCTACTGTTGGCATCAAATGGCTAGAAATCTCCACTTGCAAATTCCGCAAAAAGAGTGTTTCAAATCTGCTCTGTCTAAAGGGACGTTCCACTCTGTGAGTTGAATGCACACAACACAAAGAATTTACTGAGAATTCTTCCGCCTAGCATTCAATGAAGAAATCCCGTTTCCAACGAAGGCCTCAAACAGGTCCATATATCCACTTGCAGACTTTACAAACAGTGTGTTTCCAAACTCCTCTATGAAAAGAAAGGTTAAACTCTGTGAGTGGAACGCACACATCACAAAGCACTTTCTGAGAATGATTCTGTCTGGTTATTATACGAAGATATTTCCTTTTCTGCAATTGTCCTCAAATCGCTTGAAATCTCCACCTGAAAATGCCACAGCAAGAGTGTTTCAAATCTGCTCTCTCTAAAGCAAGGTTCAACTCTGTGAGTTGAATACACACAACACAAAAAAGTTACTGAGAACTCTTCTTAGTCTAGCATGAAAGGAAGAAACCCCGTTTGCAACGAAGGCCTCAAAGAGGTCCAAATATCCACTTGCAGACATAACAAGCAGAGTGTTTCTAAACTGCTCTAAGAAAAGAAAGGTTAAACTCTGTGAGTTGAAGGCAGACATCACAAAGTAGTTTCTGAGAATGATTCTGTCTAGTTTTTATTTGAAGATATTTCCTTTTCTACTGTTGGCATCAAATCGCTTGAAATCTCCACTTGCAAACTCCACAAAAAGAGTGTTTCAAATCTGCTCTGTGCAAAGGGACGTTCCACTCTGTGAGTTGAGTACACACAGCACAAAGAAGTTACTGAGAATTCTTCTGTCTAGCATGAAATGAAGAAATCCCGTTTCCAACGAAGGCCTCAATGCGGTCCATATATCCACTTGCAGACTTTACAAACAGAGTGTTTCCAAACTGCTCTATGAAAAGAAAGGTTAAACTATGTGAGTTGAACGCACACATCACAAAGAATTTTCTGAGAATGATTCTGTCTGGTTTTTATTTGAAGATATTTCCCTTTCTACTGTTGGCATCAAATGGCTAGAAATCTCCACTTGCAAATTCCGCAAAAAGAGTGTTTCAAATCTGCTCTGTCTAAAGGGACGTTCCACTCTGTGAGTTGAATGCACACCACACAAAGAATTTACTGAGAATTCTTCCGTCTAGCATTCAATGAAGAAATCCCGTTTCCAACGAAGGCCTCAAACAGGTCCATATATCCAATTGCAGACTTTACAAACAGTGTGTTTCCAAACTCCTCTATGAAAAGAAAGGTTAAACTCTGTGAGTTGAACGCACACATCACAAAGCACTTTCTGAGAATGATTCTGTCTGGTTATTATACGAAGATATTTCCTTTTCTGCAATTGTCCTCAAATCGCTTGAAATCTCCACCTGAAAATGCCACAGCAAGAGTGTTTCAAATCTGCTCTCTCTAAAGCAAGGTTCAACTCTGTGAGTTGAATACACACAACACAAAAAAAGTTACTGAGAACTCTTCTTAGTCTAGCATGAAAGGAAGAAACCCCGTTTGCAACGAAGGCCTCAAAGAGGTCCAAATATCCACTTGCAGACATAACAAGCAGAGTGTTTCTAAACTGCTCTAAGAAAAGAAAGGTTAAACTCTGTGAGTTGAAGGCACACATCACAAAGTAGTTTCTGAGAATGATTCTGTCTAGTTTTTATTTGAAGATATTTCCTTTTCTACTGTTGGCATCAAATCGCTTGAAATTTCCACTTGCAAATTCCACAAAAAGAGTGTTTCAAATCTGCTCTGTGCAAAGGGACGTTCCACTCTGTGAGTTGAATACACACAGCACAAAGGAGTTACTGAGAATTCTTCTGTCTAGCATGAAATGAAGAAATCCCGTTTCCAACGAAGGCCTCAATGCGGTCCATATATCCACTTGCAGACTTTACAAACAGAGTGTTTCCAAACTGCTCTATGAAAAGAAAGGTTAAACTATGTGAGTTGAACGCACACATCACAAAGAATTTTCTGAGAATGATTCTGTCTGGTTTTTATTTGAAGATATTTCCCTTTCTACTGTTGGCATCAAATGGCTAGAAATCTCCACTTGCAAATTCCGCAAAAAGAGTGTTTCAAATCTGCTCTGTCTAAAGGGACGTTCCACTCTGTGAGTTGAATGCACAAAACACAAAGAATTTACTGAGAATTCTTCCGTCTAGCATTCAATGAAGAAATCCCGTTTCCAAAGAAGGCCTCAAACAGGTCCATATATCCAATTGCAGACTTTACAAACAGTGTGTTTCCAAACTCCTCTATGAAAAGAAAGGTTAAACTCTGTGAGTTGAACGCACACATCACAAAGCACTTTCTGAGAATGATTCTGTCTGGTTATTATACGAAGATATTTCTTTTTCTGCAATTGTCCTCAAATCGCTTGAAATCTCCACCTGAAAATGCCACAGCAAGAGTGTTTCAAATCTGCTCTCTCTAAAGCAAGGTTCAACTCTGTGAGTTGAATACACACAACACAAAAAAGTTACTGAGAACTCTTCTTAGTCTAGCATGAAAGGAAGAAACCCCGTTTGCAACGAAGGCCTCAAAGAGGTCCAGATATCCACTTGCAGACATAACAAGCAGAGTGTTTCTAAACTGCTCTAAGAAAAGAAAGGTTGAACTCTGTGAGTTGAAGGCACACATCACAAAGTAGTTTCTGAGAATGATTCTGTCTAGTTTTTATTTGAAGATATTTCCTTTTCTACTGTTGGCAACAAATGGCTTGAAATCTCCACTTGCAAATTCCACAAAAAGAGTGTTTCAAATCTGCTCTGTGCAAAGGGACGTTCCACTCTGTGAGTTGAATACACACAGCACAAAGAAGTTACTGAGAATTCTTCTGTCTAGCATGAAATGAAGAAATCCCGTTTCCAACGAAGGCCTCAATGCGGTCCATATATCCACTTGCAGACTTTACAAACAGAGTGTTTCCAAACTGCTCTATGAAAAGAAAGGTTAAACTATGTGAGTTGAACGCACACATCACAAAGAATTTTCTGAGAATGATTCTGTCTGGTTTTTATTTGAAGATATTTCCCTTTCTACTGTTGGCATCAAATGGCTAGAAATCTCCACTTGCAAATTCCGCAAAAAGAGTGTTTCAAATCTGCTCTGTCTAAAGGGACGTTCCACTCTGTGAGTTGAATGCACACAACACAAAGAATTTACTGAGAATCCTTCCGTCTAGCATTCAATGAAGAAATCCCGTTTCCAACGAAGGCCTCAAACAGGTCCATATATCCAATTGCAGACATTACAAACAGTGTGTTTCCAAACTCCTCTATGAAAAGAAAGGTTAAACTCTGTGAGTTGAACGCAGACATCACAAAGCACTTTCTGAGAATGATTCTGTCTGGTTATTATACGAAGATATTTCCTTTTCTGCAATTGTCCTCAAATCGCTTGAAATCTCCACCTGAAAATGCCACAGCAAGAGTGTTTCAAATCTGCTCTCTCTAAAGCAAGGTTCAACTCTGTGAGTTGAATACACACAACACAAAAAAGTTACTGAGAACTCTTCTTAGTCTAGCATTAAAGGAAGAAACCCCGTTTGCAACGAAGGCCTCAAAGAGGTCCAAATATCCACTTGCAGACATAACAAGCAGAGTGTTTCTAAACTGCTCTAAGAAAAGAAAGGTTAAACTCTGTGAGTTGAAGGCACACATCACAAAGTAGTTTCTGAGAATGATTCTGTCTAGTTTTTATTTGAAGATATTTCCTTTTCTACTGTTGGCATCAAATCGCTTGAAATCTCCACTTGCAAACTCCACAAAAAGAGTATTTCAAATCTGCTCTGTGTAAAGGGACGTTCCACTCTGTGAGTTGAATACACACAGCACAAAGAAGTTACTGAGAATTCTTCTGTCTAGCATGAAATGAAGAAATCCCGTTTCCAACGAAGGCCTCAATGCGGTCCATATATCCACTTGCAGACTTTACAAACAGAGTGTTTCCAAACTGCTCTATGAAAAGAAAGGTAAAACTATGTGAGTTGAACGCACACATCACAAAGAATTTTCTGAGAATGATTCTGTCTGGTTTTTATTTGAAGATATTTCCCTTTCTACTGTTGGCATCAAATGGCTAGAAATCTCCACTTGCAAATTCCGCAAAAAGAGTGTTTCAAATCTGCTCTGTCTAAAGGGACGTTCCACTCTGTGAGTTGAATGCACACAACACAAAGAATTTACTGAGAATTCTTCCGTCTAGCATTCAATGAAGAAATCCCGTTTCCAACGAAGGCCTCAAACAGGTCCATATATCCAATTGCAGACTTTACAAACAGTGTGTTTCCAAACTCCTCTATGAAAAGAAAGGTTAAACTCTGTGAGTTGAACGCACACATCACAAAGCACTTTCTGAGAATGATTCTGTCTGGTTGTTATACGAAGATATTTCCTTTTCTGCAATTGTCCTCAAATCGCTTGAAATCTCCACCTGAAAATGCCACAGCAAGAGTGTTTCAAATCTGCTCTCTCTAAAGCAAGGTTCAACTCTGTGAGTTGAATACACACAACACAAAAATGTTACTGAGAACTCTTTTTAGTCTAGCATGAAAGGAAGAAACCCCGTTTGCAACGAAGGCCTCAAAGAGGTCCAAATATCCACTTGCAGACATAACAAGCAGAGTGTTTCTAAACTGCTCTAAGAAAAGAAAGGTTAAACTCTGTGAGTTGAAGGCACACATCACAAAGTAGTTTCTGAGAATGATTCTGTCTAGTTTTTATTTGAAGATATTTCCTTTTCTACTGTTGGCATCAAATCGCTTGAAATCTCCACTTGCAAACTCCACAAAAAGAGTGTTTCAAATCTGCTCTGTGTAAAGGGACGTTCCACTCTGTGAGTTGAATACACACAGCACAAAGAAGTTACTGAGAATTCTTCTGTCTAGCATGAAATGAAGAAATCTCGTTTCCAACGAAGGCCTCAATGCGGTCCATATATCCACTTGCAGACTTTACAAACAGAGTGTTTCCAAACTGCTCTATGAAAAGAAAGGTTAAACTATGTGAGTTGAACGCACACATCACAAAGAATTTTCTGAGAATGATTCTGTCTGGTTTTTATTTGAAGATATTTCCCTTTCTACTGTTGGCATCAAATGGCTAGAAATCTCCACTTGCAAATTCCGCAAAAAGAGTGTTTCAAATCTGCTCTGTCTTAAGGGACGTTCCACTCTGTCAGTTGAATGCACACAACACAAAGAATTTACTGAGAATTCTTCCGTCTAGCATGCAATGAAGAAATCCCGTTTCCAACGAAGGCCTCAAACAGGTCCATATATCCAATTGCAGACTTTACAAACAGTGTGTTTCCAAACTCCTCTATGAAAAGAAAGGTTAAACTCTGTGAGTTGAACGCACACATCACAAAGCACTTTCTGAGAATGATTCTGTCTGGTTGTTATACAAAGATATTTCCTTTTCTGCAATTGTCCTCAAATCGCTTGAAATCTCCACCTGAAAATGCCACAGCAAGAGTGTTTCAAATCTGCTCTCTCTAAAGCAAGGTTCAACTCTGTGAGTTGAATACACACAACACAAAAAAGTTACTGAGAACTCTTCTTAGTCTAGCATGAAAGGAAGAAACCCCGTTTGCAACGAAGGCCTCAAAGAGGTCCAAATATCCACTTGCAGACATAACAAGCAGAGTGTTTCTAAACTGCTCTAAGAAAAGAAAGGTTAAACTCTGTGAGTTGAAGGCACACATCACAAAGTAGTTTCTGAGAATGATTCTGTCTAGTTTTTATTTGAAGATATTTCCTTTTCTACTGTTGGCATCAAATCGCTTGAAATCTCCACTTGCAAACTCCACAAAAAGAGTGTTTCAAATCTGCTCTGTGCAAAGGGACGTTCCACTCTGTGAGTTGAATACACACAGCACAAAGAAGTTACTGAGAATTCTTCTGTCTAGCATGAAATGGAGAAATCCCGTTTCCAACGAAGGCCTCAATGCGGTCCATATATCCACTTGCAGACTTTACAAACAGAGTGTTTCCAAACTGGTCTATGAAAAGAAAGGTTAAACTATGTGATTTGAACGCACACATCACAAAGAATTTTCTGAGAATGATTCTGTCTGGTTTTTATTTGAAGATGTTTCCCTTTCTACTGTTGGCATCAAATGGCTAGAAATCTCCACTTGCAAATTCCGCAAAAAGAGTGTTTCAAATCTGCTCTGTCTAAAGGGACGTTCCACTCTGTCAGTTGAATGCACACAACACAAAGAATTTACTGAGAATTCTTCCGTCTAACATTCAATGAAGAAATCCCGTTTCCAACGAAGGCCTCAAACAGGTCCATATATCCAATTGCAGACTTTACAAACAGTGTTTTTCCAAACTCCTCTATGGAAAGAAAGGTTAAACTCTGTGAGTTGAACGCACACATCACAAAGCACTTTCTGAGAATGATTCTGTCTGGTTATTATACGAAGATATTTCCTTTTCTGCAATTGTCCTCAAATCGCTTGAAATCTCCACCTGAAAATGCCACAGCAAGAGTGTTTCAAATCTGCTCTCTCTAAAGCAAGGTTCAACTCTGTGAGTTGAATACACACAACACAAAAAAGTTACTGAGAACTCTTCTTAGTCTAGCATGAAAGGAAGAAACCCCGTTTGCAACGAAGGCCTCAAAGAGGTCCAAATATCCACTTGCAGACATAACAAGCAGAGTGTTTCTAAACTGCTCTAAGAAAAGAAAGGTTAAACTATGTGAGTTGAATGCACACATCACAAAGAATTTTCTGAGAATGATTCTGTCTGGTTTTTATTTGAAGATATTTCCCTTTCTACTGTTGGCATCAAATGGCTAGAAATCTCCACTTGCAAATTCCGCAAAAAGAGTGTTTCAAATCTGCTCTGTCTAAAGGGACGTTCCACTCTGTGAGTTGAATGCACACAACACAAAGAATTTACTGAGAATTCTTCCGTCTAGCATTCAATGAAGAAATCCCGTTTCCAACGAAGGCCTCAAACAGGTCCATATATCCACTTGCAGACTTTACAAACAGTGTGTTTCCAAACTCCTCTATGAAAAGAAAGGTTAAACTCTGTGAGTGGAACGCACACATCACAAAGCACTTTCTGAGAATGATTCTGTCTGGTTTTTATACGAAGATATTTCCTTTTCTGCAATTGTCCTCAAATCGCTTGAAATCTCCACCTGAAAATGCCACAGCAAGAGTGTTTCAAATCTGCTCTCTCTAAAGCAAGGTTCAACACTGTGAGTTGAATACACACAACACAAAGAAGTTACTGAGAACTCTTCTTAGTCTAGCATGAAAGGAAGAAACCCCGTTTGCAACGAAGGCCTCAAAGAGGTCCAAATATCCACTTGCAGACATAACAAGCAGAGTGTTTCTAAACTGCTCAAAGAAAAGAAAGGTTAAACTCTGTGAGTTGAAGGCAGACATCACAAAGTAGTTTCTGAGAATGATTCTGTCTAGTTTTTATTTGAAGATATTTCCTTTTCTACTGTTGGCATCAAATCGCTTGAAATCTCCACTTGCAAACTCCACGAAAAGAGTGTTTCAAATCTGCTCTGTGCAAAGGGACGTTCCACTCTGTGAGTTGAGTACACACAGCACAAAGAAGTTACTGAGAATTCTTCTGTCTAGCATGAAATGAAGAAATCCCGTTTCCAACGAAGGCCTCAATGCGGTCCATATATCCACTTGCAGACTTTACAAACAGAGTGTTTCCAAACTGCTCTATGAAAAGAAAGGTTAAACTATGTGAGTTGAACGCACACATCACAAAGAATTTTCTGAGAATGATTCTGTCTGGTTTTTATTTGAAGATGTTTCCCTTTCTACTGTTGGCATCAAATGGCTAGAAATCTCCACTTGCAAATTCCGCAAAAAGAGTGTTTCAAATCTGCTCTGTCTAAAGGGACGTTCCACTCTGTGAGTTGAATGCACACAACACAAAGAATTTACTGAGAATTCTTCGGTCTAGCATTCAATGAAGAAATCCCGTTTCCAACGAAGGCCTCAAAGAGGTCCATATATCCACTTGCAGACTTTACAAACAGTGTGTTTCCAAACTCCTCTATGAAAAGAAAGGTTAAACTCTGTGAGTTGAACGCACACATCACAAAGCACTTTCTGAGAATGATTCTGTCTGGTTATTATACGAAGATATTTCCTTTTCTGCAATTGTCCTCAAATCGCTTGAAATCTCCACCTGAAAATGCCACAGCAAGAGTGTTTCAAATCTGCTCTCTCTAAAGCAAGGTTCAACTCTGTGAGTTGAATACACACAACACAAAAAAGTTACTGAGAACTCTTCTTAGTCTAGCATTAAAGGAAGAAAGCCCGTTTGCAACGAAGGCCTCAAAGAGGTCCAAATATCCACTTGCAGACATAACAAGCAGAGTGTTTCTAAACTGCTCTAAGAAAAGAAAGGTTAAACTCTGTGAGTTGAACGCACACATCACAAAGTAGTTTCTGAGAATGATTCTGTCTAGTTTTTATTTGAAGATATTTCCTTTTCTACTGTTGGCATCAAATCGCTTGAAATCTCCACTTGCAAATTCCACAAAAAGAGTGTTTCAAATCTGCTCTGTGCAAAGGGACGTTCCACTCTGTGAGTTGAATACACACAGCACAAAGAAGTTACTGAGAATTCTTCTGTCTAGCATGAAATGAAGAAATCCCGTTTCCAACGAAGGCCTCAATGCGGTCCATATAGCCACTTGCAGACTTTACAAACAGAGTGTTTCCAAACTGCTCTATGAAAAGAAAGGTTAAACTATGTGAGTTGAACGCACACATCACAAAGAATTTTCTGAGAATGATTCTGTCTGGTTTTTATTTGAAGATATTTCCCTTTCTACTGTTGGCATCAAATGGCTAGAAATCTCCACTTGCAAATTCCGCAAAAAGAGTGTTTCAAATCTGCTCTGTCTAAAGGGACGTTCCACTCTGTCAGTTGAATGCACACAACACAAAGAATTTACTGAGAATTCTTCCGTCTAGCATTCAATGAAGAAATCCCGTTTCCAACGTAAGGCCTCAAACAGGTCCATATATCCAATTGCAGACTTTACAAACAGTGTGTTTCCAAACTCCTCTATGAAAAGAAAGGTTAAACTCTGTGAGTTGAACGCACACATCACAAAGCACTTTCTGAGAATGATTTTGTCTGGTTATTATACGAAGATATTTCCTTTTCTGCAATTGTCCTCAAATCGCTTGAAATCTCCACCTGAAAATGCCACAGCAAGAGTGTTTCAAATCTGCTCTCTCTAAAGCAAGGTTCAACTCTGTGAGTTGAATACACACAACACAAAAAAGTTACTGAGAACTCTTCTTAGTCTAGCATGAAAGGAAGAAACCCCGTTTGCAACGAAGGCCTCAAAGAGGTCCAAATATCCACTTGCAGACATAACAAGCAGAGTGTTTCTAAACTGCTCTAAGAAAAGAAAGGTTAAACTCTGTGAGTTGAAGGCACACATCACAAAGTAGTTTCTGAGAATGATTCTGTCTAGTTTTTATTTGAAGATATTTCCTTTTCTACTGTTGGCATCAAATCGCTTGAAATCTCCACTTGCAAATTCCACAAAAAGAGTGTTTCAAATCTGCTCTGTGCAAAGGGACGTTCCACTCTGTGAGTTGAATACACACAGCACAAAGGAGTTACTGAGAATTCTTCTGTCTAGCATGAAATGAAGAAATCCCGTTTCCAACGAAGGCCTCAATGCGGTCCATATATCCACTTGCAGACTTTACAAACAGAGTGTTTCCAAACTGCTCTATGAAAAGAAAGGTTAAACTATGTGAGTTGAACGCACACATCACAAAGAATTTTCTGAGAATGATTCTGTCTGGTTTTTATTTGAAGATATTTCCCTTTCTACTGTTGGCATCAAATGGCTAGAAATCTCCACTTGCAAATTCCGCAAAAAGAGTGTTTCAAATCTGCTCTGTCTAAAGGGACGTTCCACTCTGTGAGTTGAATGCACACCACACAAAGAATTTACTGAGAATTCTTCCGTCTAGCATTCAATGAAGAAATCCCGTTTCCAACGAAGGCCTCAAACAGGTCCATATATCCAATTGCAGACTTTACAAACAGTGTGTTTCCAAACTCCTCTATGAAAAGAAAGGTTAAACTCTGTGAGTTGAACGCACACATCACAAAGCACTTTCTGAGAATGATTCTGTCTGGTTATTATACGAAGATATTTCCTTTTCTGCAATTGTCCTCAAATCGCTTGAAATCTCCACCTGAAAATGCCACAGCAAGAGTGTTTCAAATCTGCTCTCTCTAAAGCAAGGTTCAACTCTGTGAGTTGAATACACACAACACAAAAAAGTTACTGAGAACTCTTCTTAGTCTAGCATTAAAGGAAGAAACCCCGTTTGCAACGAAGGCCTCAAAGAGGTCCAAATATCCACTTGCAGACATAACAAGCAGAGTGTTTCTAAGCTGCTCTAAGAAAAGAAAGGTTAAACTCTGTGAGTTGAAGGCACACATCACAAAGTAGTTTCTGAGAATGATTCTGTCTAGTTTTTATTTGAAGATACTTCCTTTTCTACTGTTGGCATCAAATCGCTTGAAATCTCCACTTGCAAACTCCACAAAAAGAGTGTTTCAAATCTGCTCTGTGCAAAGGGACGTTCCACTCTGTGAGTTGAATACACACAGCACAAAGAAGTTACTGAGAATTCTTCTGTCTAGCATGAAATGAAGAAATCCCGTTTCCAACGAAGGCCTCAATGCGGTCCATATATCCACTTGCAGACTTTACAAACAGAGTGTTTCCAAACTGCTCTATGAAAAGAAAGGTTAAACTATGTGAGTTGAACGCACACATCACAAAGAATTTTCTGAGAATGATTCTGTCTAGTTTTTATTTGAAGATATTTCCCTTTGTACTGTTGGCAACAAATGGCTAGAAATCTCCACCTGCAACTTCCGCAAAAAGAGTGTTTCAAATCTGCTCTGTCTAAAGGGACGTTCCACTCTGTGAGTTGAATGCACACAACACAAAAAAGTTACTGAGAACTCTTCTTAGTCTAGCATGAAAGGAAGAAACCCCGTTTGCAACGAAGGCCTCAAAGAGGTCCAAATATCCACTTGCAGACATAACAAGCAGAGTGTTTCTAAACTGCTCTAAGAAAAGAAAGGTTAAACTCTGTGAGTTGAAGGCACACATCACAAAGTAGTTTCTGAGAATGATTCTGTCTAGTTTTTATTTGAAGATATTTCCTTTTCTACTGTTGGCATCAAATCGCTTGAAATCTCCACTTGCAAATTCAACAAAAAGAGTGTTTCAAATCTGCTCTGTGTAAAGGGACGTTCCACTCTGTGAGTTGAATACACACAGCACAAAGAAGTTACTGAGAATTCTTCTGTCTAGCATGAAATGAAGAAATCTCGTTTCCAACGAAGGCCTCAATGCGGTCCATATATCCACTTGCAGACTTTACAAACAGAGTGTTTCCAAACTGTTCTATGAAAAGAAAGGTTAAACTATGTGAGTTGAACGCACACATCACAAAGAATTTTCTGAGAATGATTCTGTCTGGTTTTTATTTGAAGATATTTCCCTTTCTACTGTTGGCATCAAATGGCTAGAAATCTCCACTTGCAAATTCCGCAAAAGAGTGTTTCAAATCTGCTCTGTCTAAAGGGACGTTCCACTCTGTGAGTTGAATGCACACAACACAAAGAATTTACTGAGAATTCTTCCGTCTAGCATTCAATGAAGAAATCCCGTTTCCAACGGAAGCCTCAAACAGGTCCATATATCCAATTGCAGACTTTACAAACAGTGTGTTTCCAAGCTCCTCTATGAAAAGAAAGGTTAAACTCTGTGAGTTGAACGCACACATCACTAAGCACTTTCTGAGAATGATTCTGTCTGGTTATTATACGAAGATATTTCCTTTTCTGCAATTGTCCTCAAATCGCTTGAAATCTCCACCTGAAAATTCCACAGCAAGAGTGTTTCAAATCTGCTCTCTCTAAAGCAAGGTTCAACTCTGTGAGTTGAATACACACAACACAAAAAAGTTACTGAGAACTCTTCTTAGTCTAGCATGAAAGGAAGAAACCCCGTTTGCAACGAAGGCCTCAAAGAGGTCCAAATATCCACTTGCAGACATAACAAGCAGAGTGTTTCTAAACTGCTCTAAGAAAAGAAAGGTTGAACTCTGTGAGTTGAAGGCACACATCACAAAGTAGTTTCTGAGAATGATTCTGTCTAGTTTTTATTTGAAGATATTTCCTTTTCTACTGTTGGCATCAAATCGCTTGAAATCTTCACTTGCAAACTCCACAAAAAGAGTGTTTCAAATCTGCTCTGTGTAAAGGGACGTTCCACTCTGTGAGTTGAATACACAAAGCACAAAGAAGTTGCTGAGAGTTCTTCTGTCTAGCATGAAATGAAGAAATCCCGTTTCCAACGAAGGCCTCAATGCGGTCCATATATCCACTTGCAGACTTTACAAACAGAGTGTTTCCAAACTGCTCTATGAAAAGAAAGGTTAAACTATGTGAGTTGAACGCACACATCACAAAGAATTTTCTGAGAATGATTCTGTCTGGTTTTTATTTGAAGATATTTCCCTTTCTACTGTTGGCATCAAATGGCTAGAAATCTCCACTTGCAAATTCCGCAAAAAGAGTGTTTCAAATCTGCTCTGTCTAAAGGGACGTTCCACTCTGTGAGTTGAATGCACACAACACAAAGAATTTACTGAGAATTCTTCCGTCTAGCATTCAATGAAGAAATCCCGTTTCCAACGAAGGCCTCAAACAGGTCCATATATCCACTTGCAGACTTTACACACAGTGTGTTTCCAAACTCCTCTATGAAAAGAAAGGTTAAACTCTGTGAGTGGAACGCACACATCACAAAGCACTTTCTGAGAATGATTCTGTCTGGTTGTTATACGAAGATATTTCCTTTTCTGCAATTGTCCTCAAATCGCTTGAAATCTCCACCTGAAAATGCCACAGCAAGAGTGTTTCAAATCTGCTCTCTCTAAAGCAAGGTTCAACTCTGTGAGTTGAATACACACAACACAGAAAAGTTACTGAGAACTCTTCTTAGTCTAGCATGAAAGGAAGAAACCCCGTTTGCAACGAAGGCCTCAAAGAGGTCCAAATATCCACTTGCAGACATAACAAGCAGAGTGTTTCTAAACTGCTCTAAGAAAAGAAAGGTTAAACTCTGTGAGTTGAAGGCACACATCACAAAGTAGTTTCTGAGAATGATTCCTGTCTAGTTTTTATTTGAAGATATTTCCTTTTCTACTGTTGGCATCAAATCGCTTGAAATCTCCAATTGCAAACTCCACAAAAAGAGTGTTTCAAATCTGCTCTGTGCAAAGGGACGTTCCACTCTGTGAGTTGAATACACACAGCACAAAGAAGTTACTGAGAATTCTTCTGTCTAGCATGAAATGAAGAAATCCCGTTTCCAACGAAGGCCTCAATGCGGTCCATATATCCACTTGCAGACTTTACAAACAGAGTGTTTCCAAACTGCTCTATGAAAAGAAAGGTTAAACTATGTGAGTTGAACGCACACATCACAAAGAATTTTCTGAGAATGATTCTGTCTGGTTTTTATTTGAAGATATTTCCCTTTCAACTGTTGGCATCAAATGGCTAGAAATCTCCACTTGCAAATTCCGCAAAAAGAGTGTTTCAAATCTGCTCTGTCTAAAGGGACGGTTCCACTCTGTGAGTTGAATGCACACAACACAAAGAATTTACTGAGAATTCTTCCGTCTAGCATTCAATGAAAGAAATCCCGTTTCCAACGAAGGCCTCAAACAGGTCCATATATCCAATTGCAGACTTTACAAACAGTGTGTTTCCAAACTCCTCTATGAAAAGAAAGGTTAAACTCTGTGAGTTGAACGCACACATCACAAAGCACTTTCTGAGAATGATTCTGTCTGGTTGTTATACGAAGATATTTCCTTTTCTGCAATTGTCCTCAAATCGCTTGAAATCTCCACCTGAAAATGCCACAGCAAGAGTGTTTCAAATCTGCTCTCTCTAAAGCAAGGTTCAACTCTGTGAGTTGAATACACACAACACAAAAATGTTACTGAGAACTCTTCTTAGTCTAGCATTAAAGGAAGAAACCCCGTTTGCAACGAAGGCCTCAAAGAGGTCCAAATATCCACTTGCAGACATAACAAGCAGAGTGTTTCTAAACTGCTCTAAGAAAAGAAAGGTTAAACTCTGTGAGTTGAAGGCACACATCACAAAGTAGTTTCTGAGAATGATTCTGTCTAGTTTTTATTTGAAGATACTTCCTTTTCTACTGTTGGCATCAAATCGCTTGAAATCTCCACTTGCAAACTCCACAAAAAGAGTGTTTCAAATCTGCTCTGTGCAAAGGGACGTTCCACTCTGTGAGTTGAATACACACAGCACAAAGAAGTTACTGAGAATTCTTCTGTCTAGCATGAAATGAAGAAATCCCGTTTCCAACGAAGGCCTCAATGCGGTCCATATATCCACTTGCAGACTTTACAAACAGAGTGTTTCCAAACTGCTCTATGAAAAGAAAGGTTAAACTATGTGAGTTGAACGCACACATCACAAAGAATTTTCTGAGAATGATTCTGTCTGGTTTTTATTTGAAGATGTTTCCCTTTCTACTGTTGGCATCAAATGGCTAGAAATCTCCACTTGCAAATTCCGCAAAAAGAGTGTTTCAAATCTGCTCTGTCTAAAGGGACGTTTCACTCTGTGAGTTGAATGCACACAACACAAAGAATTTACTGAGAATTCTTCCGTCTAGCATTCAATGAAGAAATCCCGTTTCCAACGAAGGCCTCAAACAGGTCCATATATCCACTTGCAGAGTTTACAAACAGTGTGTTTCCAAACTCCTCTATGAAAAGAAAGGTTAAACTCTGTGAGTGGAACGCACACATCACAAAGCACTTTCTGAGAATGATTCTTTCTGGTTATTATACGAAGATATTTCCTTTTCTGCAATTGTCCTCAAATCGCTTGAAATCTCCACCTGAAAATGTCACAGCAAGAGTGTTTCAAATCTGCTCTCTCTAAAGCAAGGTTCAACTCTGTGAGTTGAATACACACAACACAAAAAAGTTACTGAGAACTCTTCTTAGTCTAGCATGAAAGAAGAAACCCCGTTTGCAACGAAGGCCTCAAAGAGGTCCAAATATCCACTTGCAGACATAACAAGCAGAGTGTTTCTAAACTGCTCTAAGAAAAGAAAGGTTAAACTCTGTGAGTTGAAGGCACACATCACAAAGTAGTTTCTGAGAATGATTCTGTCTAGTTTGTATTTGAAGATATTTCCTTTTCTACTGTTGGCATCAAATCGCTTGAAATCTTCACTTGCAAACTCCACAAAAAGAGTGTTTCAAATCTGCTCTGTGTAAAGGGACGTTCCACTCTGTGAGTTGAATACACACAGCACAAAGAAGTTGCTGAGAGTTCTTCTGTCTAGCATGAAATGAAGAAATCCCGTTTCCAACGAAGGCCTCAATGCGGTCCATATATCCACTTGCAGACTTTACAAACAGAGTGTTTCCAAACTGCTCTATGAAAAGAAAGGTTAAACTATGTGAGTTGAACGCACACATCACAAAGTATTTTCTGAGAATGATTCTGTCTGGTTTTTATTTGAAGATATTTCCCTTTCTACTGTTGGCATCAAATGGCTAGAAATCTCCACTTGCAAATTCCGCAAAAAGAGTGTTTCAAATCTGCTCTGTCTAAAGGGACGTTCCACTCTGTGAGTTGAATGCACACAACACAAAGAATTTACTGAGAATTCTTCCGTCTAGCATTCAATGAAGAAATCCCGTTTCCAACGAAGGCCTTAAACAGGTCCATATATCCAATTGCAGACTTTACAAACAGTGTGTTTCCAAACTCCTCTATGAAAAGAAAGGTTAAACTCTGTGAGTTGAACGCACACATCACAAAGCACTTTCTGAGAATTATTCTGTCTGGTTATTATACGAAGATATTTCCTTTTCTGCAATTGTCCTCAAATCGCTTGAAATCTCCACCTGAAAATGCCACAGCAAGAGTGTTTCAAATCTGCTCTCTCTAAAGCAAGGTTCAACTCTGTGAGTTGAATACACACAACACAAAAAAGTTACTGAGAACTCTTCTTAGTCTAGCATGAAAGGAAGAAACCCCGTTTGCAACGAAGGCCTCAAAGAGGTAAAAATATCCACTTGCAGACATAACAAGCAGAGTGTTTCTAAACTGCTCTATGAAAAGAAAGGTTAAACTCTGTGAGTTGAAGGCACACATCACAAAGTAGTTTCTGAGAATGATTCTGTCTAGTTTTTATTTGAAGATATTTCCTTTTCTACTGTTGGCATCAAATCGCTTGAAATCTCCACTTGCAAACTCCACAAAAAGAGTGTTTCAAATCTGCTCTGTGTAAAGGGACGTTCCACTCTGTGAGTTGAATACACACAGCACAAAGAAGTTACTGAGAATTCTTCTGTCTAGCATGAAATGAAGAAATCCCGTTTCCAACGAAGGCCTCAATGCGGTCCATATATCCACTTGCAGACTTTACAAACAGAGTGTTTCCAAACTGCTCTATGAAAAGAAAGGTTAAATTATGTGAGTTGAACGCACACATCACAAAGAATTTTCTGAGAATGATTCTGTCTGGTTTTTATTTGAAGATATTTCCCTTTCTACTGTTGGCATCAAATGGCTAGAAATCTCCACTTGCAAATTCCGCAAAAAGAGTGTTTCAAATCTGCTCTGTCTAAAGGGACGTTCCACTCTGTGAGTTGAATGCACACAACACAAAGAATTTACTGAGAATTCTTCCGTCTAGCATTCAATGAAGAAATCCCGTTTCCAACGGAGGCCTCAAACAGGTCCATATATCCAATTGCAGACTTTACAAACAGTGTGTTTCCAAACTCCTCTATGAAAAGAAAGGTTAAACTCTGTGAGTTGAACGCACACATCACAAAGCACTTTCTGAGAATGATTCTGTCTGGTTATTATACGAAGATATTTCCGTTTCTGCAATTGTCCTCAAATCGCTTGAAATCTCCACCTGAAAATGCCACAGCAAGAGTGTTTCAAATCTGCTCTCTCTAAAGCAAGGTTCAACTCTGTGAGTTGAATACACACAACACAAAAAAGTTACTGAGAACTCTTCTTAGTCTAGCATTAAAGGAAGAAACCCCGTTTGCAACGAAGGCCTCAAAGAGGTCCAAATATCCACTTGCAGACATAACAAGCAGAGTGTTTCTAAGCTGCTCTAAGAAAAGAAAGGTTAAACTCTGTGAGTTGAAGGCACACATCACAAAGTAGTTTCTGAGAATGATTCTGTCTAGTTTTTATTTGAAGATATTTCCTTTTCTACTGTTGGCATAAAATCGCTTGAAATCTCCACTTGCAAACTCCACAAAAAGAGTGTTTCAAATCTGCTCTGTGTAAAGGGACGTTGCACTCTGTGAGTTGAATACACACAGCACAAAGAAGTTACTGAGAATTCTTCTGTCTAGCATGAAATGAAGAAATCCCGTTTCCAACGAAGGCCTCAATGCGGTCCATAGATCCACTTGCAGACTTTACAAACAGAGTGTTTCCAAACTGCTCTATGAAAAGAAAGGTTAAACTATGTGAGTTGAACGCACACATCACAAAGAATTTTCTGAGAATGATTCTGTCTGGTTTTTATTTGAAGATATTTCCCTTTCTACTGTTGGCATCAAATGGCTAGAAATCTCCACTTGCAAATTCCGCAAAAAGAGTGTTTCAAATCTGCTCTGTCTAAAGGGACGTTCCACTCTGTCAGTTGAATGCACACAACACAAAGAATTTACTGAGAATTCTTCCGTCTAGCATTCAATGAAGAAATCCCGTTTCCAACGAAGGCCTCAAACAGGTCCATATATCCAATTGCAGACTTTACAAACAGTGTGTTTCCAAACTCCTCTATGAAAAGAAAGGTTAAACTCTGTGAGTTGAACGCACACAACACAAAGCACTTTCTGAGAATGATTCTGTCTGGTTATTATACGAAGATATTTCCTTTTCTGCAATTGTCCTCAAATCGCTTGAAATCTCCACCTGAAAATGCCACAGCAAGAGTGTTTCAAATCTGCTCTCTCTAAAGCAAGGTTCAACTCTGTGAGTTGAATACACACAACACAAAAAAGTTACTGAGAACTCTTCTTAGTCTAGCATTAAAGGAAGAAACCCCGTTTGCAACGAAGGCCTCAAAGAGGTCCAAATATCCACTTGCAGACATAACAAGCAGAGTGATTCTAAACTGCTCTAAGAAAAGAAAGGTTAAACTCTGTGAGTTGAAGGCACACATCACAAAGTAGTTTCTGAGAATGATTCTGTCTAGTTTTTATTTGAAGATATTTCCTTTTCTACTGTTGGCATCAAATCGCTTGAAATCTCCACTTGCAAACTCCACAAAAAGAGTGTTTCAAATCTGCTCTGTGCAAAGGGATGTTCCACTCTGTGAGTTGAATACACACAGCACAAAGAAGTTACTGAGAATTCTTCTGTCTAGCATGAAATGAAGAAATCCCGTTTCCAACGAAGGCCTCAATGCGGTCCATATATCCACTTGCAGACTTTACAAACAGAGTGTTTCCAAACTGCTCTATGAAAAGAAAGGTTAAACTATGTGAGTTGAACGCACACATCACAAAGAATTTTCTGAGAATGATTCTGTCTGGTTTTTATTTGAAGATGTTTCCCTTTCTACTGTTGGCATCAAATGGCTAGAAATCTCCACTTGCAAATTCCGCAAAAAGAGTGTTTCAAATCTGCTCTGTCTAAAGGGACGTTCCACTCTGTGAGTTGAATGCACACAACACAAAGAATTTACTGAGAATTCTTCCGTCTAGCATTCAATGAAGAAATCCCGTTTCCAACGAAGGCCTCAAACAGGTCCATATATCCACTTGCAGACTTTACAAACAGTGTGTTTCCAAACTCCTCTATGAAAAGAAAGGTTAAACTCTGTGAGTGGAACGCACACATCACAAAGCACTTTCTGAGAATGATTCTGTCTGGTTATTATACGAAGATATTTCCTTTTCTGCAATTGTCCTCAAATCGCTTGAAATCTCCACCTGAAAATGCCACAGCAAGAGTGTTTCAAATCTGCTCTCTCTAAAGCAAGGTTCAACTCTGTGAGTTGAATACACACAACACAAAAAAGTTACTGAGAACTCTTCTTAGTCTAGCATGAAAGGAAGAAACCCCGTTTGCAACGAAGGCCTCAAAGAGGTCCAAATATCCACTTGCAGACATAACAAGCAGAGTGTTTCTAAACTGCTCTAAGAAAAGAAAGGTTAAACTCTGTGAGTTGAAGGCACACATCACAAAGTAGTTTCTGAGAATGATTCTGACTAGTTTTTATTTGAAGATATTTCCTTTTCTACTGTTGGCATCAAATCGCTTGAAATCTCCACTTGCAAACTCCACAAAAAGAGTGTTTCAAATCTGCTCTGTGTAAAGGGACGTTCCACTCTGTGAGTTGAATACACACAGCACAAAGAAGTTACTGAGAATTCTTCTGTCTAGCATGAAATGAAGAAATCCCGTTTCCAACGAAGGCCTCAATGCGGTCCATATATCCACTTGCAGACTTTACAAACAGAGTGTTTCCAAACTGCTCTATGAAAAGAAAGGTTAAACTATGTGAGTTGAACGCACACATCACAAAGAATTTTCTGAGAATGATTCTGTCTGGTTTTTATTTGAAGATGTTTCCCTTTCTACTGTTGGCATCAAATGGCTAGAAATCTCCACTTGCAAATTCCGCAAAAAGAGTGTTTCAAATCTGCTCTGTCTAAAGGGACGTTCCACTCTGTGAGTTGAATGCACACAACACAAAGAATTTACTGAGAATTCTTCCGTCTAGCATTCAATGAAGAAATCCCGTTTCCAACGAAGGCCTCAAACAGGTCCATATATCCACTTGCAGACTTTACAAACAGTGTGTTTCCAAACTCCTCTATGGAAAGAAAAGTTAAACTCTGTGAGTTGAACGCACACATCACAAAGCACTTTCTGAGAATGATTCTGTCTGGTTGTTATACGAAGATATTTCCTTTTCTGAAATTGTCCTCAAATCGCTTGAAATCTCCACCTGAAAATGCCACAGCAAGAGTGTTTCAAATCTGCTCTCTCTAAAGCAAGGTTCAGCTCTGTGAGTTGAATACACACAACACAAAAAAGTTACTGAGAACTCTTCTTAGTCTAGCATTAAAGGAAGAAACCCCGTTTGCAACGAAGGCCTCAAAGAGGTCCAAATATCCACTTGCAGACATAACAAGCAGAGTGTTTCTAAACTGCTCTAAGAAAAGAAAGGTTAAACTCTGTGAGTTGAAGGCACACATCACAAAGTAGTTTCTGAGAATGATTCTGTCTAGTTTTTATTTGAAGATATTTCCTTTTCTACTGTTGGCATCAAATCGCTTGAAATCTCCACTTGCAAATTCCACAAAAAGAGTGTTTCAAATCTGCTCTGTGCAAAGGGACGTTCCACTCTGTGAGTTGAATACACACAGCACAAAGAAGTTACTGAGAATTCTTCTGTCTAGCATGAAATGAAGAAATCCCGTTTCCAACGAAGGCCTCAATGCGGTCCATATATCCACTTGCAGACTTTGCAAACAGAGTGTTTCCAAACTGCTCTATGAAAAGAAAGGTTAAACTATGTGATTTGAACGCACACATCACAAAGAATTTTATGAGAATGATTCTGTCTGGTTTTTATTTGAAGATATTTCCCTTTCTACTGTTGGCATCAAATGGCTAGAAATCTCCACTTGCAAATTCCGCAAAAAGAGTGTTTCAAATCTGCTCTGTCTAAAGGGACGTTCCACTCTGTGAGTTGAATGCACACAACACAAAGAATTTACTGAGAATTCTTCCGTCTAGCATTCAATGAAGAAATCCCGTTTCCAACGAAGGCCTCAAACAGGTCCATATATCCAATTGCAGACTTTACAAACAGTGTGTTTCCAAACTCCTCAATGAAAAGAAAGGTTAAACTCTGTGAGTTGAACGCACACATCACAAAGCACTTTCTGAGAATGATTCTGTCTGGTTATTATACGAAGATATTTCCTTTTCTGCAATTGTCCTCAAATCGCTTGAAATCTCCACCTGAAAATGCCACAGCAAGAGTGTTTCAAATCTGCTCTCTCTAAAGCAAGGTTCAACTCTGTGAGTTGAATACACACAACACAAAAAAGTTACTGAGAACTCTTCTTAGTCTAGCATGAAAGGAAGAAACCCCGTTTGCAACGAAGGCCTCAAAGAGGTCCAAATATCCACTTGCAGACATAACAAGCAGAGTGTTTCTAAACTGCTCTAAGAAAAGAAAGGTTAAACTCTGTGAGTTGAAGGCACACATCACGAAGTAGTTTCTGAGAATGATTCTGTCTAGTTTTTATTTGAAGATATTTCCTTTTCTACTGTTGGCATCAAATCGCTTGAAATCTCCACTTACAAACTCCACAAAAAGAGTGTTTCAAATCTGCTCTGTGTAAAGGGACGTTCCACTCTGTGAGTTGAATACACACAGCACAAAGAAGTTACTGAGAATTCTTCTGTCTAGCATGAAATGAAGAAATCCCGTTTCCAACGAAGGCCTCAATGCGGTCCATATATCCACTTGCAGACTTTACAAACAGAGTGTTTCCAAACTGCTCTATGAAAAGAAAGGTTAAACTATGTGAGTTGAACGCACACATCACAAAGAATTTTCTGAGAATGATTCTGCCTGGTTTTTATTTGAAGTATATTTCCCTTTCTACTGTTGGCATCAAATGGCTAGAAATCTCCACTTGCAAATTCCGCAAAAAGAGTGTTTCAAATCTGCTCTGTCTAAAGGGACGTTCCACTCTGTGAGTTGAATGCACACAACACAAAGAATTTACTGAGAATTCTTCCGTCTAGCATTCAATGAAGAAATCCCGTTTCCAACGAAGGCCTCAAACAGGTCCATATATCCACTTGCAGACTTTACAAACAGTGTGTTTCCAAACTCCTCTATGAAAAGAAAGGTTAAACTCTGTGAGTGGAACGCACACATCACAAAGCGCTTTCTGAGAATGATTCTGTCTGGTTATTATACGAAGATATTTCCTTTTCTGCAATTGTCCTCAAATCGCTTGAAATCTCCACCTGAAAATGCCACAGCAAGAGTGTTTCAAATCTGCTCTCTCTAAAGCAAGGTTCAACTCTGTGAGTTGAATACACACAACACAAAAAAGTTACTGAGAACACTTCTTAGTCTAGCATGAAAGGAAGAAACCCCGTTTGCAACGAAGGCCTCAAAGAGGTCCAAATATCCCCTTGCAGACATAACAAGCAGAGTGTTTCTAAACTGCTCTAAGAAAAGAAAGGTTAAACTCTGTGAGTTAAAGGCACACATCACAAAGTAGTTTCTGAGAATGATTCTGTCTAGTTTTTATTTGAAGATATTTCCTTTTCTACTGTTGGCATCAAATCGCTTGAAATCTCCACTTGCAAACTCCACAAAAAGAGTGTTTCAAATCTGCTCTGTGTAAAGGGACGTTCCACTCTGTGAGTTGAATACACACAGCACAAAGAAGTTACTGAGAATTCTTCTGTCTAGCATGAAAGGAAGAAACCCCGTTTGCAACGAAGGCCTCAATGCGGTCCATATATCCACTTGCAGACTTTACAAACAGAGTGTTTCCAAACTGCTCTATGAAAAGAAAGGTTAAACTATGTGAGTTGAACGCACACATCACAAAGAATTTTCTGAGAATGATTCTGTCTGGTTTTTATTTGAAGATATTTCCCTTTCTACTGTTGGCATCAAATGGCTAGAAATCTCCACTTGCAAATTCCGCAAAAAGAGTGTTTCAAATCTGCTCTGTCTAAAGGGACGTTCCACTCTGTGAGTTGAATGCACACAACACAAAGAATTTACTGAGAATTCTTCCGTCTAGCATGCAATGAAGAAATCCCGTTTCCAACGAAGGCCTCAAACAGGTCCATATATCCAATTGCAGACTTTACAAACAGTGTGTTTCCAAACTCCTCTATGAAAAGAAAGGTTAAACTCTGTGAGTTGAACGCACACATCACAAAGCACTTTCTGAGAATGATTCTGTCTGGTTGTTATACGAAGATATTTCCTTTTCTGCAATTGTCCTCAAATCGCTTGAAATCTCCACCTGAAAATGCCACAGCAAGAGTTTTTCAAATCTGCTCTCTCTAAAGCAAGGTTCAACTCTGTGAGTTGAATACACACAACACAAAAAAGTTACTGAGAACTCTTCTTAGTCTAGCATGAAAGGAAGAAACCCCGTTTGCAACGAAGGCCTCAAAGAGGTCCAAATATCCACTTGCAGACATAACAAGCAGAGTGTTTCTAAACTGCTCTAAGAAAAGAAAGGTTAAACTCTGTGAGTTGAAGGCACACATCACAAAGTAGTTTCTGAGAATGATTCTGTCTAGTTTTTATTTGAAGATATTTCCTTTTCTACTGTTGGCATCAAATCGCTTGAAATCTCCACTTGCAAACTCCACAAAAAGAGTGTTTCAAATCTGCTCTGTGTAAAGGGACGTTCCACTCTGTGAGTTGAATACACACAGCACAAAGAAGTTACTGAGAATTCTTCTGTCTAGCATGAAATGAAGAAATCCCGTTTCCAACGAAGGCCTCAATGCGGTCCATATATCCACTTGCAGACTTTACAAACAGAGTGTTTCCAAACTGCTCTATGAAAAGAAAGGTTAAACTATGTGAGTTGAACGCACACATCACAAACAATTTTCTGAGAATGATTCTGTCTGGTTTTTATTTGAAGATATTTCCCTTTCTACTGTTGGCATCAAATGGCTAGAAATCTCCACTTGCAAATTCCGCAAAAAGAGTGTTTCAAATCTGCTCTGTCTAAAGGGACGTTCCACTCTGTGAGTTGAATGCACACAACACAAAGAATTTACTGAGAATTCTTCCGTCTAGCATTCAATGAAGAAATCCCGTTTCCAACGAAGGCCTCAAACAGGTCCATATATCCACTTGCAGACTTTACAAACAGTGTGTTTCCAAACTCCTCTATGAAAAGAAAGGTTAAACTCTGTGAGTGGAACGCACACATCACAAAGCACTTTCTGAGAATGATTCTGTCTGGTTATTATACGAAGATATTTCCTTTTCTGCAATTGTCCTCAAAACGCTTGAAATCTCCACCTGAAAATGCCACAGCAAGAGTGTTTCAAATCTGCTCTCTCTAAAGCAAGGTTCAACTCTGTGAGTTGAATACACACAACACAAAAAAGTTACTGAGAACTCTTCTTAGTCTAGCATTAAAGGAAGAAACCCCGTTTGCAACGAAGGCCTCAAAGAGGTCCAAATATCCACTTGCAGACATAACAAGCAGAGTGTTTCTAAACTGCTCTAAGAAAAGAAAGGTTAAACTCTGTGAGTTGAAGGCACACATCACAAAGTAGTTTCTGAGAATGATTCTGTCTAGTTTTTATTTGAAGATATTTCCTTTTCTACTGTTGGCATCAAATCGCTTGAAATCTCCACTTGCAAACTCCACAAAAAGAGTTTTTCAAATCTGCTCTGTGTAAAGGGACGTTCCACTCTGTGAGTTGAATACACACAGCACAAAGAAGTTACTGAGAATTCTTCTGTCTAGCATGAAATGAAGAAATCCCGTTTCCAACGAAGGCCTCAATGCGGTCCATATATCCACTTGCAGACTTTACAAACAGAGTGTTTCCAAACTGCTCTATGAAAAGAAAGGTTAAACTATGTGAGTTGAACGCACACATCACAAAGAATTTTCTGAGAATGATTCTGTCTGGTTTTTATTTGAAAATATTTCCCTTTCTACTGTTGGCATCAAATGGCTAGAAATCTCCACTTGCAAATTCCGCAAAAAGAGTGTTTCAAATCTGCTCTGTCTAAAGGGACGTTCCACTCTGTGAGTTGAATGCACACAACACAAAGAATTTACTGAGAATTCTTCCGTCTAGCATTCAATGAAGAAATCCCGTTTCCAACGAAGGCCTCAAAGAGGTCCATATATCCACTTGCAGACTTTACAAACAGTGTGTTTCCAAACTCCTCTATGAAAAGAAAGGTTAAACTCTGTGAGTGGAACGCACACATCACAAAGCACTTTCTGAGAATGATTCTGTCTGGTTATTATACGAAGATATTTCCTTTTCTGCAATTGTCCTCAAATCGCTTGAAATCTCCACCTGAAAATGCCACAGCAAGAGTGTTTCAAATCTGCTCTCTCTAAAGCAAGGTTCAACTCTGTGAGTTGAATACACACAACACAAAAAAGTTACTGAGAACTCTTCTTAGTCTAGCATTAAAGGAAGAAACCCCGTTTGCAACGAAGGCCTCAAAGTAGGTCCAAATATCCACTTGCAGACATAACAAGCAGAGTGTTTCTAAACTGCTCTAAGAAAAGAAAGGTTAAACTCTGTGAGTTGAAGGCACACATCACAAAGTAGTTTCTGAGAATGATTCTGTCTAGTTTTTATTTGAAGATATTTCCTTTTCTACTGTTGGCATCAAATCGCTTGAAATCTCCACTTGCAAACTCCACAAAAAGAGTGTTTCAAATCTGCTCTGTGCAAAGGGACGTTCCACTCTGTGAGTTGAATACACACAGCACAAAGAAGTTACTGAGAATTCTTCTGTCTAGCATGAATGAAGAAATCCCGTTTCCAACGAAGGCCTCAATGCGGTCCATATATCCACTTGCAGACTTTACAAACAGAGTGTTTCCAAACTGCTCTATGAAAAGAAAGGTTAAACTATGTGAGTTGAACGCACACATCACAAAGAATTTTCTGAGAATGATTCTGTCTGGTTTTTATTTGAAGATATTTCCCTTTCTACTGTTGGCATCAAATGGCTAGAAATCTCCACTTGCAAATTCCGCAAAAAGAGTGTTTCAAATCTGCTCTGTCTAAAGGGACGTTCCACTCTGTGAGTTGAATGCACACAACACAAAGAATTTACTGAGAATTCTTCCGTCTAGCATTCAATGAAGAAATCCCGTTTCCAACGAAGGCCTCAAACAGGTCCATATATCCACTTGCAGACTTTACAAACAGTGTGTTTCCAAACTCCTCTATGAAAAGAAAGGTTAAACTCTGTGAGTGGAACGCACACATCACAAAGCACTTTCTGAGAATGATTCTGTCTGGTTATTATACGAAGATATTTCCTTTTCTGCAATTGTCCTCAAATCGCTTGAAATCTCCACCTGAAAATGCCACAGCAAGAGTGTTTCAAATCTGCTCTCTCTAAAGCAAGGTTCAACTCTGTGAGTTGAATACACACAACACAAAAAAGTTACTGAGAACTCTTCTTAGTCTAGCATTAAAGGAAGAAACCCCTTTTGCAACGAAGGCCTCAAAGAGGTCCAAATATCCACTTGCAGACATAACAAGCAGAGTGTTTCTAAACTGCTCTAAGAAAAGAAAGGTTAAACTCTGTGAGTTGAAGGCACACATCACAAAGTAGTTTCTGAGAATGATTCTGTCTAGTTTTTATTTGAAGATATTTCATTTTCTACTGTTGGCATCAAATCGCTTGAAATCTCCACTTGCAAACTCCAGAAAAAGAGTGTTTCAAATCTGCTCTGTGTAAAGGGACGTTCCACTCTGTGAGTTGAATACACACAGCACAAAGAAGTTACTGAGAATTCTTCTGTCTAGCATGAAATGAAGAAATCCCGTTTCCAACGAAGGCCTCAATGCGGTCCATAGATCCACTTGCAGACTTTACAAACAGAGTGTTTCCAAACTGCTCTATGAAAAGAAAGGTTAAACTATGTGAGTTGAACGCACACATCACAAAGAATTTTCTGAGAATGATTCTGTCTGGTTTTTATTTGAAGATATTTCCCTTTCTACTGTTGGCATCAAATGGCTAGAAATCTCCACTTGCAAATTCCGCAAAAAGAGTGTTTCAAATCTGCTCTGTCTAAAGGGACGTTCCACTCTGTGAGTTGAATGCACACAACACAAAGAATTTACTGAGAATTCTTCCGTCTAGCATTCAATGAAGAAATCCCGTTTCCAACGAAGGCCTCAAACAGGTCCATATATCCAATTGCAGACTTTACAAACAGTGTGTTTCCAAACTCCTCTATGAAAAGAAAGGTTAAACTCTGTGAGTGGAACGTACACATCACAAAGCACTTTCTGAGAATGATTCTGTCTGGTTATTAAACGAAGATATTTCCTTTTCTGCAATTGTCCTCAAATCGCTTGAAATCTCCACCTGAAAATGCCACAGCAAGAGTGTTTCAAATCTGCTCTCTCTAAAGCAAGGTTCAACTCTGTGAGTTGAATACACACAACACAAAAAAGTTACTGAGAACTCTTCTTAGTCTAGCATTAAAGGAAGAAATCCCGTTTGCAACGAAGGCCTCAAAGAGGTCCAAATATCCACTTGCAGACATAACAAGCAGAGTGTTTCTAAACTGCTCTAAGAAAAGAAAGGTTAAACTCTGCGAGTTGAAGGCACACATCACAAAGTAGTTTCTGAGAATGATTCTGTCTAGTTTTTATTTGAAGATATTTCCTCTTCTACTGTTGGCATCAAATCGCTTGAAATCTCCACTTGCAAATTCCACAAAAAGAGTGTTTCAAATCTGCTCTGTGTAATGGGACGTTGCACTCTGTGAGTTGAATACACACAGCACAAAGAAGTTACTGAGAATTCTTCTGTCTAGCATGAAATGAAGAAATCCCGTTTCCAACGAAGGCCTCAATGCGGTCCATATATCCACTTGCAGACTTTACAAACAGAGTGTTTCCAAACTGCTCTATGAAAAGAAAGGTTAAACTATGTGAGTTGAACGCACACATCACAAAGAATTTTCTGAGAATGATTCTGTCTGGTTTTTATTTGAAGATATTTCCCTTTCTACTGTTGGCATCAAATGGCTAGAAATCTCCACTTGCAAATTCCGAAAAAAGAGTGTTTCAAATCTGCTCTGTCTAAAGGGACGTTCCACTCTGCTCGAGTTGAATGCACACAACACAAAGAATTTACTGAGAATTCTTCCGTCTAGCATTCAATGAAGAAATCCCGTTTCCAACGAAGGCCTCAAACAGGTCCATATATCCAATTGCAGACTTTACAAACAGTGTGTTTCCAAACTCCTCTATGAAAAGAAAGGTTAAACTCTGTGAGTTGAACGCACACATCACAAAGCACTTTCTGAGAATGATTCTGTCTGGTTATTATACGAAGATATTTCCTTTTCTGCAATTGTCCTCAAATCGCTTGAAATCTCCACCTGAAAATGCCACAGCAAGAGTGTTTCAAATCTGCTCTCTCTAAAGCAAGGTTCAACTCTGTGAGTTGAATACACACAACACAAAAAAGTTACTGAGAACTCTTCTTAGTCTAGCATTAATGGAAGAAACCCCGTTTGCAACGAAGGCCTCAAAGAGGTCCAAATATCCACTTGCAGACATAACAAGCAGAGTGTTTCTAAACTGCTCTAAGAAAAGAAAGGTTAAACTCTGTGAGTTGAAGGCACACATCACAAAGTAGTTTCTGAGAATGATTCTGTCTAGTTTTTATTTGAAGATATTTCCTTTTCTACTGTTGGCATCAAATCGCTTGAAATCTCCACTTGCAAATTCCACAAAAAGAGTGTTTCAAATCTGCTCTGTGCAAAGGGACGTTCCACTCTGTGAGTTGAATACACACAGCACAAAGAAGTTACTGAGAATTCTTCTGTCTAGCATGAAAGGAAGAAACCCCGTTTGCAACGAAGGCCTCAATGCGGTCCATATATCCACTTGCAGACTTTACAAACAGAGTGTTTCCAAACTGCTCTATGAAAAGAAAGGTTAAACTATGTGAGTTGAACGCACACATCACAAAGAATTTTCTGAGAATGATTCTGTCTGGTTTTTATTTGAAGATATTTCCCTTTCTACTGTTGGCATCAAATGGCTAGAAATCTCCACTTGCAAATTCCGCAAAAAGAGTGTTTCAAATCTGCTCTGTCTAAAGGGACGTTCCACTCTGTGAGTTGAATGCACACAACACAAAGAATTTACTGAGAATTCTTCCGTCTAGCATTCAATGAAGAAATCCCGTTTCCAACGAAGGCCTCAAACAGGTCCATATATCCACTTGCAGACTTTACAAACAGTGTGTTTCCAAACTCCTCTATGAAAAGAAAGGTTAAACTCTGTGAGTGGAATGCACACATCACAAAGCACTTTCTGAGAATGATTCTGTCTGGTTGTTATACGAAGATATTTCCTTTTCTGCAATTGTCCTCAAATCGCTTGAAATCTCCACCTGAAAATGCCACAGCAAGAGTGTTTCAAATCTGCTCTCTCTAAAGCAAGGTTCAGCTCTGTGAGTTGAATACACACAACACAAAAAAGTTACTGAGAACTCTTCTTAGTCTAGCATGAAAGGAAGAAACCCCGTTTGCAACGAAGGCCTCAAAGAGGTCCAAATATCCACTTACAGACATAACAAGCAGAGTGTTTCTAAACTGCTCTAAGAAAAGAAAGGTTAAACTCTGTGAGTTGAAGGCACACATCACAAAGTAGTTTTTGAGAATGATTCTGTCTAGTTTTTATTTGAAGATATTTCCTTTTCTACTGTTGGCATCAAATCGCTTGAAATCTCCACTTGCAAACTCCACAAAAAGAGTGTTTCAAATCTGCTCTGTGCAAAGGGACGTTCCACTCTGTGAGTTGAATACACACAGCACAAAGAAGTTACTGAGAATTCTTCTGTCTAGCATGAAATGAAGAAATCCCGTTTCCAACGAAGGCCTCAATGCGGTCCATATATCCACTTGCAGACTTTACAAACAGAGTGTTTCCAAACTGCTCTATGAAAAGAAAGGTTAAACTATGTGAGTTGAACGCACACATCACAAAGAATTTTCTGAGAATGATTCTGTCTGGTTTTTATTTGAAGATATTTCCCTTTCTACTGTTGGCATCAAATGGCTAGAAATCTCCACTTGCAAATTCCGCAAAAAGAGTGTTTCAAATCTGCTCTGTCTAAAGGGACGTTCCACTCTGTGAGTTGAATGCACACAACACAAAGAATTTACTGAGAATTCTTCCGTCTAGCATTCAATGAAGAAATCCCGTTTCCAACGAAGGCCTCAAACAGGTCCATATATCCAATTGCAGACTTTACAAACAGTGTGTTTCCAAACTCCTCTATGAAAAGAAAGGTTAAACTCTGTGAGTTGAACGCACACATCACAAAGCACTTTCTGAGAATGATTCTGTCTGGTTATTATACGAAGTAGTTCCTTTTCTGCAATTGTCCTCAAATCGCTTGAAATCTCCACCTGAAAATGCCACAGCAAGAGTGTTTCAAATCTGCTCTCTCTAAAGCAAGGTTCAACTCTGTGAGTTGAATACACACAACACAAAAAAGTTACTGAGAACTCTTCTTAGTCTAGCATTAAAGGAAGAAACCCCGTTTGCAACGAAGGCCTCAAAGAGGTCCAAATATCCACTTGCAGACATAACAAGCAGAGTGTTTCTAAACTGCTCTAAGAAAAGAAAGATTAAACTCTGAGTTGAAGGCACACATCACAAAGTAGTTTCTGAGAATGATTCTGTCTAGTTTTTATTTGAAGATATTTCCTTTTCTACTGTTGGCATCAAATCGCTTGAAATCTCCACTTGCAAACTCCACAAAAAGAGTGTTTCAAATCTGCTCTGTGCAAAGGGACGTTCCACTCTGTGAGTTGAATACACACAGCACAAAGAAGTTACTGAGAATTCTTCTGTCTAGCATGAAATGAAGAAATCCCGTTTCCAACGAAGGCCTCAATGCGGTCCATATATCCACTTGCAGACTTTACAAACAGAGTGTTTCCAAACTGCTCTATGAAAAGAAAGGTTATACTATTGTGAGTTGAACGCACACATCACAAAGAATTTTCTGAGAATGATTCTGTCTGGTTTTTATTTGAAGATATTTCCCTTTCTACTGTTGGCCATCAAATGGCTAGAAATCTCCACTTGCAAATTCCGCAAAAAGAGTGTTTCAAATCTGCTCTGTCTAAAGGGACGTTCCACTCTGTGAGTTGAATGCACACAACACAAAGAATTTACTGAGAATTCTTCCGTCTAGCATTCAATGAAGAAATCCCGTTTCCAATGAAGGCCTCAAACAGGTCCATATATCCACTTGCAGACTTTACAAACAGTGTGTTTCCAAACTCCTCTATGAAAAGAAAGGTTAAACTCTGTGAGTTGAACGCACACATCACAAAGAATTTTCTGAGAATGATTCTGTCTAGTTTTTATTTGAAGATATTTCCTTTTCTACTGTTGGCATCAAATCGCTTGAAATCTCCACTTGCAAACTCCACAAAAAGAGTGTTTCAAATCTGCTCTGTGCAAAGGGACGTTCCACTCTGTGAGTTGAATACACACAGCACAAAGAAGTTACTGAGAATTCTTCTGTCTAGCATGAAATGAAGAAATCCCGTTTCCAACGAAGGCCTCAATGCGGTCCATATATCCACTTGCAGACTTTGCAAACAGAGTGTTTCCAAACTGCTCTATGAAAAGAAAGGTTAAACTATGTGATTTGAACGCACACATCACAAAGAATTTTCTGAGAATGATTCTGTCTGGTTTTTATTTGAAGATATTTCCCTTTCTACTGTTGGCATCAAATGGCTAGAAATCTCCACTTGCAAATTCCGCAAAAAGAGTGTTTCAAATCTGCTCTGTCTAAAGGGACGTTCCACTCTGTCAGTTGAATGCACACAACACAAAGAATTTACTGAGAATTCTTCCGTCTAGCATTATATGATAAAATCCCGTTTCCAACGAAGGCCTCAAACAGGTCCATATATCCACTTGCAGACTTTACAAACAGTGTGTTTCCAAACTCCTCTATGAAAAGAAAGGTTAAACTCTGTGAGTTGAACGCACACATCACAAAGCACTTTCTGAGAATGATTCTGTCTGGTTATTATACGAAGACATTTCCTTTTCTGCAATTGTCCTCAAATCGCTTGAAATCTCCACCTGAAAATGCCACAGCAAGAGTGTTTCAAATCTGCTCTCTCTAAAGCAAGGTTCAACTCTGTGAGTTGAATACACACAACACAAAAAAGTTACTGAGAACTCTTCTTAGTCTAGCATGAAAGGAAGAAACCCCGTTTGCAACGAAGGCCTCAAAGAGGTCCAAATATCCACTTGCAGACATAACAAGCAGAGTGTTTCTAAACTGCTCTAAGAAAAGAAAGGTTAAACTGTGTGAGTTGAACGCACACATCACAAAGAATTTTCTGAGAATGATTCTGTCTGGTTTTTATTTGAAGATATTTCCCTTTCTACTGTTGGCATCAAATGGCTAGAAATCTCCACTTGCAAATTCCGCAAAAAGAGTGTTTCAAATCTGCTCTGTCTAAAGGGACGTTCCACTCTGTGAGTTGAATGCACACAACACAAAGAATTTACTGAGAATTCTTCCGTCTAGCATTCAATGAAGAAATCCCGTTTCCAACGAAGGCCTCAAACAGGTCCATATATCCAATTGCAGACTTTACAAACAGTGTGTTTCCAAACTCCTCTATGAAAAGAAAGGTTAAACTCTGTGAGTTGAACGCACACATCACAAAGCACTTTCTGAGAATGATTCTGTCTGGTTGTTATACGAAGATATTTCCTTTTCTGCAATTGTCCTCAAATCGCTTGAAATCTCCACCTGAAAATGCCACAGCAAGAGTGTTTCAAATCTGCTCTCTCTAAAGCAAGGTTCAACTCTGTGAGTTGAATACACACAACACAAAAAAGTTACTGAGAACTCTTCTTAGTCTAGCATTAAAGGAAGAAACCCCGTTTGCAACAAAGGCCTCAAAGAGGTCCAAATATCCACTTGCAGACATAACAAGCAGAGTGTTTCTAAACTGCTCTAAGAAAAGAAAGGTTAAACTCTGTGAGTTAAAGGCACACATCACAAAGTAGTTTCTGAGAATGATTCTGTCTAGTTTTTATTTGAAGAATTTCCTTTTCTACTGTTGGCATCAAATCGCTTGAAATCTCCACTTGCAAACTCCACAAAAAGAGTGTTTCAAATCTGCTCTGTGCAAAGGGACGTTCCACTCTGTGAGTTGAATACACACAGCACAAAGAAGTTACTGAGAATTCTTCTGTCTAGCATGAAATGAAGAAATCCCGTTTCCAACGAAGGCCTCAATGCGGTCCATATATCCACTTGCAGACTTTACAAACAGAGTGTTTCCAAACTGCTCTATGAAAAGAAAGGTTAAACTATGTGAGTTGAACGCACACATCACAAAGAATTTTCTGAGAATGATTCTGTCTGGTTTTTATTTGAAGATATTTCCCTTTCTACTGTTAGCATCAAATGGCTAGAAATCTCCACTTGCAAATTCCGCAAAAAGAGTGTTTCAAATCTGCTCTGTCTAAAGGGACGTTCCACTCTGTCAGTTGAATGCACACAACACAAAGTATTTACTGAGAATTCTTCCGTCTAGCATTCAATGAAGAAATCCCGTTTCCAACGAAGGCCTCAAACAGGTCCATATATCCAATTGCAGACTTTACAAACAGTGTGTTTCCAAACTCCTCTATGAAAAGAAAGGTTAAACTCTGTGAGTTGAATGCACACATCACAAAGCACTTTCTGAGAATGATTCTGTCTGGTTGTTATACGAAGATATTTCCTTTTCTGCAATTGTCCTCAAATCGCTTGAAATCTCCACCTGAAAATGCCACAGCAAGAGTGTTTCAAATCTGCTCTCTCTAAAGCAAGGTTCAGCTCTGTGAGTTGAATACACACAACACAAAAAAGTTACTGAGAACTCTTCTTAGTCTAGCATTAAAGGAAGAAACCCCGTTTGCAACGAAGGCCTCAAAGAGGTCCAAATATCCACTTGCAGACATAACAAGCAGAGTGTTTCTAAACTGCTCTAAGAAAAGAAAGGTTAAACTCTGTGAGTTGAAGGCACACATCACAAAGTAGTTTCTGAGAATGATTCTGTCTAGTTTTTATTTGAAGATATTTCCTTTTCTACTGTTGGCATCAAATCGCTTGAAATCTCCACTTGCAAATTCCACAAAAAGAGTGTTTCAAATCTGCTCTGTGCAAAGGGACGTTCCACTCTGTGAGTTGAATACACGCAGCACAAAGAAGTTACTGAGAATTCTTCTGTCTAGCATGAAATGAAGAAATCCCGTTTCCAACGAAGGCCTCAATGCGGTCCATATATCCACTTGCAGACTTTACAAACAGAGTGTTTCCAAACTGCTCTATGAAAAGAAAGGTTAAACTATGTGAGTTGAACGCACACATCACAAAGAATTTTCTGAGAATGATTCTGTCTGGTTTTTATTTGAAGATATTTCCCTTTCTACTGTTGGCAGCAAATGGCTAGAAATCTCCACTTGCAAATTCCGCAAAAAGAGTGTTTCAAATCTGCTCAGTCTAAAGGGACGTTCCACTCTGTGAGTTGAATGCACACAACACAAAGAATTTACTGAGAATTCTTCCGTCTAGCATTCAATGAAGAAATCCCGTTTCCAACGAAGGCCTCAAACAGGTCCATATATCCACTTGCAGACTTTACAAACAGTGTGTTTCCAAACTCCTCTATGAAAAGAAAGGTTAAACTCTGTGAGTTGAACGGCACACATCACAAAGCACTTTCTGAGAATGATTCTGTCTGGTTGTTATACGAAGATATTTCCTTTTCTGCAATTGTCCTCAAATCGCTTGAAATCTCCACCTGAAAATGCCACAGCAAGAGTGTTTCAAATCTGCTCTCTCTAAAGCAAGGTTCAACTCTGTGAGTTGAATACACACAACACAAAAAAGTTACTGAGAACTCTTCTTAGTCTAGCATGAAAGGAAGAAACCCCGTTTGCAACGAAGGCCTCAAAGAGGCCCAAATATCCACTTGCAGACATAACAAGCAGAGTGTTTCTAAACTGCTCTAAGAAAAGAAAGGTTAAACTCTGTGAGTTGAAGGCACACATCACAAAGTAGTTTCTGAGAATGATTCTGTCTAGTTTTTATTTGAAGATATTTCCTTTTCTACTGTTGGCATCAAATCGCTTGAAATCTCCACTTGCAAACTGCACAAAAAGAGTGTTTCAAATCTGCTCTGTGTAAAGGGACGTTCCACTCTGTGAGTTGAATACACACAGCACAAAGAAGTTACTGAGAATTCTTCTGTCTAGCATGAAATGAAGAAATCCCGTTTCCAACGAAGGCCTCAATGCGGTCCATATATCCACTTGCAGACTTTACAAACAGAGTGTTTCCAAACTGCTCTATGAAAAGAAAGGTTAAACTATGTGAGTTGAACGCACACATCACAAAGAATTTTCTGAGAATGATTCTGTCTGGTTTTTATTTGAAGATATTTCCCTTTCTACTGTTGGCATCAAATGGCTAGAAATCTCCACTTGCAAATTCCGCAAAAAGAGTGTTTCAAATCTGCTCTGTCTAAAGGGACGTTCCACTCTGTGAGTTGAATGCACACCACACAAAGAATTTACTGAGAATTCTTCCGTCTAGCATTCAATGAAGAAATCCCGTTTCCAACGAAGGCCTCAAACAGGTCCATATATCCAATTGCAGACTTTACAAACAGTGTGTTTCCAAACTCCTCTATGAAAAGAAAGGTTAAACTCTGTGAGTTGAACGCACACATCACAAAGCACTTTCTGAGAATGATTCTGTCTGGTTATTATACGAAGATATTTCCTTTTCTGCAATTGTCCTCAAATCGCTTGAAATCTCCACCTGAAAATTCCACAGCAAGAGTGTTTCAAATCTGCTCTCTCTAAAGCATGGTTCAACTCTGTGAGTTGAATACACACAACACAAAAAAGTTACTGAGAACTCTTCTTAGTCTAGCATTAAAGGAAGAAACCCCGTTTGCAACGAAGGCCTCAAAGAGGTCCAAATATCCACTTGCAGACATAACAAGCAGAGTGTTTCTAAACTGCTCTAAGAAAAGAAAGGTTAAACTCTGTGAGTTGAAGGCACACATCACAAAGTAGTTTCTGAGAATGATTCTGTCTAGTTTTTATTTGAAGATATTTCCTTTTCTACTGTTGGCATCAAATCACTTGAAATCTCCACTTGCAAATTCCACAAAAAGAGTGTTTCAAATCTGCTCTGTGCAAAGGGACGTTCCACTCTGTGAGTTGAATACACACAGCACAAAGAAGTTACTGAGAATTCTTCTGTCTAGCATGAAATGAAGAAATCCCGTTTCCAACGAAGGCCTCAATGTGGTCCATATATCCACTTGCAGACTTTACAAACAGAGTGTTTCCAAACTGCTCTATGAAAAGAAAGGTTAAACTATGTGAGTTGAACGCACACATCACAAAGAATTTTCTGAGAATGATTCTGTCTGGTTTTTATTTGAAGATATTTCCCTTTCTACTGTTGGCATCAAATGGCTAGAAATCTCCACTTGCAAATTCCGCAAAAAGAGTGTTTCAAATCTGCTCTGTCTAAAGGGACGTTCCACTCTGTGAGTTGAATGCACACAACACAAAGAATTTACTGAGAATTCTTCCGTCTAGCATTCAATGAAGAAATCCCGTTTCCAACGAAGGCCTCAAACAGGTCCATATATCCAATTGCAGACTTTACAAACAGTGTGTTTCCAAACTCCTCTATGAAAAGAAAGGTTAAACTCTGTGAGTTGAACGCACACATCACAAAGCACTTTCTGAGAATGATTCTGTCTGGTTATTATACGAAGATATTTCCTTTTCTGCAATTGTCCTCAAATCGCTTGAAATCTCCACCTGAAAATGCCACAGCAAGAGTGTTTCAAATCTGCTCTCTCTAAAGCAAGGTTCAACTCTGTGAGTTGAATACACACAACAGAAAAAAGTTACTGAGAACTCTTCTTAGTCTAGCATGAAAGGAAGAAACCCCGTTTGCAACGAAGGCCTCAAAGAGGTCCAAATATCCACTTGCAGACATAACAAGCAGAGTGTTTCTAAACTGCTCTAAGAAAAGAAAGGTTAAACTCTGTGAGTTGAAGGCACACATCACAAAGTAGTTTCTGAGAATGATTCTGTCTAGTTTTTATTTGAAGATATTTCCTTTTCTACTGTTGGCATCAAATCGCTTGAAATCTCCACTTGCAAATTCCACAAAAAGAGTGTTTCAAATCTGCTCTGTGCAAACGGACGTTCCAGTCTGTGAGTTGAATACACACAGCACAGAGAAGTTACTGAGAATTCTTCTGTCTAGCATGAAATGAAGAAATCCCGTTTCCAACGAAGGCCTCAATGCGGTCCATATATCCACTTGCAGACTTTACAAACAGAGTGTTTCCAAACTGCTCTATGAAAAGAAAGGTTAAACTATGTGAGTTGAACGCACACATCACAAAGAATTTTCTGAGAATGATTCTGTCTGGTTTTTATTTGAAGATATTTCCCTTTCTACTGTTGGCATCAAATGGCTAGAAATCTCCACTTGCAAATTCCGCAAAAAGAGTGTTTCAAATCTGCTCTGTCTAAAGGGACGTTCCACTCTGTGAGTTGAATGCACACAACACAAAGAATTTACTGAGAATTCTTCCGTCTAGCATTCAATGAAGAAATCCCGTTTCCAAAGAAGGCCTCAAACAGGTCCATATATCCAATTGCAGACTTTACAAACAGTGTGTTTCCAAACTCCTCTATGAAAAGAAAGGTTAAACTCTGTGAGTTGAACGCACACATCACAAAGCACTTTCTGAGAATGATTCTGTCTGGTTATTATACGAAGATATTTCCTTTTCTGCAATTGTCCTCAAATCGCTTGAAATCTCCACCTGAAAATGCCACAGCAAGAGTGTTTCAAATCTGCTCTCTCTAAAGCAAGGTTCAACTCTGTGAGTTGAATACACACAACACAAAAAAGTTACTGAGAACTCTTCTTAGTCTAGCATGAAAGGAAGAAACCCCGTTTGCAACGAAGGCCTCAAAGAGGTCCAAATATCCACTTGCAGACATAACAAGCAGAGTGTTTCTAAACTGCTCTAAGAAAAGAAAGGTTAAACTCTGTGAGTTGAAGGCACACATCACAAAGTAGTTTCTGAGAATGATTCTGTCTAGTTTTTATTTGAAGATATTTCCTTTTCTACTGCTGGCATCAAATCGCTTGAAATCTCCACTTGCAAACTCCACAAAAAGAGTGTTTCAAATCTGCTCTGTGTAAAGGGACGTTCCACTCTGTGAGTTGAATACACACAGCACAAAGAAGTTACTGAGAATTCTCTGTCTAGCATGAAATGAAGAAATCCCGTTTCCAACGAAGGCCTCAATGCGGTCCATATATCCACTTGCAGACTTTACAAACAGAGTGTTTCCAAACTGCTCTATGAAAAGAAAGGTTAAACTATGTGAGTTGAACGCACACATCACAAAGAATTTTCTGAGAATGATTCTGTCTGGTTTTTATTTGAAGATATTTCCCTTTCTACTGTTGGCATCAAATGGCTAGAAATCTCCACTTGCAAATTCCGCAAAAAGAGTGTTTCAAATCTGCTCTGTCTAAAGGGACGTTCCACTCTGTGAGTTGAATGCACACAACACAAAGAATTTACTGAGAATTCTTCCGTCTAGCATTCAATGAAGAAATCCCGTTTCCAACGAAGGCCTCAAACAGGTCCATATATCCACTTGCAGACTTTACAAACAGTGTGTTTCCAAACTCCTCTATGAAAAGAAAGGTTAAACTCTGTGAGTTGAACGCACACATCACAAAGCACTTTCTGAGAATGATTCTGTCTGGTTGTTATACGAAGATATTTCCTTTTCTGCAATTGTCCTCAAATCGCTTGAAATCTCCACCTGAAAATGCCACAGCAAGAGTGTTTCAAATCTGCTCTCTCTAAAGCAAGGTTCAGCTCTGTGAGTTGAATACACACAACACAAAAAAGTTACTGAGAACTCTTCTTAGTCTAGCATGAAAGGAAGAAACCCCGTTTGCAACGAAGGCCTCAAAGAGGTCCAAATATCCACTTGCAGACATAACAAGCAGAGTGTTTCTAAACTGCTCTAAGAAAAGAAAGGTTAAACTCTGTGAGTTGAAGGCACACATCACAAAGAATTTTCTGAGAATGATTCTGTCTGGTTTTTATTTGAAGATATTTCCTTTTCTACTGTTGGCATCAAATCGGCTAGAAAATCTCCACTTGCAAATTCCACAAAAAGAGTGTTTCAAATCTGCTCTGTGCTAAAGGGACGTTCCACTCTGTGAGTTGAATACACACAGCACAAAGAAGTTACTGAGAATTCTTCTGTCTAGCATGAAATGAAGAAATCCCGTTTCCAACGAAGGCCTCAATGCGGTCCATATATCCACTTGCAGACTTTACAAACAGAGTGTTTCCAAACTGCTCTATGAAAAGAAAGGTTAAACTATGTGAGTTGAACGCACACATCACAAAGAATTTTCTGAGAATGATTCTGTCTGGTTTTTATTTGAAGATATTTCCCTTTCTACTGTTGGCATCAAATGGCTAGAAATCTCCACTTGCAAATTCCGCAAAAAGAGTGTTTCAAATCTGCTCTGTCTAAAGGGACGTTCCACTCTGTGAGTTGAATGCACACCACACAAAGAATTTACTGAGAATTCTTCCGTCTAGCATTCAATGAAGAAATCCCGTTTCCAACGAAGGCCTCAAACAGGTCCATATATCCAATTGCAGACTTTACAAACAGTGTGTTTCCAAACTCCTCTATGAAAAGAAAGGTTAAACTCTGTGAGTTGAACGCACACATCACAAAGCACTTTCTGAGAATGATTCTGTCTGGTTGTTATACGAAGATATTTCCTTTTCTGCAATTGTCCTCAAATCGCTTGAAATCTCCACCTGAAAATGCCACAGCAAGAGTGTTTCAAATCTGCTCTCTCTAAAGCAGGGTTCAACTCTGTGAGTTGAATACACACAACACAAAAATGTTACTGAGAACTCTTCTTAGTCTAGCATTAAAGGAAGAAACCCCGTTTGCAACGAAGGCCTCAAAGAGGTCCAAATATCCACTTGCAGACATAACAAGCAGAGTGTTTCTAAACTGCTCTAAGAAAAGAAAGGTTAAACTCTGTGAGTTGAAGGCACACATCACAAAGTAGTTTCTGAGAATGATTCTGTCTAGTTTTTATTTGAAGATATTTCCTTTTCTACTGTTGGCATCAAATCGCTTGAAATCTCCACTTGCAAACTCCACAAAAAGAGTGTTTCAAATCTGCTCTGTGTAAAGGGACGTTCCACTCTGTGAGTTGAATACACACAGCACAAAGAAGTTACTGAGAATTCTTCTGTCTAGCATGAAATGAAGAAATCCCGTTTCCAACGAAGGCCTCAATGCGGTCCATATATCCACTTGCAGACTTTACAAACAGAGTGTTTCCAAACTGCTCTATGAAAAGAAAGGTTAAACTATGTGAGTTGAACGCACACATCACAAAGAATTTTCTGAGAATGATTCTGTCTGGTTTTTATTTGAAGATATTTCCCTTTCTACTGTTGGCATCAAATGGCTAGAAATCTCCACTTGCAAATTCCGCAAAAAGAGTGTTTCAAATCTGCTCTGTCTAAAGGGACGTTCCACTCTGTGAGTTGAATGCACACAACACAAAGAATTTACTGAGAATTCTTCCGTCTAGCATTCAATGAAGAAATCCCGTTTCCAACGTAGGCCTCAAACAGGTCCATATATCCAATTGCAGACTTTACAAACAGTGTGTTTCCAAACTCCTCTATGAAAAGAAAGGTTAAACTCTGTGAGTTGAACGCACACATCACAAAGCACTTTCTGAGAATGATTCTGTCTGGTTACTATACGAAGATATTTCCTTTTCTGCAATTGTCCTCAAATCGCTTGAAATCTCCCCCTAAAAATTCCACAGCAAGAGTGTTTCAAATCTGCTCTCTCTAAAGCAAGGTTCAACTCTGTGAGTTGAATACACACAACACAAAAAAGTTACTGAGAACTCTTCTTAGTCTAGCATTAAAGGAAGAAACCCCGTTTGCAACGAAGGTCTCAAAGAGGTCCAAATATCCACTTGCAGACATAACAAGCAGAGTGTTTCTAAACTGCTCTAAGAAAAGAAAGGTTAAACTCTGTGAGTAGAAGGCACACATCACAAAGTAGTTTCTGAGAATGATTCTGTCTAGTTTTTATTTGAAGATATTTCCTTTTCTACTGTTGGCATCAAATCGCTTGAAATCTCCACTTGCAAACTCCACAAAAAGAGTGTTTCAAATCTGCTCTGTGCAAAGGGACGTTCCACTCTGTGAGTTGAATACACACAGCACAAAGAAGTTACTGAGAATTCTTCTGTCTAGCATGAAATGAAGAAATCCCGTTTCCAACGAAGGTCTCAAACAGGTCCATATATCCAATTGCAGACTTTACAAACAGTGTGTTTCCAAACTCCTCTATGAAAAGAAAGGTTAAACTCTGTGAGTTGAACGCACACATCACAAAGCACTTTCTGAGAATGATTCTGTCTGGTTATTATACGAAGATATTTCCTTTTCTGCAATTGTCCTCAAAACGCTTGAAATCTCCACCTGAAAATGCCACAGCAAGAGTGTTTCAAATCTGCTCTCTCTAAAGCAAGGTTCAACTCTGTGAGTTGAATACACACAACACAAAAAAGTTACTGAGAACTCTTCTTAGTCTAGCATGAAAGGAAGAAACCCCGTTTGCAACGAAGGCCTCAAAGAGGTCCAAATATCCACTTGCAGACATAACAAGCAGAGTGTTTCTAAACTGCTCTAAGAAAAGAAAGGTTAAACTCTGTGAGTTGAAGGCACACATCACAAAGTAGTTTCTGAGAATGATTTCTGTCTAGTTTTTATTTGAAGATATTTCCTTTTCTACTGTTGGCATCAAATCGCTAGAAATCTCCACTTGCAAATTCCACAAAAAGAGTGTTTCAAATCTGCTCTGTGCAAAGGGACGTTCCACTCTGTGAGTTGAATACACACAACACAAAGAAGTTACTGAGAATTCTTCTGTCTAGCATGAAATGAAGAAATCCCGTTTCCAACGAAGGCCTCAATGCGGTCCATATATCCACTTGCAGACTTTACCAACAGAGTGTTTCCAAACTGCTCTATGAAAAGAAAGGTTAAACTATGTGAGTTGAACGCACACATCACAAAGAATTTTCTGAGGATGATTCTGTCTGGTTTTTATTTGAAGATATTTCCCTTTCTACTGTTGGCATCAAATGGCTAGAAATCTCCACTTGCAAATTCCGCAAAAAGAGTGTTTCAAATCTGCTCTGTCTAAAGGGACGTTCCACTCTGTGAGTTGAATGCACACAACACAAAGAATTTACTGAGAATTCTTCCGTCTAGCATTCAATGAAGAAATCCCGTTTCCAACGAAGGCCTCAAACAGGTCCATATATCCACTTGCAGACTTTACAAACAGTGTGTTTCCAAACTCCTCTATGAAAAGAAAGGTTAAACTCTGTGAGTGGAACGCACACATCACAAAGCACTTTCTGAGAATGATTCTGTCTGGTTATTATACGAAGATATTTCCTTTTCTGCAATTGTCCTCAAATCGCTTGAAATCTCCACCTGAAAATGCCACAGCAAGAGTGTTTCAAATCTGCTCTCTCTAAAGCAAGGTTCAACTCTGTGAGTTGAATACACACAACACAAAAAAGTTACTGAGAACTCTTCTTAGTCTAGCATGAAAGGAAGAAACCCCGTTTGCAACGAAGGCCTCAAAGAGGTCCAAATATCCACTTGCAGACATAACAAGCAGAGTGTTTCTAAACTACTCTAAGAAAAGAAAGGTTAAACTCTGTGAGTTGAAGGCACACATCACAAAGTAGTTTCTGAGAATGATTCTGTCTAGTTTTTATTTGAAGATATTTCCTTTTCTACTGCTGGCATCAAATCGCTTGAAATCTCCACTTGCAAACTCCACAAAAAGAGTGTTTCAAATCTGCTCTGTGTAAAGGGACGTTCCACTCTGTGAGTTGAATACACACAGCACAAAGAAGTTACTGAGAATTCTTCTGTCTAGCATGAAATGAAGAAATCCCGTTTCCAACGAATGCCTCAAAGCGGTCAATATATCCACTTGCAGATTTTACAAACAGTGGGTTTCGAAACTGCTCTATGAAAAGAAAGGTTAAACTATGTGAGCTGAATGCACACATCACAAAGAATTTTCTGAGAATGATTCTGTCTAGTTTTTATTTGAAGACATTTCCCTCTCTACTGTTGGCATCAAATGGCTAGAAATCTCCACTTGCAAATTCCGCAAAAAGAGTGTTTCAAATCTGCTCTGTCGAAAGGGACGTTCCACTTTGTGAGTTGAATGCACACAATACAAAGAATTTACTGAGAATTCTTCCGTATAGCATTCAATGAAGAAATCCCGTTTCCAACGAAGGCCTCAAACAGGTCCATATATCCAATTGCAGACTTTACAAACAGTGTGTTTCCAAACTCCTCTATGAAAAGAAAGGTTAAACTCTGTGAGTTCAACGCACACATCACAAAGCACTTTCTGAGAATGATTCTGTCTGGTTATTATTTGAAGATATTTCCTTTTCTGCAATTGTCCTCAAATCGCTTGAAATCTCCACCTGAAAATGCCACAGCAAGAGTGTTTCAAATCTGCTCTCTCTAAAGCAAGGTTCAACTCTGTGAGTTGAATACACACAGCACAAAGAAGTTACTGAGAATTCTTCTGTCTAGCATGAAAGGAAGAAACCCCGTTTGCAACGAAGGCCTCAATGCGGTCCATATATCCACTTGCAGACTTTACAAACAGAGTGTTTCCAAACTGCTCTATGAAAAGAAAGGTTAAACTATGTGAGTTGAACGCACACATCACAAAGAATTTTCTGAGAATGATTCTGTCTGGTTTTTATTTGAAGATATTTCCCTTTCTACTGTTGGCATCAAATGGCTAGAAATCTCCACTTGCAAATTCCGCAAAAAGAGTGTTTCAAATCTGCTCTGTCTAAAGGGACGTTCCACTCCGTGAGTTGAATGCACACCACACAAAGAATTTACTGAGAATTCTCATTTATTCATCCAACAAATATGTTTTGAGTGTCCACATTCTGTGTGCCAGGTTCTATGTCAGAT